>NC_000004.12:7571489-7877986 GCF_000001405.40 Homo sapiens | reverse complement strand
CTTGGTTTATGTTGAACGTAGTCAGGCACCAGCAGAGATACAGAGATGCACCAGGAGCTGCACCTGCGTCCTGGGAACTGGCGATATGGGGGAGCCAGGCAGCTCAACGAAGAATTGTGCTACCTCTAAGGTTACTCTGTAGTCTATGTTGACATTTCTTGTTCATTTTCCTAATTTTTTTCGAGGACTAAATTTTATTTGGTCACACTATTGCTCTTTTTAAATACAAAATGGGTATAACGTCTCATCAGACTAGGGTTATCTCTGAAAACAGTCTGTGGAATTATTATTATGAAATGTTCAAAGCAGGGCTTTTGGACTCAGGTTTGAGTTCAGATTCTTACTGTGTTATTTATGTTCTAGCTATATGACTGTGAGCAGATTATCAACTGGAGAGGCTTGGTGACCGTAGGCAGCCTTTCTGTGTCTGTTTCCTCACCTACAACACGGGGATAATAACAGTACGTGCCTCCTAGCAATGTTGTGAAGAGCACATGAGTTCATATATGTAACAGGCTTAGAACAGTGCCTGGCACTTGTAATCACTATGTGAGGATTTGCTTAAAGAAAAGCAGACTAAAAGCTGACACAGGAGTTCTTATTCCTCTGCTGTAGATGGGGCGCAGTGCGTCTTCGCTGCATTCTTGTGAGAATCAAATGAGCTATTTTATGTAGATGCCAGCACAGTGCCTTTCACAGGACCCGTTGTGAGAAAATGGTCATTCTCTTCCTGTGGAAGTCACTCATTTGAAAACCTTTGCATGCTTTCTGTGCAGAATGTACTGCTAGGCTGCTGTCAGGTGTTAGGAGATAAACATAGGATGACACCTGCCTTTAACCAGTTGACTAGCTACCTTGAGGGAAAAAAACCCCACAAAAACCCAAGTAAACCTTAAGATCACTAAGTATCCAGTCATCAGTACAGCTGCTACAGGAGGAATGGATTTTGGTAATTAGGGAAGACTTCAGTGAGGGGGAGCCAACTGGGGTGTTTAATTAGAGAAGGCTGGAAGGCTGGAAGAAAGAGGGGATGAGTATTAAGTATTTGGAAAGACTGTCAAGTAGAAAATATGGTTTATTTAGTCTGTGAATATCCCAAAAAGGAGGAGCTTTTCTAACAATTACAACTGTCTGCTATGGGAGTATTTCGCTTTCTGAGGCGCTAGAGAGCTGTGTTTTGAGAATCTTTTGGTTACAGTTTCAGGTGAACAGAAAACCACACAGATTAGCTTAACAACAATACAATGAAATGAAAATTTATTAGAATGATACAAATATTTCTTGGAATTCAAGTGCAGCCCAGTTTTCCGAGTAGCTAACAACAGGCCCGGGAAAGCCTCGGAGCATGGTCGGCGTCTGAGACACTTCCTCTCTTGCGGGGCTGCCTGCCTCTGAGTGTGCCAGCTTCTGAGGGTGTCACCTCTGTGTGTTCGTCCTCCAGTGCTGGCTTCTGTCCTTTGCACCCGTGTACTTGCACTTGCCCTGGTTGCTGCATTTCTATATTTTCAGTTCAAGAGACCATCCCAACCGAATCCTGTTTCTTAGTCTTCAGGCAAAAGATAGAGGAATGGAAGATCTGATTGACTGTCTTGGAATCCGGCCGTCCAATTAACCATAACCTAGTAGTGGGAGGCAGTGTGCAGGACCTTGCAGTATAGCAGTGGCTGCTGAAAGTCCCCCTTGTGGTTGAGGCTGCTGTTCTCAGAGGAGAGGATGGGCAGATACCTTGGCCAGGGCCACGACAAACTCCCAGGCTCTGGAGGGTTTTGCACAGCGGCCTCATGGTCGCACTGTAGAGGGAGCTCAGGTTTTAGGTGGCAAGTTAGGATCGATGCATCCTTAGGTTCTCTTCAGATAGTTCCATGCTGTTAGGTGGAACCCAAGCAAATTCTCTTTCCTTTTTTAAATTAAATATGCATAGCATACATTTTACCTTTTTAACCCTTTTTGAGTATAAAATTTAGTGTCATTAGGTATATTCACCATCCATTTCCAGAACATTTTCATCATCCCAAACTGTTAACTCTGAACCCCATTAAATAATAACCCTACATTCTCCCCACCACTAGCCCCTAGTAACCACTGTTCTACTTTCTGCCTCTATGAATTTGACTACTCTAAGTACTTTATATAAGTAGACTCGTAATATTTGCCTCTTTTTGTCTATTTTAACATAATGTTTTCAAGGTTTGTTCATGTTGCAGCATTTATCTGAATTTTTTTCTTTTTAATGGATGAATTATATTTCATTGTATGTATATACCACATTTCATTTATCCATTCATTTGTCATTCATTTTCTATCTTTTGACATTCTGAATAATGCTATCAGCCCCCCGTCCCGCCCCCCACCTCCATTTTTTTTTTGAGAGTCAGGGTCTCACTCTGTTACCCAGGCTGGAGTGCATTGACTCAGTCATGGCTCACTGCAGCCTCGAACTCCTGGGCTCAAGTGATCCTTCTGCCTCAGCCTCTCAAAGTGCTGGGATTACAGACGTGAGCCAACATGCCTCGTCCATTTTTAAAGTATAGATGAGATTGCTTAGAATCAAGAAATTGATTAATGAAAAAGACCTTAATTGAAAGGTGTACTTAGTCCAACTTCTTCATTTCATAGAAGGGAAAATCGCCCAGCTGGAAAGAGTGAACTGCTGGTGCCACATCCACCTACTTAAGCTCATTTACCATTTCTCTCCCGCTTACCTAAAATGATGAGAGCCTTGATGGTGCACGGCAGCCTCAGTATGGATCTTTAATCCCGAAGGATGTTGTAGACTTACAGAATAGTAGATTTGGAAGAATCCCACAGACGAGCAGCTCTCAAACTTTTTTGCTTAGGCTTTTTGCATGAATCATTTTCATTATGCTTTTGTCAGTTGAGCTGCATGACCTATATGACTGACAATAGGTAAGTGACGAATAAATGAATGAAGATCTTAAAGTAATTGCCTACATCAGCAGATCTCAGATCTGAAACTTTTTGGTCTCAAAATATATTTTGAAGACCTTAAAGAGCTTTATTTATATGATTATATCTGTAGGTACTTACCATATTAGAATTAAAATTGGCAAATTTGAAGATATTTATTCATTAAAATATCAATAAACCTATTATGTTAACATAAATAATATATATTTATGAAAAGTAACTGCATTTACCAAAACATGATAATTAGAAGAGTAGCATTGTTTTAGACTTTTGCAAGTATCTTTTGTATCTGGCCTAGAAGATAGCTGATTCTCATATTTACTTCTTCACTCAGACTGTGTGAGATATTATGGTGGAAGTATGTGAAGAAAATCTAGGCTGGGTGTGGTGGCTCATGCCTGTAATCCCAGCACTTTGGGAGGCCGAGGTGGGCAGATCATGAGGTCAGGAGATCGAGACCATCCCGGCTAACATGGTGAAACCCTGTTTCTACTAAAAAAAAAAAAAAAAAAAAAAAAAAAAAAAAAATTAGCTGGGCATGGTGGTAGGTGCCTGTAGTCCCAGCTGCTCAGGAGGCTGAGGCAGGAGAATGGCGTGAGCCCAGGAGGCAGAACTTGCAGTGAGCCGAGATTGCACCACTGCACTCCAGCCTGGGTGACAAAGGAAGACTCTGTCTCAAAAAAAAAAAAAAAAAAAAAAAAAGAAAAAGGCAATCTGACCTCCCACAGATAGGTAGTTGGGAAGTTTTTCAGTAGCCTTTTCAGAAAATTGTAGACATTCTTCTTTGATACTACACCAAAACTTGACAAGTGGCGGTTTCCTAACTGTTAGTTGTGATGTGGCATCTGAAGCTGTGCCATCCTCTGTTACATTAGAATAGTTTAGTTTATTTTGCTCTTTAGGTGGATCTTTTACCCATACATGACTTTGTTACATCATGGTTCACTGAGTTGTGCAGATCTTCCAAATAAATGTCAACATATGACATTAGGCAATATAAATCACATTTGTTCATGTCACTGCTGATCTCAGTAGAAAAGCCTCCAGTATTAGGAGGCAGTAAGCTCTTATGGGGTGGATACAAAGTTTCAAAAATTATTTTTTCACTTGGAAGCTCAACTTTTGTTCTTGGCCACAAATGGTATCAGTTGTTTACCTTGAAGTGATGAGCTCATGTGTTCATTCTTGAGAACATGTCTGCCAGGTACTCAAGTCTAAGTCATTGCAGTTTGCCTGTCATTCACTCTCTCCAGTAAAGATAGTGCTGTGTGCAACAAGTGGCTTCGGGTGGCTTGGAACTCAAACACTCACAAGAGTGATTTTTCTCTAGACGACTGTGGTATTTCGTGTGCAGGAGGGCTTCATGCGTGCTTCCCATGTCATTCAATGATACGTTAAAAAGGTGTGTGTTGGTCGGGTGTGGTGGCTCACGTCTGTAATCCCAGTGCTTTGGGAGGCCCAGATGGGTGGATCACGAGGTCAGGAGATCGAGACTATCCTGGCTAACACGGTGAAACCCCGTCTCTACTAAAAATACAAAAAATTAGCTGGGCGTGGTGGCGGGCGCCTGTAGTCCCAGCTACTCAGGAGGCTGAGGCAGGAGAATGGCATGAACCCAGGAGGCGGAGCTTTCAGTGAGCCCAGATCGTGCCACTGCACTCCAGCCTGGGCGACAGTGAGACTCCGTCTCAAAAAAAAAAAAAAAAAAAAAAAAAAGGTGTGTCTTCAAAGGTTAGATTTAAGAAAAGCCATTATTTTTTACTGCTTTCTCAAAGACACTCCTAAGTGAAAGTGGGGTTTTTTTTTTTTTTTTTTTGAGACAGAGTCTCCCACTGTCGCCCAGGCTGGAGTGCAGTGGTGCAATCTTGGCTCACTGAAACCTCCGCCTCCCAGGTTCAAGCGATTCTTGTGCCCCAGCCTCCTCAGTAGCTGGGATTACAGGCACATGCCACCACGCCCGGCTACTTTTTGTATTTTTAATAGAGATGGCCATGTTGGCCAGGCTGGTCTCGAACTTCTGACCTTAGGTGATCCGCCTGCCTGGGTCTCCCAAAGTGCTGGGATTACAGACGTGAGCCACCGCGCCCAGCCCAAGTAGTTTTTTTTTTTTTTTTTTTTTAAAAAAAAAAAAAGGAAAAAAAACCTGTGAGTATATGGTGAAGGATATCATGACCGCTAGGATAGTTTGGTGTCACTTCCTTGATTCGTGCTAAGATGCTAGCAGTTTTACCTTGGCATTTACACCATTAATGCAGAAAAAGGTGAATAATGTCTTAGCATTCTGAAAATAGTTTGGGCCTCGGGCCTTGTGGGCTCCCTGAAAGGAGGAGTTCACATCCCCAGAGGCTAAGATCATCATCTACAAACTGCTGACCTAAGCCAGCATTCCAGTCTTGTGGATATCAGAGGAAAAGTCAAGTCTACCATCATTCTAGAAGGAAAAGGCATGGTGGGAATTCAGCACCTGAACTTGTATTTACACCAGCCTCGGCATCTGGCCTCCTTTGTGCTAACTGCATAAACATGCTCACAGTTGTCCTGGGCTGGAGCCAGCTTTGCAAAAGCAGAGAGCTGGGTGTTGAGTTTCTGAAACCATGCCCTACTGGTTATTAGAAAACTCTTTGGCATTTTAAACTCCCATCTCCTTCTTGACATTGAAATTTAATATCGTGGAATTGACACCAAATGATGACGTCAGGCCTTTGGGTTGTCACACCATCTGTTGGCAGCCTGGCTTTGGAGCTTCTCCCAGTTGAATTTTGCTGCCTTAAAGCAGAAGCAAAGGAGTAGTGCATTTGTTAAGAAGAAGACGCCTGAATCTTTTAGTGGACCTGCTTTCAGCAAACTTGTTTTTTAGGTCAGAATACTATATCCAATGATCAAGCTAAACATGAAATGCTTCGAGTAAGACTCAGTATTCATACTTTGACATTTGCAAATCACTGGGTCTAATAATACTCTTCCTCTTTTGTTGTCAGCAATGGAAGAGTTAATAGTTGAACTTCGTCTCTTTCTTGAACTCCTGGACCATGAATATCTAACCTCAACTGTCAGGGAGAAAAAGGCAGTGATAACCAACATTCTGCTAAGAATACAGTCATCCAAAGGTGAGTCTCATTCTGACGCCTGCTTTTCCTTCTTACAGTGTCTTGGCTTCTAAATCGTCTTTAATTTTACCACCTTTCTAAAATATATTTATTTGTTCTTTAACTTACAAGCTTATTTATTCATCAAGTTTTCATTGAGGGTTTACACTTGTGCCAAGTTCTGTGTTAGCCTCCAGGTGTAGAAAGATAAAGCTTTGAAGGAGCTAATGGAATCGTGTTTTGGGAGTCCTCAGGGCAACCCCAGCGTTTGGAGATTACCTGGAAGGACTCACGGGACTTGGCATCAGGTTGTTCTTCCTCGTGTGCAGGACGCACTGCAGCCGTAGTGAGGATGCACAGTCCGACTGGCAGATCGGAAGGGAGAAGATGTAGGCGGAACATGGAGGAACCCATATGCCAGCGTCTGTGTGCTCTGTCCCTCCCACGAGGGTCACACAGAGCACACGCTGTCCTCAGCAATAAAAACGCAGCAAGCTCTGTGCGACATTTCCATTCAGGCTCATCAGAGACTCGGTGTCCAGGGTTTTTACTTGGGTCCGGTCCTCTAGGCACCCTCTGCCTATCACACACCAGAATTCCAGGACAGGCAGGGTTTCAGCACAACTGTGTTGTTTACACAAACAGTACAGGCACAGTGAACCACCCTTGTCCATCAGGGAATGGTGGGATCACTTCTGAAATCCACGTTCCCAGAGGCCAGCCAGGGCCAGCCTTGCCAGCAGGCCCCTCTAGAGAGAGCAGCTTTGGGCCTGCTACATTAACTCTTTGATGCACAGTGAGCAGGACAATAAAAAGCAGGCAATAAGAAAGCCTGCTAAGTGCTGCTGTGGAGAGCATCAGAGCCTTATGAGAGCACCTGAGAAGCAAGTCCACACCAGTTGAGTGAGAGACCGGGGTGGTGGAAGGTCCGAGGGGCAGTTCCTGGATGATGGGATGTGAGAATCTTGAGGACTCTATGGAGATAGTCTGCCGGATGAGATGGAGGATTTTTCTTTTAAACCTCTTTATTGAGATGTGATTCACAGGCCATACACTTCACCATTTAAAGTGTACAGTTCATTTATACTTTTACATGAATTCTTTTAGTATATGAAGCCATGTATGACACGATTAGATTTGCATTCTGGAAAGCTCACCTGGCCAGTCTGGAAGATGGGCTGAAGGATTTGGTGGCAGTTTGAACGTGGGTGGCTTGGGGAAACCTGGGTGGGCGATGGGGCCTGCCACTTAGATAAGAAAGCAGGATAGGGACCCTATTCTGGGGTAATATGAAATATTAACTTTTTTTTTTCTTTGAGACAGGGTCTCACTGTGTCACACAGGCTGGAGTGCAGTGGTGTGATCACTGCTCACTGCAGTATTAACCTCCCAGGCTCAGGTGATCCTCCCACTGCAGCCTCCCTAGTAGCTGGGACTACATTTGTGCACACCACAACACCCAGCTAGGTTATTTTTGTAGAGACAGGGTTTTGCCATGTTGTCCACGCTGGTCTCAAACTCCTAGGCTCAAGCAGTCTGCCTGCCTCGGCCTCCAAAAGTGCTGACATTATAGGCATGAACCATTGCGCCTGGCCTGAAATGTTCACTTCTGAAGTAATTTTGTTACTTCCCTGCTCAGACTCTTGGATCTGTCAGCCTTTGCCTCTGGTCACAATCCAGACTCCTTCGGCCATCCCACAAGGCCCTTTATCATAGGTGGTTATGAGTATGAACTTCAAAGTTAAACTGCCTTTTTGATTCTGGCCCTACCTGTTACCAAACATGCAACCTTTCACGGGTTACTTAAGCTTTTTATACTTCAGTTTCCTCCGTGTATAAAAAGGGCTAATGGTAGTATTGACCTCATGGGATGTTGTGAGGATTGAATGAGACGGTATAAAATATTTCAAAACAGTGCCTGATGCATAGTAAACACGTCAGGTATTGATGACCACTTGCTTTCCCCTGATTTCCTGTCTTTTCCCTCCGCCCAGTGAGCTCCAGCACTGGTCTCTTCATGCCTCCTTCTGGATGAATCTCCTGATATTTTTCAATTCATGAATTCTTTCTTCAGCTCTTTAATTTGCTTTAAACCTATCTATTGATTTTGTGTGTGTGTGTGTGTCATTTATCCTTTTCCTTTCTTGCTTTTGTTTGTTTGCAGTTCTCTAACGAAGTTCTTTTCTCCATTGCAGCTCCTGGAGGTCAGGCACTGGGGCTTTTCATGTTTCAATGCCTGGCCTCTAGTGTAGTACTGGACCCATTATAGGTGATCGTTGTTAAGTCAGTATTTTTACAGGCCTTTCCAAATGAGTGTTAGGCATACAAATAGTACTGTGCCCAAATTAAAACTTGTTTCTTCCTCTTTCCTGCCTGCACTGGTATCGTGTTCATCACCTTTCCTAGTAGTTTGTTGTGTATCTGTTTGTCTTTCCAACTTAAATCTGAGTGCCCAAGACATGTGAGCTTGTATCAGTCATGTCTTCCATACAGTATGTCTATTACAGTATCTGACTTTAAGAAGATACTTAATAAAAATTTATTGATTCCCAGGAAGGTGTCTGTCCTATTACTACATGGGTAAGTCCTGCCTGCCCTGAGTAGAAGTTGAGGGGGAGCAGCTTTCCCTTTGAGGTGCAGCACGGCACTGAGGAGCATGCAGGCTCTGGCACTAGTGCCGCCATTTCCATCTATGAGTGCTTTCATTCATTTCTTACACCCCTTCCCCTTCCTCCTTCCCCTTCCTCCTTCCCTCCATCCATCCCTCCCTTCCTTCCTTCCTCTTTTCTTTTCTCTTTTCTTTTCTTTTCCCTTTCCCTTTCCCTTTCTCTTTTATTCTTTTTTCTCTTTTCTTTCCGTTTCCCTTTCCCTTTCTCTTTTTCTTTCTCTTTTCTTTTTTCTTTTCTCTTTCCCTTTCTCTTTCTCTTTTCTTTTCTTTCTTTTTTCTTTCCCTTTCCCTTTCCCTTTCTCTTTCTCTTTTCTTTTCTTTTTTCTTTTTTCTTTTCTCTTTTCTTTCCCTTTCCCTTTCTCTTTCTCTTTCTCTTTTCTTTTCTTTCACTTTATTTAAGCTGTCGGTTCTTCACCTGTAAAATGGAGAAGAATAATACCTAACCTTGCAGGACTGTTGTAAAGGATTAGAGAAAATAAATATTTGCAAAGTGTTCAACACAGGGTTCAGGAACTGATAGATGCTAGTGGTACCCTTCTCATCCCCATCCTCATCCAGTTCTGTGGTTCTGGTTAATTCTTACAGGTTTTGATGTGAAGGACCATGCTCAGAAGCAGGAGACCGCTAACAGCCTGCCAGCCCCTCCTCAGATGCCCCTGCCGGAGATCCCTCAGCCCTGGCTGGTGAGTCAAGGTCCCACCATCTCAGTGGTCATCGCTGGAGGCCTGGGGGTACTTACGGGCTCCAGGGGCCTGTGATGGAAGCCCGGTGTGGAAGAATGGAGCCCTTATTTGTCTCGAGGCACTCCTTTGAGTATATTTCTAGGGCTGAGAAGCTGTGAGTGATAGCTAGTTGGTAGACTCTAGGTGTAGCCTCCCCTTAGGAAGCTAGCATTTCTTTGCACTGCCTCACACCACCATAAATTACCTATAGCAGGAGCTACAGGGCCACAGACATCTTTTCTTACGTCAGATTAAGAAAAACAAAAATTAGGGGATTTAGCAGACAAAAGTATCTGTAGACCTTGTGGACTTGACTCTCTTCTGAGTTAATTCTGAAGTTGAATACCTTATTGTGAAACTTTAATAGTCATTGTTAGACTTCTTCTGGGGTTAACTATCCATATTGTTTCCAAGAGAGAAAAATATGTACATATTTCGGGAATGTATACTTTAGTTTTATGCATTCAAATTCAAATTTGTTGTTTTTTTTTTTTTAATCTGGCGATTCCCTCATTTGCAAACTTTTATGTACCATTCAGCTTTTTCTATATTTGGCTGTTTTCTAACTTGTTTACTCGAGGAATTCAGAGTGTCATTCAAAGTTAGGGCAAAATCAGTAGCAATTCTCTTTCTGTGTTTGCTTTCAGTGTGAATCATCTGATGATCTCTCTGCCAGGATACGAACGGTGGGAAGGCAGGGCCGTTTCTTGATCACCCCCGCTCTGCCTGGGCCTGCCACAGTGCTCAAGAGTCTTGGAGGGACTCAGGGCTTCTCACTGCAGTGGGCACAGAGGGAAACAAGCACTTACTGGGTTCCTGGCACACAGCACCATAAATTACAACTCATTAACTCCCACAACTTGGCCTCAAAGAACCCCTAACGCTTCTTATCAGGGGAAGTGTACGTACACCCATTTTTCAGAGAAGGAAGCTGAGGCTCAGTGAAGGTGTGTGGTTTGCTCAACATCATAAAATAAGTAGAGGGGGCAGAGATTGCAACATTTATTTCAAATTCACACTTTTCTCAACAATACTAGTTCAGAGGTGTGGCAGCAAATCAGATGCAAGCATGCCTCAGACAGGAGAAGACTGTTAGCATTGAGCCTGTCCACCGAAGTGGAGTCCAGGGTGGCTGTAGGCTGCAGGGGCAGTTCAGGAGGAAGGCCGCCTGCTTCCCGCCCCCGCGCTGCCTCAGGCTCCTCATATGATTTGGGGAGATTAATGTAACCTCTGTGCCTCAGGATTATCCAGGAGATGGAAAGAGCAAATATATCTCAAGTGCTTAGGATATATTTAAGTCCTGCACTCTAATCCCTCCTCAGAGCAGCGCTTCTCAAACTTTAGCCTTCAGCCAACCACCCGGCCATCTGAAAGTGCAGATTCTGGTTCACTAGGTGTGGATGGGGGCTTTGATGCTGCCCTTCTCTGTTCCCTCCCCTCCCCTCCCCTCCGCTCCCCTACCCTCCCCTCCCCTCTACTCCCCTCTCCTCCCCTCTCCTCCCCTCCCTTCTCCTCCCCTCCCCTCTTTCATCTTTCCTCTTTCCTCCACAGGGTCTTGCTCTGTCACCCAGGCTGGAGTGCATTGGCACATTCATAGCTCACTACAGCCTCAACATCTTGGACTCAAGCAATCCTCTCTCCTCAGCCTCCCAAGTAGCTGGGATTGCAGGTGTGAGCCACCATGCCCAGCCAAATGTTTAATTTTTTTTTTTTTTAATAGAGAAAGGGTCTCACTGTGTTGCTGTCTTGCACTCCAGGCCTTCAGTGATCCTCCTGCCTTGGTCCCCCAAAATGCTAGGATTACAGGTGTGACCCACCCCACCTGGCCTCATTTGCTGTTTTTAGATATAATGTGATATTAAAGTCCAGAAATATAGCATTGTTATTTTAAAAGATGAAGAGCTAGATGGGAAATCAGCAGTTCTTCCATTTTCTGGCTTCCTCTTCTGGCTTATTTTCATTTTTTCTTTGTAAGATTGTCTGGAATCTCTGGCTCCCCTGTGATGGGTCTTATATTTCATCACATTTCATATTGGGAAAGATGTTCTGAGATGGAGCGGGAACTGAGAACAGTTAGAAGCAGCTGGGGCCAGGTGCGGTGGCTCACGCCTGTCATCCCAGCACTTTGGGAGGCTGAGGCGGGTGGATCGCCTGAGCTCAGGAGTTCAAGACTAGCCTGGGCAACATAGCGAAACCCCATCTGTAGAGGAAATACAAAAATTAGCCGGGTGTGGTGGTGTGCAGCTGTAGTCCAGCTACTTGGGAGGCTGAGGTGGGAGGATCACTTGAGCCCGGGACGCAGAGGTTGCCATAAGCCAAGATTGCGCCACTGCACTACAGCCTGGGTGACAGAGCGAGACTCTGTCTCAAAAAAAAACAAAAAACCTGCTGGGCGCAGTGGCTCACACTTGTAATCCCAGCACTTTGGGAGGCCGAGGTGGGTGGATCACCTGAGGTCAGGAGTTTGAGACCAGCCTGGCCACCATGGTGAAACCCCCGTCTCTACTAAAAATAAAAAATTGGCTGGGCATGGTGTTGGGTGCCCGTAGTCCCAGCTACTTGGGAGGCTGAGGCAGGAGAATCGCTTGAACCCAGGAGGCGGAGGTTGCAGTGAGCTGAGATCGAGCCACTGCACTCCAGCCTGCGTAACAAGACCGAGACTCCGTCTCAAAAAATAAAACAAAACAAAACAAGACCACAGAACCAAACCAAAACAAAAGAAGCAGCTGGAAGAGTAGCAGTGGTCCTGTGACTGTCATGGACTCTTCTCTAGTGCTGCTGCAGTGCCCTCCCACCTGCTTTGGACCAAACTGCATGTCCCTCACGTGCCAGCTGGGTGTAGCAGAGGGATGCCAGTTTCAGATGAAGAGTTCTCATGACTAGTCAGCATTTTCTACCATTTTCAACCATCGAATGATTGATTCACTTCTGTGTTGTCTTCTTCCAGTATAGTTTATTACTTATTCATCCTCTTTCTCCCTCTCTCGTCCTCTCTCCTTGTCTCTTGCTTTCCCTGGCCTATGATCTGCTCCTGCCTTTGGTAGGAAAATGGTTATGGCAAACTAGTCTGGGTTAAGGTATTTATGAGGCCCTTCTACTGGCATAGTCAGAACTGGTCAATCAAAAATGTTGGTTAAGGTGAGAAAATTTTAAAAAGGTATACATTACATGTGCTTTAAATATGTTAAATTTAAGTGAATGATTTAAGTGTTGGAATTACAGGCGTGAGCTACCATACCCAGCCTAAATGAATCCTTTTTGAGTGACAGTTTGCCAGTGGGTAATTTCTCCCTCCTGGTGCTTAATGCATGAGTATCAAGGTAATTTTTCCCTGGACACCTAAGCCATGCTTAATTGCTATAAAAATCACTGTGTTTTGATGTAGGACCGAGGGCCACATTCTTTGGTGTGTTGCTACCTATGGGGTTCTGTTTGTCTTTTCTGTGTAATCTATACATATGATTACTTTGTAATTTCCAGTTTTTGTAACACAATCTGAGTTTAGAATTCCTAGAATTTTATGAATGTTGCCCTGTCTTTTTTTTTAATAGTTGATGTCCCCACATCTAATTGTATAGCTTTTTAAGGTACTTTTGTTTGTTTAAGAGTCAGGTCCTTACTTTGTTGCCCAGGCTGGAGTGCAGTGGCACGATCATAGCTCACTGCAGCCTTGAACTCCTGTGCTCAAGCAATCCTCCTGCCTAGGCCTCCCAAACTGCTGGAATTACAGGCATGAGCCACTGTGCCCTGCCTAGTTTGTTTTGACTGAACCTTTCTAAAGCATCTCAGAGAATCATCAACTCGGCTTTGGCACTCATTTTTTTCATTGGTTTATTATGTAATGGTCAAATTAAAGTAAATAATTATGGTAATAAGAATTTAAAGAACAAAGCTGACTCTTGGTAAATACACAACTCAACAGGTGGGACAGTTTTTGTGGGCACCCCAGGGAGGAGCCTGTTGCCCTGAATGTTTAGCCTTTTAGGGATTTCAGGGTATTTTACAGAGGGAATAGAGAACAGCTGTCAACTCCATGAGTCAAGGAGGTAGAGCTTTGGTTAAGCTAGCTGGACTGTAGTTTTCTGATAGTTTTTTAGTGAATTTGGGATTCAGCAAGTCAGCTAGTCACTAAGTACATTAAGTTTGCCTTAATGAATTGGCTTTGGGCTAGTTGGCCGTTTCGCTATTGATGAATTGACTTTCAAGAGAATTTGCTTATTGTGGGGTCAGGACGGGACTGGTAGGCAGCTGTGCCAGGCAGAGGGTGTGCTGTAAATTAAAGCAAAAGCCAGAAAAACAGCCAGCTATACTAGGAGCGTTGCAGGTAGCTCTGCCTTGCTGGGTCATGGGATTTGGGCAGGAAATCCACACATGAGGCCAGAATTGTCTGCAGGGGTTAAATTACAAAGGACCTGTGGGTTGTGATGAGAAGTTGGGAATGTGTTGTGATGGGAAGTTGGGAATGGGTTGTGATGGGAAGTTGGGAATGGGTTGTGATGGGAAGTTGGGAATGGGTTGTGATGGGAAGTTGGGAATGGGTTGTGATGGGAAGTTGGGAATGGGTTGTGATGGGAAGTTGGGAAGGTGTTGTGATGGGAAGTTGGGAATGGGTTGTGATGGGAAGTTGGGAATGGGTTGTGAAAGCAACAGTAAGCCATTGAAGGGCTCTTTTAGTGTACAATTTACTTCAGCTAGGTTCTATTTCCCATGCGTTGAAGCACAACCGCACTTTATTTTTACCTCTTTTGTGGCATGAATTGAATATTGCCTTTTGTTATAGTGTTTTGTATTATAAACTCTTTAACAAATAAGGTTGTCTTTTACTTTTTTATCCTTTTTAGTGTCTAATAGTGCTTCATACCTTTATTCAATAGTTAATAAAGCCTGAGATGCCCTGTGTGACATGGTGCGTCTTTCCACCTGGCTAATGTGTCTTTGGAAGTGCTTGCAGGAGAGTAGATGTGTGTGTAGTGTGGAAATCTTGAACTTCTGAATTTTTGAAGTCACACGTGTGGGATGTAGCATGTTTCACACTCTGCTTTATCTCCCTGGCTTTTCAAGGGGAGACTCGGATAGGCTAAAATATGCATCTATTCAAAAAACTGTGGAAAGAGCTGTGCTTTTATTTTCTTTCCTTCTTTCTTTCTTTCGTTCTTTCGTTCTTTCTTGGCAGTCTCGCTTTGTCGCCCAGGCTGGAGTGCAGTGGCACGATCTGGGCTCACTGCAGCCTCCGCTTCCCTGGTTCATGCAATTTTCCCACCTCACCCTCCCAAGTAGCTGAGACTACAGGCACGCACCATCATGTCTGGCTAATTTTTTTGTCTTTTTAATAGAGACAGGGTTTTCACCATGTTGCCCAGGCTGCTTTCAAACTCCTGGGCTCAGGCAGTCCACACACCCCGGCCTCCTAAACTGTTAGGATTATAGGCGTGAGCCACCGCGCCTGGCTTTTCAAAAGATTGTTCTCTTTGTTTCAAGGGCGACCTGTGCAGCTATCAGACTGATTGCATTTCGTTTGCAGCAAGTGCTAAAAGAGTGTTTGAGAAGGCGAGCCCCAGGTCCTGGGAAATGGATCCCATCTGTGCTGACGCTGGCTGCCGTGACCCACTGCCCAGCTCGCAAGCAGCCGGCTTGCTAAAGGGGTCTAAATGGATAAGCGCCGTTTGTGCTGCTCCCCCACCCTTCTTCAGCATAGCATTGTGTCTAAACATAGGGGTATCTCAGATCTTCATGGCTCAGGAGAAAAAAGGGCAAGCTAGACTCCTTTTGGGGCTGTCATGCAGTACATACAACTCTAGATCAAGGCATTTTCTGGACATATTTTCATTTGGTAGACAGCCTGAGGTTATATCATGTTTCAAGGGATAGCAGAGGGAGCAACTTAATTCGCTGGTATTTTAGGGCCAGAACTTATGTAAATGTGATGCCTTTTTATGCCAGCAGATTATAGCCAAGTTTCCTTTTATTGTGGTAAAATATCCGTAACATAAAATTTACCATTTTAACCATTTTTAGTGTACGGTTCAATACACTTAAAATGACAGTTAAGTATCATGAAGTACATTCGTAGTATTGTGGAGCCATCACCACCATCCAGCTCCATACTTTATCCCAAATGGAAACTCTGTCCCCCTTAAACACTAACTTCCCATTCTCCCGCCGCCGGCGCCCCCCCCCCCCCCCGCCCCCAACTCCTGCCCCTGGCATCCACTGTCTCTAGGAAATCGTGAAGTTTTTTGTTTGTTTTTTTGAGACAGAGTCTCATTCTGTTGCTTAGGCTGGAGTGCAGTGGCATGATCACAGCTCACTGCAGCCTTGACCTCCCAGGCTCAAGTGATCCTCTTACCTCAGCCTCCCGAGTAGCTGGGACTACAGATGTACACCATCACACCTGGCTAATTTTTGTATTTTTTGTGGAGACGGGGTTTTTCCATGTTTCCCAGGCTAGTCTTGAACTCCTGGGCTTAAGTGATTCTCCCACCTCACCCTCCTGAGTAGCGGGGACTACAGATGTGAGCCACCACACTCGGCCTGAAACAGTGAAGTTTTGATACCAGGCGTTACCATCTTCCCATCGATGCATTTCGCCCTTTCTCAGGTACCTTCACAGTAACCTTGTTATCTCTGTTTCACAGATGACATTACGAGGCTCTTTGAGATTATGTGACAACGTTGGCTCTTTTACCAGTTGTAGAGCTGGGGCTAAAGCCCACGATTTAAAACAAGAAAATCATTCATTTTCCTGTGGCGTAAGATGTGACCCTTTGGTGGATGTGAGCCATCTTGTTTGCCTTTTTCATCATCTTTGAGGAATCTCAGAGTTTTGGCTCATGTATAATCCCAGTGGCATCTTTGTTTTCAATTCGCTTTATGGCTGGATTCCACTCTATCCTGTTTCCGCCCCTGGTGGGCTGCCTCGCCTTCCATCTGGATGCCTGCCTGCTGATGGAAAAGGGAGGGGAGATGACATGTCCCCACAGGGCTTTCATTCTTTGTCATGCATAAGTAAAAGGAGAGAAACTTTAAGAAAATATGTGAGACAATCTTCCCAGTGTTTACTCAAGCGCTGTGTGGAATGCAGACTTAACAGTGATCACAATGGAATGGGGTGTAATTTGGATAAAGACTTGCATTTTGCCAAGAAGAGTATGTACTCAGAATTCTTAGTGTTAGGATTGAAACCATTTTCGCAGCTTAAACTATAAAATTTTATTATCCTCAGTTTCCTTCAGCGGCATGGATTCCTTCCTGCAGATGAGCAGCAAGCGGCACAGGAAGTTTAGATGATGGCATGAATGCCGTAGGGTGCTGCTGAAATACATCAGTTAGAAAAGGGTTTCGCCAATATGTGATAGAAATGGAACTGGAGCCCTGATTTTCTTATTTCAAATTATATATTTTTTGGCTGTTACTCCTAACAGATTTTAATCCCTCTTACCAGAAAAACAGAATCTGGAGGTGTCACTGTAGATATAAAATTAAAGTCAGAAAGGGATTCCAAATCCTAGGTGTATGTATTTCTCAGCTAAGATCAGCTCTCGTCATTTATTGGTGTTTCCCTGGAAAGGACTAAGCAACAGATGGGGCAGGGGTAGGGAAGAAGGTGGGGAGCAGCAGACAGAGGGCGGAGTGCCAGCCACGAGGCGAGGCGAGCGAGGCAGGCGAGGCAAGCGGCAGTGGAAGGCATGAAGGTGCTGGGTCTGCCTTGGGCGCGGGGAGGAGAGTCTTCCTAAGAAATGATGCGTCTGCTTGTGCTGTGTGATATGGGAGCAAAAGGTCTGGACCCGTGCAGTCTTGGTTGTTCGGTTTGTTGGTTCCCTCCTTACATCTTGTCCGCTCAGCCCGCTGTGTGGTAGGTGCTGAGGCTGCAGGAGCAACGGATGCCGTGCAGTTGTGCCACAGTTTCCAGGTCAGCAGGCCGTGCCCACTCTGGCTGACTTCTGTGGATAAGCATGTCCAGCCCCGGGCAGTGTCTTTAATCTCTTGAGCCTCAGTTTCCTCATCTGTGAAATCACAATTGAGAGGCTGACATCTGACTGTTATTTTCTGAACGAGAGAAAATATGTATCAAGCATCCCAGGACAGTGCCTGACACCTTGTAGGCAAGTGGTCAGTACAGGTTGAACATCCTGAATCTGGAAATTGGAAATGGTCCAATGAACATGTCCTTTGAGCATCATGTCAGTGCTAAAAAAAGTTTTGGATTTTGGAGCATTCTAGATTTTGGATTTTTGGATTTGGGATGCTCAAGCAGTAAGTACATAATGCACATATTCCAAATCCACCCCCCTGTCACACATATACACACACACACACAAAATCAAAATCAGAAACATTTCTGGTCCCAAGCATTTTGCAGAAGAGATCCTCAACCTGTAGTAATAACAATAATAATTATTACTGTATTTATAACATATCATTTTACAAACAATTATTTATTTGAGATAGCATCTCACTCTGTCACCCAGGCTGGAGTGCAATGCATGATCATGGCTCACTGCAGCCTCGACTTCCCGGGCTCGAGCAGTCCTCCCACCTCAGCCTCCCTAGCAGTTGGGACTATAGGCATGCACCATCATGCCTGGCTAATTTTTGTATTTTTTTGTAGAGATGGGATTTTGCCATGTTGCCCAGGCTGGTCTTGAGCTCCTGGCTTTAAGCAGTCCTCCCACCATGGCTATTTTTATTATTATTGGAAAGAGAATTCTCTGTGAATTCTTTTTGTTTAAAGAATTCACTTTTCCTTAAAGTAGCAAAGACAGATACCAATGGGCTTTCCTTTCCAAAAGACGAGAATTAAAATTACGGCCAGTACTGTAAGCCCACGAGCCTAGGTTATATTACTGTGGTGTTGTGTAAGTACTAGTTTTCTCTAATGCAAGATGGAGACCTTACAGCAGAAATGTACGATTCCTGAAGGTAGATAAGATCTTCTAAACTAAAAGTTTAGGAGCTTTTACTTAAGTATTAATTTGAGGGAGAAATATTTTAGTGAATTTGAGAATTACCTAGTCACTGGCACAGTGTCAGTTCTTTCTTATTTCTAGGTCACAGCAGGGGTGAAGATCAGTCATTCTCTGAGGAGGGTAGTTTCTCATACTTCTTTTTAAGTGTCTAAAGATGCCATGGTGGTTAGACTTTGGACCCTTGTTTTATTTTTTTTCGAGACAGAGTCTTGCTCTGTTGCCCAGGCTGGAGTGCAGTGTGGCGATCTTGGCTCACTGCAGCCTCTGCCTCCCGGGTTTAAGCAATTCTCCTGCCTCAGCCTCCTGAGTAGCTGGGATTACAGGTGCCCACCACCACACTCGGCTAATTTTTGTATTCTTAGTAGAGATGGGGTTTCATCATGTTGGCCAGGCTGGTCTTGAACTCTTGACCTTGTGATCTGCCTGCCTCCGTCTCCCAAAGTGCTGGGATTACAGGCGTGAGCCACCGCGCCCAACCCAAGGACCCTTGTTGCCTTAGCTTGTGTTTTGTGAGTGGTAGCCCAGGAAACAGTGGGGACAGATGCAGGCCGTGTTAGGGGCATGTGCACGGACTGGGTCTCTCCTGATAGTGACGGAGAGTTGAGTGATTCCACAGTGGTGTGTGGGGCTGCCATTCAGTGGTACATTTGAGGGACTTGCTCTGCCCAGAGATTCGCACGTCCTTTATCCTTTGGGAGGACATGGGGTCAGCTCTCAATGGAATTTTGGAAGAGGTAAAGTTGGCTTTGTTGTCTGTGGACCTGTAACTTTATAAGAATGCTGGAATTGGACTCTCAGAGCTGGGGTGGGCACTGAAGGTTGTTCTGATGCGATGCCCTTGTTTTAGGTGAGGGAATGGGCACGTGGAGTCTTGGCAAGGTTGCAGAGGTGCAGGAACAAGCCAGCCTTGGATGTGAGTGGCTGTGCGCCTGCGTCTTCCTCCCTTTGCCAGACTCTCTTATTTCCTGCCTGGCCTCTGCTTTCCCGTGGCCCCTATTGGAAACCTACCTTCCCTGTTGTGTACCTTTTACAATTCCATTAATTGTGCTCTCAGTGAATTCTTATTGGAAAGGATTGGAAAGACTTGATCCTCTAAAAGCAGTGGTGGTGACAGTTTGCTCATCATTTCGGCCCTTCTCCTGTTTGACTTTAACAAGCCTGAAGTGTCTGAAACCCCTGTGGCCGATTTCAAGGATAAGTGGTATTTGAGAGTGGAGTGATTCTTTAGCAGTATTATTTTCTGAGGGGGTATTATTTCAAAGTGAAAGTAGTTTTATTTTTTAAAATGATTTTTAAAATGACAACTATGCAGAAAAGTCAAGCAGTCCAGATTGCATGTAGAAAGAGACAACCGCTATGAACACTTTTGGTGAATGACCTTCTGCCTCTGTGTATATGTAAGCACAAACACTCACCTTTTATGTAAAGGGATCATAGTACACCTTTGTTCTTTGATGCAGCAGTATCTCGTAGAGGTTAATAAAGTAAATGGCTGTACACATGCACTGGCCTTTTAAATGTTTGTCTGTGGATGTAGCAGTACATCTGAGCATTCTTCTCTTGAAAATTTAGATTGTTTTTAGATTTTACTAAACAAACTTTTATTGAACATCCTTATGTGGTTTTTTTCATATGTGGTTTTTGACATATGTTTCTAGAAGTGGAATTATTGGATCTAAGGGGATACGCAAAAGGTTGTGCCAAGTACATGACCACCAATAGGGTTTGAAAGTGTCTGCTCAGAACCCCATCGATTCAGAGAGTAAGTTCCTTGGGGCACTGAGGAAAGGAGTCTGACCTGTACTAGTTCACAAACGTTTGTTTGATTCAGCTATTTGTCGTGCTTTTCCAGGACATGAATAGTTTGTTTGACCATGCTAAAAGGAATTTGGAATACCCTGCGTTTCAGGAATAAAAGATACTCAGTGAATCAAGCAGCTGTTTTCCAAAAGCAGCCAGCAGAGATTTTAACTTGGATGTGGACTCCTGTACAGACCTTGCCTGGTGCTGGGCCCCATGTATCAGGTTCTGTTGCGTCTGTAGGAAGATATGAAGGACCTGGAGATGGTCCAGCCTAACGCCACACTAAGATGACAGTTTGGGAAGCCAGCCTTCTGATAGGAGTGCAAAGGAATTGAAGTTATTTAGCCTCGGGAACAAGGACGGGGGGCGGGAGGGAGGTAACTCTCTGTAAGTCCCTGAAGGAATATTGTGCAGATGGTCTGGAGTGAGTTCTCTTCTTCATCTGGTGAGAGGAAGGAGTGGGTTGAATCTGCAGTGGGTGATTAGTCATTCACAAAGGACTTCTTGGCTTCAGAGATGAGTTACATAGAAAGCGATGGAGTCGTACTTTCTGGAGAGTTTACATTAAAAAAACGCAACAGCCCCATACTTTCAATAGAACCTTTTTCTACTTGGAACTGTAACTGAGTAGATTTCAATTTGGGGCCTCTGCTCTGTTCCATTCCTTGTGAACATACCTCTTCCCAGGTTGTTTACAGAATCTAGGTAGTGGGAAATTGTTGCATGCTATTCATAGGAAAAAGGGGAGAGAGAAAGAATATGAATATTAAAAAGGTCTTTAGCAGGCAGACGTGGTGTTTGAAAACTCCAGCTGGCAGTTACTAGTGTCTGATTTTGAGCAGATTTAGATTCTGAGCTTCAACTTCTGTATCTGTAAAATATAAGGTAATAGAATACATGCCCTGAAGGATTCCTGCATGGATTGATTGACGTTCATGTGGCAAGTGCAGAAGTGTCTAGCACAGTGCTGGGCAGATTGCAGATGCTGGGCGAATGCTGGCTTTCCTGCCACTCAGCCACCTCTTTTGGCAGAAGGACCAGTGAGAGACACACCAGCAAGTCCTGTAGATGGTCTTAGGAGGGAGAGGCTGGGGTGGATTAGAGCCGTCAGGAACATTTAAGAAAAGAGGGGACTTGAGCACAGTCCTGAAGGCCAGGTGGGACGTAGGTTGTCCCGAGGCGCGGAGTGAGCCCCCAGCTCGTCCATATTCTAAGGCTATGGCTTCACAACCAGAGAGAGTTTCGGTCTCTGAGTTTGTTAAAAAATTGTGATGGGCCAGGTGCGGTGGCTGACACCTGTAATCCCAGCACTTTGGGAGGCCAAGGCGGGCTGATCACGAGGTCAGGAGTTCGAGACCATCCTGGCTAAACGGTGAAACCCTGTCTCTACTAAAAATACAAAAATTAGCCGGGTGTGGTGGTGGGCGCCTGTAGTCCCAGTTACTTGGGAGGCTGAGGCAGGAGAATGGCATGAACCCAGGAGGCAGAGCTTGCAGTGAGCAGAGATTGCGCCACTGCACTCCAGCCTGGGTGACAAAGCAAGACTCCAACTCAAAAAAAAAAATTGTGACATGATTGGTTTTAATAAGGAGTGGATTCCATCTCTAGAGAATAATTTCTACTTTGTTTTAGAAAGTGGCTCCCAGGTGATTTGCTTTTTTAAAGTTTTCCTAGCACACAATAGGGATATGGTGAGAATGTGGGCAAGCCTCACTCGTGCACTCAGCCAGTGTGGCTCACCAACTCACTCTGTGATGAGTGCTGGGTGCGCCTGAGCATCTGTGTCCCAGGAGCCCACCGCCTGTGGCAGGGCCATGGAGTCCCAGAGTCTGCGTCTGAGGCCTGCGAGGGTTGGTGTGTGTGGAGTGTGTGGGGATGAAGGGGAGTGCAGACACTGTCTCAGACCCCTGGGGCAGCATCTGAACAGGCCCAGTCCTGCGTGGGGGAAGGGGCATTCTGTGTCGTGGATGCTCCAGTGAGACTGCTGCACACACCGAACCTGGAGATTTGGTGTGAACTGGACGGCATGTGGCCAGGGCTGGGGCAAGAATGTGCGCAGGAAAGTAAGAGAGACACATCAGGGCTGGCCTTCCAAGCCTCTTCGTAGGATGAGGTTCTCTTTTGCCGAAGACTTTACAAAGGAAAGAGGAAAAGACTGGCCACACCTGTTAATTGGAAATCCAGAATTTCCTTCTAATGGTCATGCTAATTTCTGTGTCACTTTTCCTTTCTTCCTCAGCCTCCTGACAGTGGGCCTCCACCATTGCCAACATCCTCCCTCCCAGAAGGTTATTATGAGGAAGCTGTGCCGCTGAGCCCCGGAAAAGCTCCGGAATACATCACATCAAGTGAGTGGCCAGCCCTGCCCAGCCATGCTGCCTTTGTGATTGGCAGGACTGTTGCAGAGCCTGTCCCCTTTCTGGGTAGGAAGGGCAACAGGGTATTATAAAACACTGTGGGCCAAGTACTTTTTGAACCCAAAGAGATTGTCAGTACAGGAAAGGTTTTGAGAAGGACACCGAGTGCCTCACACACAAGCCTCTCTTCCGATTGCTGTCTTCCTTGTGACTCAGAGGTAGTGAAAGCTTATTGCTGTGGCAACAGGTATCAGCAGTGCGGAAGAGAAATGGCTCTTTGTGGTATATTTTTTGGGTGCGTGCTACAGCCCCCACTTCCTTAGTCTTTGATGCTCTTGGGCTGCACCCATTCTGCCACGATTAAAGCAGTTTCCACCAGGTTGGCTGTTGGGCCAGAAATAATTGGGTACAGCACAAACAGGCGTCTCTGTCATAGACTTTTGGTTTTTTCTTTTTTGGGGGTACAGGTTCTATTAGATGATTTTTGCCTAAGTTCTGGTTCTCCTGGCCCCAGTTAGTGGCCTGCTGGTAGCACTCAGAAGTACCTGTTTGTTACTACCCAGCTTCAAGTGCGGATGAAGCATGACATGATGTTGAGTCTCCGGAATTCATTTCTGAATTGGTGGCTCTATGTCTCCTTTCAGTATCTGTCAGGCGGGGGGCTACCATCTCATAAGAAAGTTGAATACCTGAATGTATGTCAACTAATGGAATCCAGCTTGCTTTTTTTAAAAAGAAAGGTAGATAAGTGGATAGTGACAGAGCAGTTGCTGACTGTACTCAGGAGGCTCCTGGTGCATTGATCTTCTTTGCGTGGTCTCCGGCCTTCGCTGTCTCCTAAGGAAAATGCTCTCCCTTTCCCCAAAGTTGTTATACTGTTACCTGCCACATAGAGACTTTGCATTTCAGATCTTTCTCTCCTTGGCAGTCTACGAGCGCGGCTATTCCACCAAAGCAGGATCCGTCTTGATGATTGGAAGGAGGTTGTTATGGGAGATTCCCCCGTTGGCATGCTTCTCTGAGTGTGGAGAAGGGCTGTGGAGAAGCCAGGCCAGCTGGACTGCGTGCCCCTGAGGGTGCCAGCTGCTCCCGCTTGCCTGTCTCCTCAGCTTCTGGAGCAGTCGGGGCACAGACTGGGCCAAATGTCAATACTTAGTTGTGCTCTGGATGAGAAAAGGGATAGTTCTGATAAGGTGGTCATGGATTTTTCGATTTTGAGAATAATTTACCAACTCTTTAAGAAGACAGTAGATTAATTAGAAAACAAATTAAATGCCTCGATATAACTCAGAACGTCATTGGGTTCCTTTATTTTTAATGGCAGTGAGTAAAGACAAGTATGTTTTCTTATTGAGGGTATTTTCTAGCATTTGGAACGTTTGTCTCTGGCCCTTCCCCTGCAGTGTACTTTCAAGGCTGGAAACAGAGTGATTGTTTGATTTTGGGGGCTGTTGGTCATTTTTATTCTGAGGAGCTGCACGTAGCTGGCAGGTCACGGCCCCTTCAGTGGGGCTGTTCCTTAGCCGCTGACTCCAGAAGAAGAGGTGACTGAGGAACTCACGCCTGGGGAATGAGGAGACAGCAGTGATGGCGCACAGTGGCTTCTCCAATCACACGTCTGCCGTGGGACTCTCAGTTGATGGCCCCAGGACACAGCCGCCCCTCCCTTGAAGAGCAACAGCCATGGGTTGACTTGTCAGCTCAGTTAAGGATTGTACCACCTTCAGTTAGATACGAACTTTGAGATGGTTTTGTGAAACCTGCGTGGGTTATGGTCTTATCGGAGAAGCCAAAGCATTTTGAATGTCATGGAGGGAAGAGTTTATTGAAGGAATTGAGGGCGTGTGCAGTTGTGAGAACTTCTTCCCTGGAAGAAGCACGGGCAGTTTCTGCTGTGTCTGGTCGGGCCGGCAGCCGGGAAGAAAGCTGGATGAGGACTGGGGAAGAGGAGGGACAGACAGACGGGAGCCTGCGTCTCTCCTGATGGCACAGGTGACCAGCAACAGCCCACGTGAGCTGCGGCAGTCCCTGTCCCCGCGTCCACCTGCAGAGTCTGGGGCCACTGCTCCCCTCTGCCCTATCACTCCCAGATTTCTCTCAGGGCCACCCTAGCCCAGAATCATCTAAGAAAGGGAATTTTGGGAAGTGTGATTCCAGTCTTGCTAGGCTGATACAGTAGAAAACTACCACAGTTTATCTTTGGTCAACTTGGCACCCATGCAGAGTCTGGGGCCACTGCTCCCCTCTGCCCTATCACTCCCAGATTTCTCTCAGGGCCACCCTAGCCCAGAATCATCTAAGAAAGGGAATTTTGGGAAGTGTGATTCCAGCCTTGCTAGGCTGATACAGTAGAAAACTACCACAGTTTATCTTTGGTCACCTTGGCACCCATGCATACCTCTTCTAGCCACACTGAGTTTCCAAGTAGAGACGAGCAGCGCACGCTTGAGCCTAACGTGATTCACCATTGCCCGGGTGACGGGAAATTCCCCAACTCCCCGCAGAGGAGACAGAGCCCCTTTGTCCAACATTTGGGTCACATCCATTCTCTTCTAGAGCCTGTAACCTAAATTCCGAGATATTCATACAAGGTTGACTCCTGTTAGCCCTTCTTATGTGAGATGGTGGGGGCCTGGGAGAGGGGGAAGAAGAATTCGTTTCTGTGTACACAGTTATATTCTTATCAAAACAAGGAAGAAAAGCCTGTAACAGGTTCCGTCTCCACACCTGGTCAGTGTTCATGGCTAGAATTTACCACCTCCATCTACTGCCCCTTTTGTATTCCCGGTGCCCCCAGCAAACCCCTTGGTTGGTCGTGGTTTTTTCTTGGTGGGTGATTCAGCTTCCTTTCTTGAAAGGTCTGGACCTTCAGTAGCACTTCTGTATTGGATGGTCATGACTTTTCATTAACTTTAATCAGAGGGTGTGAGAACACAGAGGGGCACTCAGGGGGTCTTCCAGGTCCCCTGCGTGTTCTTCCTTACTCCCACTGTGGGGTAGTGGCTTCCTCACAATTGGGGTCCGTCACCTCAGCCACTGCAGGAGCCACTTCTTTGCCTGTTACTGACACGAGGAGCCCAGTGTGGCCAGGTGGCAGCTTCTGCTTCCAGTTTAATGAAACCATTGCCATATCTTGCCCTTAGACCAGTGCAGTCCAGCATTTTAGGGAAGGAAAGCAAGCATTTTGTTAGTGGGTCACTGGGGGTAATAGTGGGAGGAGGCTCCTCTCGTTTCACCCCTTGATTCTTGGGCTGTGAATCTGGGCTGTGGGAGAAACAGTACCACCAAGTCAGAACATATAGTGCCAGAAGATACTCTGAAGTCTCTTGCCCCCAAGCCTACAAGGTATCACCAGTTGGCTGGCACTATAATTGGATATTCAAAAAAAATTATTTTGACCTATTGGGTAAGTGACTTCAGCGTGCTGGAGTCTGTGGCAAGATCAGTGAATTTCCTGAGCACAGACCCATTATTGTGTACTTGATTTGCTGTAAATGAGTTCCCTGGTCAGAAGCAATGGTGTGGGGATCCCATCATGGAGAACAGGACATTCTTTAAGGCCCTGTGGACCTAGAAGGCAAATTTATTTTAATGATCTCTTCATGATGGAAGTGGACCAGTGATAACAACCTGCCATTAGGTGCCAGCTGATATCCCAGGGATGGTGTCAGGGCGTGGGGATGGGGTAAGGAGGTTGATGTTGCCGTCTGCTGTTGGCAGGTAGGGTACTCGGAAGTACCTGGAGTCGGATTTTCCATGAGTGAAGTCCGTGTTGCTGAGTTCATGCATAACCTCTATTCCTGCCATCATGTCCACATATACGTGAGCCCATTTGGACAAGAAGTCTGGGGAATGAGGATGACTGATGCAGCTACAGTGGGTCGTGGTATTTACCCGAGTATCAAGATCCTCTTCTGCTGAGGTCTGTTTACATCATGTGCCCATTTGTGAAGGTCTGTTGACAGCATCTTCTGCAGACCAGTTGTTTGTTACCTGTTTTTTAATCATATTCCTCTCCATTGTCGATCATCCAACCAAACCATTAGGCAGTGTTCATGAATGGTTGTTGAGGGAAGAGGCAGCGCACAGGACTAAGGGCTGCTTGCTCGCTCACATCTTCTGGAGTGGATGGAGCCTGCTGTCACACACCCGCTTTGACTTGAGGATGGAGTGCCCCTTCATGGGTCAGAGAGACTGTGGGCCATGCAGGGCGGCTCAGGTTTCCTCTTCTCTTGGTGTCTCATGGTGAAGCATTACGTCTCTGCCAGGGCTTCACTAGCTGAAAGTAGTTCCTCAGAAGTAAGATGGTTCTCTCTAAAGGATGGTGTAGCCGTGCTCCAAACTCCCAGAGGTCCACCCTCGCCTTGCCTGGGTGAGCCTGCCAGAGTGTCCATACCAACCTGCGGAGCAGTGAGGGTTTCATCAGAACAGCAGAAATTACAATGGGGATAGAAGACTTATTCTAGATTAGCCGTGCACACTTGCGGGAGCTGTTGAAGTCAGTGGTTGGCTGTGGCCTGAGCACCTGGTAGGACCTGCCACCTGGAAGGAAAGCTGGCCGTGAAGCGCAGGAGGTCAAGGGTAAACGATAATCCATGAGGTCAAACTGCAACTCATCTATGACTTCCTCCAGACTCAGTGACACAAGTGACCCGCACAAGATGCGGATGCCCTTGGCTCTGGAGTTGTACAAAACACCGAAGCGGGAGAGCCTGCAGCAAGCAGCTGGGGGACCTGAGCCCATGGCTGCCCCACACCAGCAGGGTGCGCAACATGCCACAGCTTCTGCAGGGCCTGGCGCCCTGTGCTGGCCTCGGAGATGGGCCTGCTGTTTCCTTCTCTCCTTCCAGGTTCCTCAGTTTCTCCTGTAGCCAGACCATGCAGAGCAATGGAAGTGGCGTTCCAGTTAGCTACGGTGACATAGCATAAACTCACTACAACGCTCATTGGCTGTTTTGGTTTCAGACACAGATTTCAGTTTTATTTTCAGCTTTCTAATTCCTCTGTTTTGCCCTCTTCCCTCTCCCTCCTCCAGGGGGATTGGTTGAAATGGCATTTCTGATGTTATGGGGTGTGGGTGTGTGTGTAAACGAAATACATTATGTAATGCTGCTGGTGTTTGGAGATGAGCACTCACTTCCTCAGGCCCCGATGTTGGATGGTCATGTGCACAGGTAGTTACACCTGCTTCTAGAGTTTCAGGTTCACAGGGAGCTATCTTGTGTCCTTCATTTTATCCTCATAGTAACTCTCAGAGAGACAAGATTATCTTAAAGACACTGAGTCTCAAATAAGTTCAATGACTTACTATATTTCTCTAGAGTGAGATCTCGGACTTAGACTGGCCATTTTCAAACATAAGTCAGATCTCTGCTCTATTCACAACCTTCTCGTGGCATCCCATCCCACTCAAAAGTTAAAGCCAAAGTTCGTCTGAGGGCTTCTCTCCTCGTCCCTTTACCTACCACGTGTTCCTCCCCTGCTCACTGCCCTCCACCCCCCATCCCCAGCCCCTTTTACATGGTCACAGCAGCATGAAAGAGTGGAGAATCTGTGATGCAGAAGGAGAGTCAGTGTTCAAAACTTTGTGACCCTCTTGCATTTTGTATTTTGTAGCTCTTGTATTTTGATCCTGTAAGAATCGCAAGTAGAAAAGTGTTGAATGATATTGCCAAAGTGAGGATGTGAGATGGAGAACCTTTCTCTGCACTCCAAATGCCTTGCCTTCCACAGAGTTGTGTGGGGCAGCTGGAAGGATCGAGGGGAAAGCCCTTTGTGAGTCTGAAAACGCTAGACACAGCTGCAAAGCACCATCATCATTCTTATGAAATGACATTGAGACCTGAAAGAGCAGCTCCAGAAAGTAGCCATACTTCATCATTGTGTTACTTGGACACATCCCTACTCTCCAATAGGCCGTTTGTCATCTCTTTCCCCCTCACCCGAGTGTGAGAACAAAGAGGGCCAAGGCTTTTGTCTGTTTTGCATCTGGCAGGTAATATGTGCTCAATAAACACTTACTGAGTAGATGAAGGCTGTGCTTTTTCCACTCCTTTCCTTTGTTGATTTTTCTATGCTGAATTTCAAGTTTTTTTTTTAATTGTGAAACATCTAATATTGTGCTTGCTCAGCCTTGTGCCCAGAACTAGAACTCCAAGAGAAATGAGGGCCACAGCTCCTGCCCTAGAGGAGCCGTGTTTTCTGCCAGCCTCTCACTCTCCCCTCCCTCTGAAAAGTGAGGTCAGAAACCAAGAGAGACGCCTGGTGGGTCTCCTGCTTATGGCCTCAGCAAAGCCAGTGCATTGAAACGAAAAGGCAGGGTCTGCGTGGCGCTCCAGTCCCCTTGAGAACACTTGCTTGTCACTTAACCTTTGTCTGTGGTTCCTGTGCCTTTTAAAGATAGATTCTTGTGTCATTTGGGTGGAGAGAAGGCATGGCCCCTTGGAAAGTCGTGACGCCCTAACCGCCTTCTCAGGGCACCGTTGCTGGCTCTGATGTGCCTGATGTGCAGTGTGTGTGGTATTGCCGTTGCTTTTATGCAGTTTTTTTCTGGAATAAACATTTTACAGTTAAAAATAGTAGTTTACTGGAGTGTTCCTTAATTTCATCAGAATGACACTATGATAGCAATTCCTGCCCATGAAACTAGTTTCTGGTGAAGAAGAGTGTGGTGGTGAATTTGAGGTGTGAAGTTGACTAGATGAGGGGGACCTAGGGAACTGGTGAAGCATTATTTTTGGGTGTATCTGTGAGGTGTTTCCAGAGGACACTGGACACTGGCATGTGGGTCTGAGTGGTCCACACGGGGAAGACCCACCCTCAGTGTAGGCAGTACCATCCGATAGGCTGGAGGCCCAGAGAGAACAGAAACAGAGGAGAGGCACGTGGGCCTCTCTTTTCCGTGAGCTGGGAGACTTCTTTCTCCCTTGGACGTTAGAACTTCAGGCATCCCGGCCTTGGGACCCCAGGACTTATACCAGCACCACTGCCCTCCCGCACTTCCCCACCTCCTGGATTCTCAGACCTCCCTCTCAGACGGAGAGTTTCACCATCTGCCTCCCTGGTGCTGAGGCTTTTGGACTCGGACTGAGCCACGCTTTGCGCATCCCAGGGTCTCCAGGTGGTAGACAGCTTTTTGTGAGATTTCTCAGTCTCCATAATAGCATGAGCCATCCCCCCTAATAAATCACCTCCCTTCCTTCCCTCCCTCCCTTCCTCCCTCCATCCGTCCCTCCCTCCCTCCCTCCCTCCCTTGCTTCCTTCCTTCCTTCCTCCCTCCCTCCCTCCCTCCCACTTACCCATCTACCTGTTCACTCCCTCACTCACTCCCTTCCTTCCTTCCTTCCTTCCTTCCTTCTTTCCTTCCCTCCCTCCTTCCGTCCACCCACTCACCCATCCACCTGTCCATCCATCCATACATCGATCCATCTGTCTGCCTGAGCATCTGTCTATCCATCCATGTATCTAATCTGTCAATCTCCTATGGCTTCTGTTTCCCTAGAGAGTCCTGACTGATACAAAGAGCATTTCCTAATCAACAACGTCCTTTCAACAGAGTTCACACGGTTCTGTTGTTGGCCCTTTGGTCTGCTGCCTTACTCTACACAAAGTGTAGACATCTGAATGGGTCGGGCCTGATGGTATCTAATCAATGCCCCACCCCGAGTACCCCTGAAATAGAACCTTCCTGTTCCTCTCTCTGTGAATACCTGTACCACTTACTACAAGACTAGAAGGCAATCAGGAATTCTTTTCCCTGCTCCCCATTTCTGAGTTGTTCATAATTTTTCACAAAACGTTTATGACCTCTTAATGTAATCCAAAACCCCAGGCCTCCAGACGGTGAACTTCTCAAAGTCCTAGACCACAGCTCTGGCTGGTGGAGCTACCAAGTGATATCCTGAGCAAGAGTCTCTTCTCTTGATTGGGTCATCACTAAGCATACTTTCCAGAGAGTTCTTTTGATTGGGTCATCGCTAAGCATACTTTCCGGAGAGTTCTCTTGATTGGGTCATTGCTAAGCATACTTTCCGGAGAGTTCTCTTGATTGGGACACTGCTAAGCATACTTTCCGGAGAGTTCTCTTGATTAGGGACACTGCTAAGCATACTTTCTGGAGAGTTCTCTTGATTGGACCATCACTAAGCATACTTTCCGGAGAGTTCTCTTGATTGGGTCATTGCTAAGCATACTTTCTGGAGAGTTCTCTTGATTGGGTCATCGCTAAGCATACTTTCTGGAGAGTTCTCTTGATTGGGACACGGCTAAGCATACTTTCCAGAGAGTTCTCTTGTTTGGGTCATTGCTAAGCATACTTTCTGGAGAGTTCATTATCCTTTGTGCTCGGTGACTTCTGGCTGTTCCTTGTTTGCTGCTAAGTTGGCTGGTTTTTCTAAAAATGTCATTTCTACACTCTTAGAAGAAGGCAAGACAATGAACTTAATTGTCTTTTTCATAACTGTAGACCTCAACTCATTCCCAAGGATGAAAGGGCTACTAGAACATAGTTTACTTTTTCCGTTTAAAATACAAAGGCACGGGTTCATGTTTCAGTCCTGTCATTCACCAAGCCTATGCTCCTGGATGAATCTCGTAGTCTTCGAGACTCATTCTTCCTTTTCTCTGAATAAGACTAATGTCTTATGTGCCCCATCTCCAAGTGGCTGGGAGGTCCGGTGAGATGGTGGATGTGAGAAACCTTTGTAAATTTGGAGCAGGCCCGGCTTTTCATGGCTTTATCCTAGCACCTGCTGTGTAAATATAGATAGTTTTTAAAAAGTGCCTGGCATAGAGTAGAGCTCACAACATATTTGTGGAATGAGTGAAATTAAAGGTAGTTTTCCCATTTATAACTAACTGACTCATTAAATCTTTACTTCATTATTTACTGAACTTGATGTTCCAGCAAGTGGGCCGAGCCCTGAGGGCTGTGTGGTCCTCCAGGCCGCTATGAGAATCATCTTTCTGAAATAAAGCTAGGATGATGTCCATGGCCCCTCCAGAACCCCTCAGTTTACGTTGGATCGTAGCACAGCACGCGATCTGCGGTCTGGCCTCTGCCCATCTTCTCGTTCCATATTCCATCGTTTCCTTCCACATACCCTTGTTCTAGCCACGCTTACTGTTTTAAAAACCCTCTTGTTGTAAAATACATTTACCAGAAAGTGCATAAAATATGAGTATATGCTCAGTGATTTATCATAAAGAAGCCATCTGTGTAACCACCATTCAAGTCAAGGGTAGAACACTGTCAGTCCCTGAAGCCCCCTGCTCCTTCCTAGCACAGCCAAGCGTAACCACGGACGTCGTTTTGTGGCCTCGCTCACGTCCTGTCCAGAAGCTGAAAGGACCCCCTGTGCCTTGGCAGCATTTGATGCTTGTCAGTGCTTTCGCTCATCGCGTTTCTCCTTCTCAGACTTTTTCCTTTGGTTGGCAATAGCTTGTCTCAAGGCCTGGCTCTAAAGTGACATCTTCTGTGCTGTCTTCCCTGTGCCCCTGCATATGCTGCCCCCTCGTGCCCGGCTCCATGACAGCTTGCATTTTGCCCTAGATTGTAAAGATCTTGCCCCCCCCACCCCTGTGCCGTCCAGCAGAGCTTTGGCAGCAGGGGGAGTGTTTTTCCTCTGGGCCCCGGTATCCAGTTGACATGTGGGACTTGAATGAAAATTGAAATGTAAGTAACCCCCTGTGGCTGCCCTGTGAAGCAGGGGGTGCTTGGTGAGTGTAGGTGCTGATGGGTGTGTGGGGTGTGTTGGAGGGGGATGTGGAGCCAGTGAGAACGACCCACCTGTGGGCGGAGGGTGATGTGAAGCAGGGGCAGAAGCGGGGCAGAGACCTGTGACCCAGACCAGGGTGTTCTGTTCGCCTCTCACCTTTGAGTCAGCCCCTCATTGCATCCCTCGTGGCCTCTGAGCTGCTCCTGTCTCTTACCTCGTCCCTTCTTCAGCCCATTCCTAGTGCCATTGCCAAAGTTACCTCTTCAATCTCCTTAGCTTTTGCCTAAAATCCTTCCTGGACTTAAAGTAATAATAATAATAATAATAATCTTGTTCTGTTGCCCAGGCTGGAGTGTAGTGGCAGGATCACAGCTCACTGCAGCCTCGGACTCCTGGGCTCAAGTGATCCTCCTGCCTCAGCCTCTTGAGTAGTTGGGACCACAGGCGTGCCCTACCATGCCTGGCTAGCCTTTTACTTTTTATAGAGATAGGGTCTCGCTATGTTGCCCAGGCTTGGTCTTGAACTCCTGGGCTCAAGTGATTCGCCCGCCTTGGCCTCCCAAAGGGCTGCGATTACAGGTGTGAGCCACCACACCTGGCCTCCTGGACAACTTTTCATTGTTGAAAATTCAACTTAAACTCTAAATCTTTCTGTTCCTCCCTGCTAGTATTGAATCTTTGCAAGGAAATTATAAGGCAAACATGATTACTGAGTACAACTTAAACTCCAGTTTCCAGCAAGTAAAAATATGAGTTCTCTTCTGTGCAGACTCTGCCATTTTGCACAGTATTGCAACCGCATTGGCCATTGTTCTCCTTATCTCTCATTCATCTATCATTTAGGTGTTCATCCCTTAAGTATGTTTTGAAAAAGAAACGTGTTCCAGATGATTCTGGGGGCTGAGGGGAATTTGGAGATGAATCAGATCCTGTCTCAGGGAGCTTATCATCCAGCGCAGCTGAAAGTAATGAGAGGAATGACGGGCGCTGGTATTTAGGAAGACCTTTTACTACGCCATTGGCCCTTCCAAGGGCTTTGCCAGTTTAATTTAAAGACATTTAACGCGCTTCCTTCTACAGTTATTTGGGCACTTGCCCTGTGCCAGGTACTTTGTTAGGTGCCGGGGAGATCACCGCCAACGAGATGGTCTCCTTTTCTTCAGGGGGCTTACAGCCTGCAGTGGGGGCCAGTGTTGAGGTGTGCTGCGATCCGCTCTGTGTTGGGCCGTGTGGAGGCTCAGAGGAAGGGCATTTGACCTAGTGTATTAGTCTGCTCATGCCGCAGTGACAAATGCCACCACTGGGGGGCTTCCACAGCAGAAGCTCGTCAGTCCGGGAGTCCAGGTTAGACTGCCAGCACGGTTGGGTTCTGGCGAGGCCTCTTCCTGGCTTTTAGATGGCTAAGTCCTCACTGTGTCCTCACATGGTGGGGACAGAGCTCTCTCTCTCTCTCTCTCTTCTTAAAAGACCACCAGACCTATGGGATTAGGACCCCACCCTTAGGACCTCATTTAACTTTAGTAACCTCCTAAAAGTCCTATCTCTACATATAGTCATATGGTTAGAGCTTCAACACTTGAATTTCCGGGAGGGACACAGTTCAGTCCATAGCACCCAGCTTTGGTGATTCAGGGAGGGTTTGCTGGAGGTGTCAGGAAGTTAAACCCCAAAAGATGAGAGCATTTACCAGGCAAAGGCAGGAGGGCGAGTGGATGGACAGGAAGCTTGTTAGAGGGCGTGGCACATGCAGAGACCCTGAGGTGGCAGAGGGGTGATGTGTTTGGGAAACTGTCAGTCACAGCAGTATACATGCCAGTGTGTCACAGAGTGAGGTGGGCACCATTAGAAGGACAGGTGTACATTTCTGTCAAAGTTCCAAGGATGCCCCAGAAGGGAGAGGTGGCCCTTGGTTGCATATTGAGTGTCAGAGATGTTGTGCACGTGGGGATGCCAGCAGGGAGAAGCAGATTGCAGCCTTGGGAGGTCTTTGACATAAAGGTGCGGACGTGGGAGGGCAAGGGACCTCCATGGGCAAGAGTTCTGTATGGCGGAACACTCTGCAGAATGAGGATGGCGCTCGTCCTGCAAGAATGTGGTGAGGAGTCAGTGTCGGGTCAGCGTGGGGTCCCGTCCATATGAAACAGTCTAGAAACAGTTTTTATAAACACAGAATTTGTAGGCACTTCACCTTGTCATTGAGTTTCCACTGCCCAAGTCTTAGCATTGTTTTTTTATTTTTGTTTTTGTTTTTGTTTTTTCCCTTAAGGAGCAGAGGTCCCTTTCTCATTCAGTTACTTGGTGATTAAAAATAAGAGGACGTGCTCTTGAGCCCACGGGTAAACTTCAAGGTAAAGAAGTCCTTTTTACCAGTGTATGTTTATTTTTTACAGATTATGATTCCGATGCGATGAGCAGCTCTTATGAGTCGTATGATGAAGAGGAGGAGGATGGGAAGGGGAAGAAAACCCGGCACCAGTGGCCCTCCGAGGAGGCCTCCATGGACCTGGTCAAGGACGCCAAAATCTGCGCCTTCCTGCTGCGGAAGAAGCGGTTCGGCCAGTGGACCAAGTTGCTCTGCGTCATCAAAGACACCAAACTGCTGGTAAGACATTTGGAATCGCTTGCATTTTTTGTAAGATTGCTGCACTCAGAAGCCATGGCGTTTATATCCAGTCACCATTAACATCAGCTGTGCAGGAAGGGCAGCACTCAGGTGTCAGCCAGGTGCCCTGAGCTAGCCGCAGTACCATGCCAGGGGCCCCCACATGCCATCAGGGAGCACTCGCCCGTGTTGTGTGTTCAAGGTTGCCGGTTTCCCAGCTCCAAAAGCAGCCAGCGAACAAAATCATTCCCATTCCCGGGCAGGGCCTGTGGTTTGCGTCTGTGGAAATGCACAAGATTTTAACTTGCCAGGAGTTGCAAGATGGATTTTCTCATTTGTAGTGAGTCAGTGGATTCCTCAAAGCCAGCTCATAGAAGTGGGACGGGGAGCAGCCAGGAAAGGAAATTCTTCTGGAAAGCTTGGGGCCAATTCCCATTTTTTTTTTTTTTTTTAAATTTGAGAGGCAGAGCAGGAAGACAAGTAAGGAACAGAGAAGCAGGGAAGGCGAGAACCTGGACCTTGCTGTGGGATTATTCCAGTGGAGACCCCAGCAGGAAGGCTGCATTCCGGGAGGACGGTGTGGCGTCCCTTCCTCCTCCCCACTCCCTCCCCACCTTCCTTCTTTTCCTCCTGCCTTTTTTTTAGAAACCATGGTTGGTTATTAGAATTATGAACTTTAAAGTATGTTTTTGCCTTTTGTTCTTCCTTCAGATTAACCTTGGGGGAATCATTGCTCAAAATTATATCATTAATTAGAAAACAAGAATTTATGTTTCTGTAGAGCACTCTAGTGGAGCAGATAATCCTTTTTTTATCTTTTTTTTTTTTTTTTTTTTTGTAAATCCAGGTTTCATCTTTGAATTGTGGGAATCTTTTTTTGTTTTACTAAGTTCCTAGGATATTATATATTTTTTAATGTTTTTGTTCAGTTTTTTAAAACAGAGTACATATTTTTTCCACAAATGTGGCCTGAATTTCTCCCAGATTTAGAATGTGCCAAAAATGATGCCATGGGGAATATTAAAAAATGAAAAAAAGAAGATTAATGTGGTCCTTATTTCCAGTCTGATATAATGGCTACAAGATGTGGATATATTATATGAATGTTTTAGAAATACATAATCAACTTTCATTTAAAAGAGAAGCTTCCAAATCCAGTGAGGGAAGCTTCGCGGTTGTGTGTAGGGATTAGCAGTTTGGGGTTCTGAGTCCCTGGTCCCTCTCCCCTGCCCTCCTCTCCCTCACCCCCTAACTTCTTAACTTCTTCCCCCCTCCCCTGCTTTGTCTTCCATTTGGGCCCCTGCCAGCTTTCCCCCTTCAAAACCAGGATGATAATACCTACTACTAAGAGTAGTTGTGAATAAGAAGAAATTAGTGGAAAAGCAGGTGAAAGCACTGTTTGGTCAAATGCAGAATCAAAGTTATTGACTTTTATTACGAAGCTTTTTTCCTTTCAAAAATGACCTATCATTCAGGGCCCAGATGACCCCCATTGGCATAAAAAATAATGAACAGTGATCAAAGCAAATACTTTCCAAGTTTAAACAGCACAGAAAAGGAAAAGCCATGTTCTTCCCCTAAATGTTCCCAGTCTGTCTTCCCACAAGTTACCGCCATTAACAGCTTTTTTTCCATCTCCTTCTGGAACTTGTTCCTTCTGTGCTCAGGTAGCTCTGGGGTGGGTACTGTGATGTACCTAGATTCCCGCTTCAGGACTGAAGGTTGCATTTCCTTGGCAGGGCTGGTGAGCCCACCTCGGGGACTGTCTGCATTGAAGAGGGGCCTAGAGCCCAAGGCAGAGCTCCCTCCCCAGGGGTCTGCATTCAGTGTGTGTGTGTGGGAGGTATAGACCCAGACTCACTGGGCAGCTGTGATGGGGCCTTCCAGCCCCAGAGCTCTCATGGTGGTATCCCTGAGGCCACTCAAACTGGGCGTCTTTGCCCACCCCACTCCTCCCTCTCCTTGCTCCTGGTGTTGTCTTCAGGACGCCCATTCATAAACCTCCTGCATGCTGCTGCCTGCTATAGAGGCGGCTTCCCAGGAAATCCCGCCTGCTAGGACTGCCAGATTGCAGCCTGTCCCTATTGCTGATTGCATATCTCTCGTGAGGCATTTAACTTAAGGAAGAATATGTTATAAAGTTCCCTTTCTGAAATGATAAGCGTTTGAGATGTGGGGTTTGCTAATTATCTGATCTGATCACTATACATTTTCTGTATCAAAGCATCACTCTGTACCCCATAAATATGTACAGTTATTACATGTCGATTAAAAAGGTTTACACAATTTAAAATCAAAAAATAAAATTCCCTTTCCGATTCCTTCCATTGTACGATTAGTTGCTTTTCACCTTTCTTTTTATACATACTCAAAATGCAGAAAATCTCAAATGGTCAACATTCATAAAAATCTGAGGTTAGTTGAGGTATTTTTTTCTTCCTTTTCAGATCAGTTGAGTTTTTAAAAAGGGGATGTATTTCTTATCTGTGTACTTCAAAGTCCTGGATTTAGAAGACCAAAACAGGAAGGCTGGGCGCTGTGGCTCAGGCCTGTAATCCCAGCACTTTGGGAGGCTGAGGCGGGCGGATCATGAAGTCAGGAGTTCGAGACCAGCCTGGCCAATCTGGTGAAACCCTGTCTCTACTAAAAATACAAAAATTAGCCGAGTGTGGTGGTGCACGCCTGTACTCCCAGTTACTCAGGAGGCTGAGGCAGGAGAATCGCTTGAACCCAGGAGGGGGAGGTTGCAGTGAGCCAAGATCGTGCCACTGAACTTCAGCCTGGGCACCGGAGAGAGACTTCATCTCAAACACACACACACACACACACACACCCCAAAAACAAACCAGGAACACACACACACACACACACACACATCCCAAAAACAAACCAGAAAGGACTCTAGAAATCACTTCTGAAAATAACTATCTATTCATTCCTTCCTACATCAGTGAATGTTTAGAGTCAAGATGCAGGCTCTGCACGTGCACAATTGGGGCTGGAGTCCTGGTCTGGTCCTGGTCTGTCACTTTTCAGGTTGCCTGACTCTTCAGGCAGGTGACTTAACCAGCTGCACCTCGGTTTCATAATCTGCAGAATGAGCCACCATGCTGATTGAGGTGCTTGAAATGCCTCATATGATGTCGACATTCAGCACTTGGTAGCAGATGTTATTGTTGCTAATAACTTAATTCCATAAAATAATAATAACAATAACTGCAAAACACATTTTGCAAACGAGGAAACAGACTCAGGAAGTTTAAGAAACTCCCTGGGATGCAGATAAATTAGTAGTAGATCTAGGACCCAGATCTGCCCTCTTGGACTGTTAGGAGGTATGCTTTGGCCCCAAGTAGTACAGGTAAACAAACGGGGGTAAGGGAAGCTTTGGGCAATGATTTGATTCTCAGTTTTACAGATAAAGATTAAGCAAGAGCCATTTGAGTTAAGTCTCAGTTCTAACCTTACCAGTCGAAATCTTTAGAGTGAATGTCAGTTGTGTAGATGGATCAGCTTTGTATATTATACATTGCTGTTATCCTCTTACTAAAATAATTTGTGTCTTTCAGAAAGAGAAGATGAGATAGGCAGATAACAAGCAATATAGGTTATTAGATAAAGTATCCAAATTATTCCATTTTCTCTCATTAGGGCTGTGGAGTTGCAACAAATCTAATAGTATATTTTATATATTATTCACATAAATATAAATGTATTTTATATATACATTTAAATAAACATTTATGTTAAATATATATTTGTGTGTGTTGGGTTTTTTTGTTTTGTTTTGTTTTTCTTTGTTAGTTGGAGACAGAGTCTCTGTCACCCAGGATGGTGTGCAGTGGTGGTATTATGGCTCACTGCAGCCTCGGGCTCCCAGGCTCAAGGGATCCTCCTGCCTCAGCCTCCCAAGCAGCTGGGACTATAGGAACACGCCACCATGCCTGGCTAATTTTTTATGTTTTTGGTAGAGATGGGGTTTCTTCATGTTGCCCAGGCTGGTCTTGAACTCCTGGGCTCAAGTGATCCACCTGCCTCAGCCTCCCAAAGTGTTGGGATTACAGGCGTGAGCCATCGTGCCCAGCCTATGTTTTTATTTATGTAAATACATTCATGTAATTTAATGAAGAAGCCCCACCGGATCATAAACTGTATCAGAGTAGGGACTTTTGGTGTTTGTTGAATCCTGTGATAGATGCTCAGTAAGTTTTTCTGAATCAGTGAATGGATGTACTTTTTCACACTTGGAGGCGAAGTGTCTGTGAAGAGCACTGTGTGTATGTGTGTGTGTGTGTGTGTGTGTGAACCTGCTCATCTGCAGATTCAGACTTTCAGATGCCTTGCCCGCACTCAGGTTTTCATGATGCTAGAGCTTCCTCAGTGTTTCTGTTCGAACTCCCTTATAATATCAGTTGATTTGTTGTGTTGAATGCAGTGCTATAAAAGTTCCAAGGACCAGCAGCCTCAGATGGAACTGCCACTCCAAGGCTGTAACATTACGTACATCCCGAAAGACAGCAAAAAGAAGAAGCACGAGCTGAAGATTACTCAGCAGGGCACGGACCCGCTTGTTCTCGCCGTCCAGAGCAAGGAACAGGCCGAGCAGTGGCTGAAGGTAGGTTGTCTGCTGTGTTTCACAGCCATTTCAGTTCCACATGCCTTTCTGAGATCCATTTTAATTTTAATTTTAATTTTAATTTTGTTCAAGCATAGGCAAGATGGATTCACCCAAAGAGTTTTGTCTTTAATAGCTAAATATTCTGATGACATGGAGGTTAATCAGAAACCCCGCGTCACTTTCACTCTTATCTTTAAAAGGCAGCTTGTCTCTGTTTGTAGGCTGCTTCGACGACTTTCTCTTTTATTTTCCACAGTGTCACTTTATTGTGTCTGCATATGAATTCTTTTTAAATTTTATTCTGGTTGGGATTGGCTGGGCTTCTGAAATCTTGTGGATTTTTATCTTTCTAAGTTTGGGAAAATTTTTTCAGCCATTTTCTTAAAATACAGCTTTTCCCCATTTCTCCTTCTTCCCTGAGACTACATTTAAATATATGTTAGACTTTCTCACTATATTTACTTCTGGTTTCTTTTTGTATTTACCAACCTTTTTTCTTTGTTTGTTGAAACAAGGCTTGGCTCTGTTGCCCAGGCTGGAATGTAGCGGTATGATCGTGGTTCACTGCAACCTCTGCCTCCTGGGCTCAATCGATCCTCCCACCTCAGCCTCCCAAGTTAGCTCGCATGACATGCCACCATTCCTGGCTAGTTTTTGTATCTTTTCTAGAGACAGCATTTCTCCATGTGGCCCAGGCTGGTCTCAAACTCATGAGCTCAAGTGATCCGCCCACCTTGGCCTCCCAAAGTGCTGGGATTACAAGTGTGAGCCATCGTGTCCAGCCCTAACCATTCTTTTTTCTTCTTTAGTCTGGTTTATTTTTCTTGTTCCTTTCCAGCCCATTATTTCTGTCTTTGGCTGCTTCTAATCTGCTATTAAATGTGTTCCTGTTCACTGGGTTCTTAATTTTGGTGATGGTAGTTGTCTTAGTCTACTTGGATTGCTCTGATGAAATATGATAAACTGAGTGGCTTATTTATAACAAATGTATTTCTCACGGTTCTGGAGTCTGAGAAGTCCAAGATCAAGGGACCGTTCTATTCAGTGTCTGGTGAGGGCCTGCTTCCTGGTTCACAGATGGCATCTTCCATCTGTGTCCTCATGTGGCGGAAGGGACAAGGCAGGTCTCTGGGGCCTCTTTTATAAGGGTACCAATCCCATTCATGGGGGCTCTGCCCTCATGACCTAGTCACCTCCCAGAGGTTCTGCGTCATAACACCATCCTCTTGAGGGTTAGGATTTCAGGATATGAATTTGGGGGAACACATTCCGTCCATGGCAGTAGTGTTCAGTCCTAGAGTCTCTAATCTTTTTGGTTTGTTTTTGTTTTAGAGTTCATTTTGGCTTGTATCTAGAATTTCTAGTTGTTTCTTCTTCAGGCTGGAAATACTATTTGTACATTGTTAAATTTCTTTTAGAAACGTTTACTTGACGTTTATCTTCATAAATGTCATCAGCATGGTGGTTTGACAGTGGTTTTGGTGGAGTTTGAACCTGGTTCTGTTGTCTGTTGTGCTGTACTTGTTCATGTCATTTTTGTCATCCTTGTGCCAGGTTATCTCAAGTTCACGCTAGGCATTATATTAGGGGAAAAATTATTGAAATCTTTTTTTATAACAGCTTTATTGAGGGATAATTCACATACCATAAATTCACCCTTTTCAAGTCCAATTCAGTGGTTTGTGTTTTTTTTTTTGGTATATTCACTGAGTTGTGCAGCCATCACCATAGTCTAGATGCTGAATTTCGTCGCTCCAAAAAGAACACTGTACTGGCTGGGCGCAGCGGCTCATGCCTGTAATCCCAGCACTTTGGGAGCCAAGGTGGGCCGATAGCTTGAGCCTGGGAGATTGAGACCAGCCTAGACAACATGCAGAAACCCTGTCTCTGCTAAAAGATACAGAAAATCAGCCAGGCATGGTGACACGTTCCTGTAGTCCCAGCTACTCTGGAGACTGAGGTGGGAGAATCACCTGAGCCTGGGAGGTTGAGGCTGCAGTGAGTTGTGACTGCGCCACTGTACTCCAGCCTGGGTGATAGGAGCGAGACCCTGTCTCAAAAACAAAGAACGCCATACCCATTAGCAGTCATTGCCCTTTTGCCACCACCCCTGTTCTTCTTAGGCAGCCACTTACCTGCTTTCTGTCTCCGTAGAGCTGCCTGTTGTCAGCATTTCACAGAAGTGGCTCTTACAGTACTTGGGCTTTCGTGGCTGGCTTCTTTCATTTAGCGTCGTGTTTTCAAGGTCCGTCCATGTTGAAGCAGATTTCAGTTCTTCCTTGCTCTTTATTGCTTCTTGGGTCATATGTAAGAACTGATTACTTGGATCCAGGGTCCTGAAGGTTTACATGTGTATTTTATTCTGAGAAGTTTACAGTGTTAGCTCTTACATTTAGATTTTTGATCCACTTTGATTTAATTTTTTGCATACACTGTGAAGTAGGGGTCCAACTTCATTCTTTTTCACGGGGGTCCCCAGTTGTTCCTATGGAAATAACTTGATTCCTAGAACTCTGCTTTCCACTACCAAGGAGCATTTTCCCTTGCCTCTCCCGCACACTTGGGGGTGTTAGCGCTCCAAAATTAGTTTATTCTCAATTCAGGGTTTGAGGTTTTCAGCCACCCAGGTAACCTTAAGGCAGCCCTCAGTCCATTCAAGAGCCACCCAGGTAACCTCAAGACAGCCCACAGTCCATTCAAGAGCCACCCAGGTAACCTTGAGGCCGCCCGCAGTCCATTCAAGAGCCACCCAGGTAACCTTAAGGCAGCCCGCAGTCCATTCAAGAGCCACCCAGGTAACCTTAAGGCCGCCCGCAGTCCATTCAAGAGCCACCCAGGTAACCTTAAGGCAGCCCGCAGTCCATTCAAGAGCCACCCAGGTAACCTTAAGGCAGCCCGCAGTCCATTCAAGAGCCACCCAGGTAACCTTAAGGCAGCCCGCAGTCCATTCAAGAGCCACCCAGGTAACCTTAAGGCAGCCCGCAGTCCATTCAAGAGCCACCCAGGTAACCTTAAGGCAGCCCGCAGTCCATTCAAGAGCCACCCAGGTAACCTTAAGGCAGCCCACAGTCCATTCAAGAGCCACCCAGGTAACTGTAAGGCAGCCCGCAGTCCATTCAAGAGCCACCCAGGTAACCTCAAGACAGCCCACAGTCCATTCAAGAGCCACCCAGGTAACCTTGAGGCCGCCCGCAGTCCATTCAAGAGCCACCCAGGTAACCTTAAGGCAGCCCACAGTCCATTCAAGAGCCACCCAGGTAACCTTAAGGCCGCCCGCAGTCCATTCAAGAGCCACCCAGGTAACCTTAAGGCAGCCCGCAGTCCATTCAAGAGCCACCCAGGTAACCTTAAGGCAGCCCGCAGTCCATTCAAGAGCCACCCAGGTAACCTTAAGGCCGCCCGCAGTCCATTCAAGAGCCACCCAGGTAACCTTAAGGCAGCCCGCAGTCCATTCAAGAGCCACCCAGGTAACCTTAAGGCAGCCCACAGTCCATTCAGGAGCCACCCAGGTAACTGTAAGGCAGCCCGCAGTCCATTCAAGAGCCACCCAGGTAACTTTAAGGCAGCCCGCAGTCCATTCAAGAGCCACCCAGGTAACCTTAAGGCTGCCCGCAGTCCATTCAAGAGCCACCCAGGTAACCTTAAGGCCACCCGCAGTCCATTCAAAGGCAGGTTTATATTTGTTTCAGTTCACTCTTAACTCCAAGTTACATTCCGTTGGGGTCTCCATCCTGCTTATGGGTATTTTGCCAGGGACCCCCTCTTTGGCATGCCCTGGACTACAGCTTGGATCTCTCTTCCCACTGAGCCATTGGAGGTTCTGCCTTGCCCCTCAGCTGCCCCCTTGGGGTAGCAAGGCAGTCCCAGCCACCAGGCTTCCCTTCTGAATTTCCATCTTCTTCTGGATTTTGGCCCAGGCCTTGCTTACTATCATAGTAGCTGCCTTATGCTTTCGGAAAGATGCTTCCTCTATTTTATCTTGCTTTTTTTTGAAAAAAATTTTTTTTAAATTTCCATAGGTTATTGGGGAACAGGTGGTGTTTGGTGACATGAGTAAGTTCTTTAGTGTTGATTCGTGAGATTTTGGTGCACCCAACAGCGAAGCAGTATACACTGCACCCAGTTGGTAGTCTTTTATCCCTTACCTCCTTCCCACCCTTTTTCCCTGAATCCCCAAAGTCTATTGTGTCATTCCCCACAGTCCACTGTGTCATTCTTATGCCTTTGCATCCTCATAGCTTAGCTCCCACTTATGAGTGAGAACATACAATGTTTGGTTTTCCATTCCTGAGTTACTTCACTTAGAATAATAGTCTCCAATCTCATCCAGGTTGCTGCAAATGCCATTAATGTATTCCTTTTTATGGCTGAGTAGTATTCCATTGTATATATGTGTGTGTGTGTGTGTGTGTGTGTGTGTGTGTGTGTATGCCACAGTTTCTTTATCAACTTGTTGATTGATGGGCATTTGGGTTGGTTCCACATTTTTGCAATTGTGGATTGTGCTGTTATAAACATGTGTGTGCAAGTGTATTTTTTTTATAATGCCTTCTTTTCCTCTGGGTAGACACCCAGTAGTGGGATTGCCTGATTGAATGGTGCTTCTACTTTTAATTATTTTAAGAAACCTCCAGGTCGGGCGCAGTGGCTTGTGCCTGTAATCCCAGCACTTTGGGAGGCCGAGGCAGGCAGATCACAAGGTCAGGAGATCGGGACTATCCTGGATAACACGGTGAAACCCTGTGTCTACTAAAAATACAAAAAACTAGCCAGGCATGGTGGCACGTGCCTGTAGTCCCAGCTGCTTGGGTGGCTGAGGCAGGAGAATTGCTTGAACCTGAGAGGAGGAGGTTGCAGTGAGCCAAGATTGCACCACTGCACTCCAGCCTGGGTGACAGGGCAAGACTCCATCTAAAAAAAAAAAAAAAAAAGACATCTCCACACTGTTTTCCATAGTGGTTGTACTAGTTTACATTCCCACCAGCAGTGTAGAAGTGTTCCCTGTTCACCGCATCCACACCAACATCTACTATTTTTTGATTCTGGTCGTTCTTGCAGGAGTAAGGTGGTATCACATTGTGGTTTTGATTTGCTTTCCCTGATCATTGGTGATATTGAGCATTTTTTTGTATGTTTGTTGGCCATTTCTATAACTTCTTTTGAGAATTGTCTGTTCATGTCCTTAGCCCACTTTTGATGGGATTGTTTGGTTTCTTGTTGCTAATTTGTTTGAGTTCGTTGTAGATTCTGGATATTAGTCCTTTGTGGGATATATAGATTGTGAAGGTTTTCTCTCACTCTGTGGGTTGTCTGTTTACTCTGCTGACTGGTTTTGCCATGAAAAAGCTCCTTAGTTTAATTAAGTCCCAGCTATTTAACTTTGTTTTTATCACATTTGCTTTTGTGTTCTTGGTCATGAAGTCCTTGCCTAAGCCAATGTCTAGAAGGGTTTTTCTGATGTTATCTTCTAGAATTTTTATAGTTTCAGGTCTTAGGTTTAAGTCGTTCATCCATCTTGAGTTGGTTTTTGTACAAGGTGAGAGATGAGGATCCAGTTTCATTCTCCTACATGAGGCTAGCCAATTATCCCAGCACCATTTGTTGAAAAGGGTGTCTTTTCCCCACTTTATGTTTTTGTTTGCTTTGTTGAAGGTCAGTTGACTGTAAGTATTTGGGTTCTCTATTCTGTTCCCTAGGCCTATTTGCCTATTTTTATACCAGTACCATGCTGTTTTGTTTTGATGACTATGGCCTTATACTGTAGTTTGAAATCAGGTAATGTGATGCCTTCCTTTGTTTGTTCTTTTTGCTTAGTCCTGCTTTGGCTATGTGGGCTCTTTTTTTTTTTTTAACATATGAATTTTAGGATTGTTTTTTCTAGTTCTGTGAAGAGTGACGGTTATCTTGCTTTTCTAATTGTCTTCATCAGGAAGATTGGCCCAACCCACCTAGTCCATCGTTGCCGGCAAGTACCTGTTGTGAGAAAAGGGCTCAGGAGTGGGGTGGGAAAACCTGGTAGAACACTTCATAGCAGAAGGTCTTATACTACACAGGTCTCCCTCCATCAAACCTTCAGTCTCTTTCGCTGTCATCCGCAGGAAAGCATGTGGTTCTGACCCCATGACAAGAGCAGTGGCTCCCACCGCTGTCTGCCAGCTGCTCAGGACACACAGATGCTTTTTTTTTTTCATGTTATTGGCAGTGGCTGAGGCTCTTCCCACATCTGTATCATACGGGAGATTCAGGAGAGCTTTTTTCCCCTCCAGATGATCCTTCTGGAAGTCCTGTGATTGGAAGTTTCTACTGTCGAGCTTACTTAGCCTTCCCAGCATGGAACTTTAATATGTTATACATCAGCCACCACCATTACCAATTTCACTAAAGCCCTTTACACTCACAAGGGACTTCTCTGCCATCATTGCTTCTTAACCTCAAAGCAGGCGTGTGTAGTTTCATTTGTCAGCTGACAGCCTGAGTCTCAGGTGGGCGAAGTGCTACCATGATCCATAGCGATCAAGCAGGGGGTCTAAGTCAGGGTTTCCTGGCTTCACATTTCATTCTCACTGTGTTGGGCCATCTGACAGTTTGCCGTTCCCTCTTTTATTCCACATTTCTATGACCATAGTGCCATCCCTTCCGTAAGGAGGGAACGACAATTATGGAATTCAGTGTGAAGCTTTCTGTATGATTCTGTTTTCTTCACCCGATCCCATGCTTTTGGTCACCTGTACCCATCCTTCTGCGTTCTGTGCTTAGCTCTTCCTCAGTGGAAACCCAAAAAAGGCCGCTCTGAAATTTCAGCTTTCTTCTTTTTCTCCTCTGTCCTTACAGTTAGTTAAGTATTTCCTGCACACTGAAGAGCAGCCCCCTTCTTGCTGGTGCTGGTCTGACATGAAGTCATCCTGGAGTGTCACTGGGAGAGGGCGTAGAGCCGACAGTGCGCTGACAAACAGACCAGTAAAAACAAAACTTTCTCAAGATGTCAGACGCTGATGGGGTGAAATAATCTTGTATCGTGTTTCACCAGATGGGAGCTACTTATAGATCAGAGGCACTTAGCTAATTATAGAATGATGACTCCATTTATGAACGGAAGTTAATTGCAAGAATTTTTTTTTTTTTTTTTTAGCATTTGCTGATTTTTCTTAAAAGGAAAGTAAATAATACGGGGTAAAGTATCTTTTCTAAAGAGTTTAAATTGTTCAGTTACTCTATTTTTCATGTCTGTGATGTTACTTCCAGTACATATAATGGTACAGGAATCTAAGAAGTCTTGATTAGAAAGGAAAGTCAGATGACAAAACTAGTTTCAAGCAGTTACAGAATTATCTTGGGCCAGCAGAGACTTGAGATGGGCTAGTGTAGTTTCTTCCAGATACTGTCATTAGATCAGAAACACTTAGAGATGTAAAAAACATTGATTCCCAGTGATTCAGATTTATTAGGGACTTAAGAATCTTTTTTTCCCTTTTTACTTTGTATTATTTTTATATCCTTTTAAGGTCTAAAATGCTACAGATAGAATTGAAACATGCCTCCCCTATTTAAGTCTCTCTCCCTTCCCAAAGGCGACTTTTATCTGAATTTGGTCTTTATTATTATCTTGGTATGCTTTTAAAAAAATACTTTCACTTCTGTAATCCCAGTGCTTTGGGAGGGCAAGGCGGGAGGATCACTTGAGGCCAGGAGTTCAAGACCAGCCTGGGAAAAATAGCAAGAGGCTATCTCTATAAAACATTAAAAAATTATCTGAGCATGGTGGCATAGCCTATAGTCCCAGCTTCTTGAGGGGCAGAGGCAGGAGGATCGCTGGAGCCCCAGGAGTTTGAGGTTTCAGTGAGCTGTGATTGGGCCACTGCACTCCAGCCTGGGTGACAGAATGAGACCTTGTCTCTAAAGATAAATAATAATAATAATAATAAAACCTTTCACTTATATGTGTATATAACCATTCAAGGTAAATGATACTTTATTCATGTTTTAGAATTTCTGTGTAAATGGCTTCAAACTCCACAAACCCTGCAGCTGTTTTTTCTCACTCAGAATTATCTGCTTCTGATGGCCACTTTTTGTGCTCACGGGCTGTTGCTACTGCAGGCCGAGGTGCCGTGAGGTCTTCCAGCACATGTCCCACAGCCTCGCGTTTCTTGTCTTCTCTAGGACGCTCCTGTTACATTGGAATTGCCTTATTTAGTATGTGCACACCTTCAGCATCACCAACTCTGCCAGATTGTCTTCCAAGATTATTTGTACAATTCCCTTCTCCCAGCGGTGCAGGAGAGTTACTATTTTGTATGTATTCTTTCAGAGTTTCCTTGTACATAGGCAAGCAAATAGCAATGCAGATTTCATCTGCTTCCCCCTCGCCCCGCCCCATAGAAAGGGTGCAGCATTTTGGACCTTGTTTTTTTTTTTCCACCTAAACAAAGTATCCTGGAGATTTTTGCAATTTAGAGAATAGAGCACTTCCTCTTTCTTTATTACAGGCTATAACATTTTATTGTATGAATAGACCATACTTCAAAAAGATAGTCTGTCTCCCATTTATGGACATTGGGTTGCTTTCAGTCTTTTGATATTACAGACAATTCTGTATTAGATAACCTTATGCTTATCTCATCTCACACTTTTGCTGGTCTGTAGCCTAAATTCTCAGAAAGAGTAATCACTTCCATGAAGGTTATCAGCATTCGTATTATAATTTTGATGTATAGCTAAGGCACTCTCCTAGGAGGTTTACCAATTTTCCCTCCCACCAACAATATATCAGAGTGCCTTTTCTTCCTGTAGCCTTGCCAATAGAGTGTGTTAGCCAACTTGTGAGTTTTTGCTAGTCTGATGTGGAAGGATGGTATCTCAGTCTAGTTGTAATCTGCACTCCTCTTATTGTGAATGACACTGAGTATTTTTTATAGGGTTTAAGAGCCTACAGTTGTATCAGTATTTCTGTGAACTGTGTTTATATCCTTTGCTGTTTTTGTCTGTATTCTTTGCTTATAATTCTCTTTTTAAGGAGTTCTCAGATGACTGAGGCAAAGCCAGGTTTGGTAATAACTACCCTTGCTCAGCACCCCCATTTCCTTTTAAGAGGAGGCCTCAGGGAAGTGGTAGGATATCAGAGAAAATAAGTCTTTTTGTAGTCAGATAGGCAGTTAGGGTAAATGGCATCCCACAACCACTTTGAATAAAGTTTTACTTGATTTTTATAATTGCTTCTTAAGTTCAGCATAATATAACACAGCCAGGAAAAGGACTTGGGAGCCAGTATTGTGTGGAGAGATAGTGTATTAGTCTTCTCATGCCGCTATGAAGAAATACCTTAGACTGGGTAATTTATAAAGGAAAGAGGTTACATTGACTCACAGTTCCACATGGCTGGGGAGGCCTTGGGAAACTTACAATCTTGGCAGAAGGGGAAGCAAACACGTCCTTCTTCACATGGCAGCAGGAGAGAAGTGCGGAGCAAAAGAGGGGAAAGCCCCTTATAAAAGCATCAGATCTCCTGAGAGCTCAGTAACTATCACGAGAACAGCATGAAGGTAACCGCCCCCATGATTCAATTACCTCCCACTGGGTCCCTCCCATGAGACATGGGGATTATGGGAACTACAATTCAAGATGAGACTTGGGTGGGGACACAGCTAAACCATTTCAGACGGTATAGGTAGAGCACAGACTGGAGTCAGACTCCTGGGACTATGACCTGAGCCCTAGCTGTTAGGCACTGTGTTTCTTGGACAAGCTATGTGACTTCTCAGTGCCTCTGTTTCTTCATCTGTAAAGGTGGGTATAATAATGGTATCTGCTTTCTAGAGCTATTGTGAGGACGAGATGCTAAGACAGAGTGTTCACAATGGCAGAAAGCATGTCATGAGCCTTACATAAGTAAAAGCTGCTCTTACCACTGTTGCTTTTCCTCTGCCACCACCTCTGCATCTCATTAGGCTCCGCATACGCCTGCAGAGAACAGGCCGGATAGCTGATGACAGCAGGATGTTTCTGGGGGCAAGAACTGGACTTACATCACCGCTTCCCACACTCCTTTGGCCAAACTGTGGGGGAGGCTGAGAGACAGACTCTTCCTGTGTCTGCTGAAAGAAGAAACCACATGGTGAATAAGCTGCTGTCTCGAATTTCAAAATAAACCAAAACACCCTAAGGCAACCATCTTAAGCAGTTTTGAAAATGCTGCTTTCCTTTTCTCATCAGGACGTAGCAGAGTCCTGGTGCTGGTGGATCCCAAGTTCACATAGCCAGCCGGGGGGCGTGGGGGCGACGCTATAGGGATTTCTTAGCATCTTGTGGTTTCAAGCAGCCCTAGGTGAACACAGAGTGGCTTTAATGTGCTGTGCAGGTACCATAGTGGCTTTGCCAGAGTTCTCAAGGAAGAACCACAATATGTTTACTGTATCCATTGTCCTTGCAGAACCTGAATCCTGTGGACACCCACATTTGAAGCCACGTCTTTAATATTCACCGGGCTGAATTCACCTTCCACATGCCCTTCATTTCCTCCTGAAGATTTGGGTGTTCAGTCACTTTCATTTCCTTTTACCCCAAAGAAGTTATTAAAACAAAATTTTAAGAAACCTTTTTTTATACAGCGAATCTTCTGGAAGTCAACTCTCGGAGCCTTGACTGTCTGGAAGGGTCTTCATTTCTCCCTCGCTCGGATGAGACGTCACCCGCCCTTTGTGCCCATTGGTCCTCCGGGTGTGGAGTGTCCTTTCCCGCCTTCCTCCTCTTAAGATTTGTTCTCCACATCTGGTTTTCAGCAGCTGACTGCGATGTGTCTCAGTGCGGTGGTGTGGGTTTTTCTCTTTCTCAGGGTTGGTTGTGCTTCTTTGTTCTATGGGTTGGTGTCTCTCAAAAGCTTCACTTGGGGAAGCTTTTGGCCGTCCTCTCTTGCCTCATTTTTCTCTCCTCTCCCTTTTTTTTTTTTTTTTTTTTTGGAGACAGAGTTTCACTCTTGTTCATGCTGGAGTGCAATGGCACTATCTCTGCTCACCGCAACCTCCACCTCCCGGGTTCAAGCGATTCTCCTGCCTCAGCCTCCCAAGTAGCTGGGATTACAGGCGTGTGCCACCACCTGCAGCTAATTTTGTATTTTTAGTAGAGACGGGGTTTCTCTATGTTGGTCAGGCTGGTCTCGAACTCCTGACCTCAGGTGATCCGCCTGCCTCAGCCTCCCAAAGTGCTGGGATGACAGGCATGAGCCACCGTGCCCGGCCTCTCCTCTCCTTTTGAAGTTGCATCTGTAGGTATGTTGGGTCCTCTGATACTTCCCGTAGATTGTGGATACTCCGTTGTGGTTTCCTTCACTCCTTCCGTGCCTCAGCTTGGGTGGACGCTTCTATTTACCTGTACTCGGGCTTACGGGTCCTCTTCTCTCCTGTGGGCTCTTCAGCCCAGCTGATGACGTCATCTTTTCTGAGATCCATTTTTCACTTCTGGCATTTCTTTCTTTCTTTTTTAAATCGTTTCCATCTCTGCTGAAGTTCTCCATCTCTTTATGTCGCCTGCCTTTTCATGAGCTATTTCAGCATGTTTTATTTTAGTTATTTTAACATCTTTGGTCATTCCAATATTGGGCCCAGCTCTTGGGCTGCCTCTGTTGAATTTGTCTCAGGAGTTTCCATGACATTCCATGCGTTTTGTGTAGAAGAACAGCAGAGACTGACAAGAGTCCTATTTCCCTGGAGAAGGGTGTGCCCGCCTCCTACCCTGCTCCCCACTGGCAGCCTGTATCTGGCTCTCCTGCAGGTGGGGAGGGGCTGCACGTTGTTGCAGCTTCACCTTGCCTCACTCTCACTCCCCTACTGCCTTCCAAACCATTGACGTGTTGGATCAGGAGTTTCCTGTCGTTGGCATGGCATGGCCCAGGACCCAAGACCCGTGGTGAAAATCTGAAGATCTCTTTTGTGTGCTACAGACAAGTGCCAGCTTTCTAAACCAGCTTGATTTTGTTTTTGTTTTTGGCCTACCGGCCAGCTTTTTCACTTGCTAAGTGGTCTCTTTTCTCTGCAGTCTTGCCTCTGGCTTTTTGTGCCTTGGGCGAAATCCCTCTGTGCTGTGCTCTGTCTCCAGCTGTGGATGCTCTGGGAAGCCTGGGCCTCCTGGGAGGGGCGTCTCTCTGCTTCCCTGCCTTCCCCTGTAGGGCAACTGCCTTGCACCTGGGAGAAGGGCTGTGCCTCTGGGGGCGGCGGGGTGGGGTGGGGACTCTCCAAACTCTGTTTCCTTGCCTCCAGCTTCTGTTCTGTACCTGCATACCCAGTAAAGACCTTGGAGAGAGTTGGCAGGTGACTGTGGACTCATTCTGTCACCGGGGCACCTTGAATTGTCAACAGGTATGCCAGCCCACACAGTGAGAACTTGGCTGGCTTCTTCCCTGTCCCAAATATGGTGGGTTCCCCCTTCACCCACCATTCTACCAGTTAGAAGGGGGCCTGTGGGTCACTTTTTTCCTGCAAAGGAGCCTTCACTTTTAGGATTTAGTTCATGTAGGTTTTTTGCATCTTCATTGCTCAGAACGGTTCAGACGTACTAGGACTTTTTTTTTTTTTTTTAAGCATATCCACTTGTTTTATTTGTCAGGGTGGGAGTGATGGTCTTGCATGCTCTTCTGTGTGGTAACTGGAGTAAAAATGCCCTGTGCCTGCTGCCTTTTCTTCTTCACAGTCTTGCCAGAAGTTTATCAATTTTATTAGTTCTCTCAAAAAATATCTTTCTGGGCTATGTTAATTTTTTTTCCTGTAGTGTGATTATTTTCTACTTTATGTAGTTCTTTTTCTTTATTATTTTGCTTCTACTTTTTTTTAGCTTAATTTGCTGTAATTATCGCAACTTCCTGAAGCGTACACTTAGATAATTGAGTTTTTAGCCTTTTTTCCTTATGCATGCATTGAAGGCTACATGTCTCATTCTACACACAGTGTTAACGGCACCCTCTACGTTTTGATATTTTGTACTTTTATTATTCAGCTCAAAATATTTTCTAATTTCTGTCTTGATTTCTTCTTTGACTAATGGTTTATTTGGGAATATAGTGCTTACTTTCCAAATAGTTGATGTCTTTAAAATTATCTGTTTTTAATTTGAAAGAAGTCAGTGTTGTTATAGCTCTTTATTTCACCTTGTAAAGGCCACGTCTTGGTGACTGAGGTAGATTTTTTTTAAAAACTAAAGAACTGCCGCATAAAAGGAACAACCCCTGGTGAGCCAGAAGGTAGTGCGCTAGAGTGATGGAAAGGTGGGTGAGAGTCGGGAAGCATAGGGTACATTCCTGGAATACCATTAACTCGTTATGATATTTTGGGGCAATAAACCCTTTCCCGTTTATCTATCAAGTGGAAATAATCATCAGAATTTTCAAAGGGGTAGAATGAAATCATGATATAAATGCATTCTTAGAACTATAATAAACAGTGAAAATATGAATGATAATATTTGTATTACCCCTTAGGGTTAACAAGTCTCTAACATGAATTGTTTTATAATACAAATGCCAAGTCTTTTATTAATATAAACTGCTGTTATCCCATATTGTTCAGTACTAATGAACCAGACTTTCAGTCTTTTGAAACACAGCTTTGGAAAAGATCTGTATAAATTTATATTCATAGATTGCATAGTGGTCAAATCAGAGATTTCAGGGTATCCATCACCCAAATAATGTACACTGTACCCTTCACCAGTTCCTCACCATCCTTCCTCCCATTCCCTCAGTGCCCATTAACCAATTTCTCGCCATCCCCCTTCCTCCCGTTCCCTCAGCCTTCCCGGCCTCCATTGCTGTCATTCTCCACTCTCCATTCACGTGTAGGCATTATTTAGCACCCACATGAGTGAGAACATGTGAGATTTGACTTTCTGTGAAACGTAATTTTAATGTAACCATTAAAAATCTTTAATGAAGTTGCACACGCCCTTTGTCAAGTCTAAAAAAACCATGAGAACTGTGTTTAACCAGTGCTTGACTTTGCACATACTCGTGCAAGAATTACTGCCAAATTTGTTTCTGCTCTCTGTCTCCAATTTCCATTACTAGTGGTTCTTGACAGAATTAACTGACTGTCTCTGTGTGTGTGTGTGTGTGTACACAAATGCTGAAAACATGAGCCTTTGTGTAGGGGTCAAACAGAAGACAAGAGCCAATATTCCCAGAAACGGAGTGGTCAGATTTCCTTAAAAAATGTGCAGAGATTGTGTTTCTGGAGTCGAGGGCTCAAGTTAAAAGCAAACAAAATACCACAAAATATATAACAATTTGTTTTTTTGGAGGATTTGCGATTCTGAATTTGGATCCAGTTCTCTTAAATACACATTGAACCTCATAGGACATGGCTCTTCAAGTAGAAATGTATTAATAGAAGCCTCATTTATAGCTGTTCAAAGAATTGGAGTGATCAGTGCTTTACTTATTACTTCTGACTAAACTCTGCAGGTGCAGCTTGGCAATCAACAGAGATCCAAAGTAGAAAGACAGTTTCATGAAAATAACCTGACCTCTCCGACTGGTTGAAAAACTTTGTGGGAATAAAGACTGGTTTATGCTGATGCATGTTTTTAGCAATGCCTTTCTTCGTACCTTGGACATAGTTATTATGCCTGGGGGAAGAGAGTCCCACGAAGCTGGGATGCCATGAGCCACCCCCTTGCTGGGCACCAGGTTGATCCTGGGCCTGCTCTGGGTTGCTGAATGCGATCCTCCCAAGCACTGTTGGAGATGCTGTTATTTTCCTGGGGCAATGTGAGTTCTAGCTGGGAGAGAAGTTAATGATTAGAGAGCAAACGTGGCTGGCTTGTCTGTGTTCCCCATTCTAAGCATTCAGATTACATGGTTGGGTGTACCAGGAAAGCTTCTTGGAAAGGCGATTACGTGAGGTGCTTTGATGCTGGGCAGCGTCGTCTGTCTGCTAGAAAGTCGGAGCTGATGGGAACAGGAGAGGGATGGGGACACTCCAGGGACCAGGCGAGTCTGCCAGGAGCTTAGCCAGGGTGTGTGTGTTAGGGTAGGGCTGAGTGGGGAAGTGCGTATGTGCCAGATGGCTTTTATCTACTTTCCTTTAAAAAACACACAAAACAACACTTTTTCCTCTTGAGGATTTTAGAAACCAGTGCCGAGGACTGGGGAAGCTTGGTCATGAGGCTCTTCTTATTTTAGTGATGGCCTACGTTTCTTTCCTTCTGTTTTTCTTTCCTTCTTTTTTTTCTTCATAGAAATCTTAATTCCAGTTTCTTTCCTCATTCCCTCATTGTTTTCCCTTTAATCAAACTTTTGGTTGCTGTTTCGAAGTAGACATTGGGAACAGTGACAAAAGCAAGGCCCAGCCCCTCCCATGAACACGAGCACAACTTAGTAGGAGACACAGGCCTCTGTGGGCATGTGTGGAGGGGGAGCCCTGCCTTATGGACCACACAGAAGGGCCAGAGCAGGCTTCCTGAAGATGGGAGACCTCAGCTGAATCTTGAAAGATGAGTTCTATTTAGCTATATAAAAAAAAGCACAGCTCCTCCAGAAGACACCATTCACACAGCCAGCCCCTCCACCCTACCCAAGAGGCTGCTGGGAATAATTGGAGTAGTGCTGCCAAAGAAGTTCCCCTGTTGAAAAAAAAAAAGAAAGAGGGGCCGGGCGCAGTGGCTCACGCCTGTAATCCCAGCACTTTGGGAGGCCGATGCGGGCGGATCACAAGGTCCGGAGTTCAAGACCATCCTGGCTAACACGGTGAAACCCCGTCTCTACTAAAAATACAAAAAAAAAAAAAAATTAGCCGGGCGCAGTGGCGGGCGCCTATAGTCCCAGCTACTCAGGAGGCTGAGGCAGGAGAATGGCATGAACCCAGGAGGCGGAGCTTGCAGTGAGCCGAGATCGTGCCACTGCACTCCAGCCTGGGCGACAGAGCGAGACTCTGTCTCAAAAAAAAAAAAAAAAGAAAAAAGAAAAAGAAAGAAGACAACCGTTTTTTTTGAATAAAAACATTTGCCAGAGATCATGGGTTTTGGCAGGTTATGTTTTATGGGGTACAGCCTTTTAGTGTAAAATGAAGAGCATGTCAGGTGCGTTTGTATAATGGAAGCACATTTTCATTTATTTAACACTATTAAATATAATCGTGGGGAGAGTTCAGGTTTCCTTAATGCCTGTTAGGGGAGAAATACTGGGCTGGATACTTCACATTTGTTTTAACGTTTAGTTTTCACAATGACCCCCTGAGGTATTATTTTGTGCGTGTTATTGAGGAAGGAAGCAAGGCTCTGAGAATTGCTCAGCTTCACATAAACAGCAAGTGGTCCACCTGGGGTTTAAACCCAGGTGGGTTTGACGTAGAAGCTCAGGAGTTTTCCATTGCGTGAACATGCCTTCCCTAGTGAAAAGAAAGTCTTGTCCTCAAATCAAATAAAAATTTGCCTTGTCATTTGGAGACTTAATAAACACCTTAGGGTAGGTGAGGGAGTAAAGACCAAAAAAGCAATTAGCATGAAAGCGAGAGAAACAAGAGAGATCAGACACACAGATCACTGCATTGAGGTTCAGGTTTGCTCATGCTTCCACACCTCGGCATTAGCAAAGAGGAGATATGACAGCGAGCTCTCTGGGTTTCTTCTTTCATTTTCTTTCTCTCTTTTGTAGTCTCAACTGTGGACATCACTCTGTTGTTTTTTCATAAAACAGCTGAGGAGCAAAATGGCTGGAAACACTATCCTGGTCTCTTGTCAGGCCTTGGATTTAATCCCAGCACCAGCACAAGCTGAGGGAATTTGGATCTGTCTGTGGAGGCCCAATTGCAAAATTACTACACACATATCTGGGACTTTGGTGTTTCTTTTTTGCCCAGAAGAAGCTTGAGTTTAACTGAAATTGCAGCTTAGTCCTAAAAAGAATAGAAGACATTTTGAAAATTTTGCCTGCTAACTTTTCAGTTTTAAGAATGTAAGTTTTGCAAGTGCTGGAACCTTGTCTGTCTTATTTGCTGCACGTCCCCCGTGATCACAGTGGGCCTGGTTGCTGATGAGCTCAGTAGGGGTTGGAGAAACATGTGGTGACTGCATGTAGGGGGCGGCTGGGAAAGCCCTCGTGCACGGAATCCTGTCCTGCAGGCTCACCATCCCTGCATCTGGAAGTCTAGTCCAGAATCATTTTCTGAGCTCTTATCATAGGTCATCAAAATGCTGACAGTAATGACGGTGTTGCTTCCATGGTTTGAATGTACACGTGCCACATGCTGGCTTAGACTTCTTCCATAGCGGATCTCACTGTCTCAGTTTAACCATAGTCCTGCAAGACAGGTAATCTTCACACTTATTCCCTCGCTGGGGAGGAAACTGAAGCTCTGAGAGATTAAATACTTTCCCCCAAGGCCACACAGCTGGTAACAGATATATGTATATATATATTTTTGGAGATGGAGTTTCACTCTTGTCGCCCAGGCTGGAGTGCAGTGGTGCGATCTCGGCTCACCGCAACCTCTGCCTCCTGGGTTCAAGAGATTCTTCTGCCTCAGCCTCCTGAGTTGCTGGGATTACAGGCGTGTACCACCACACCCGGCTAATTTTGTATTTTTAGTAGAGATGGGGCTTCTCCATGTTGGTCAGGCTGGTATTGAGCTCCCGACCTCTGGTGATCCGCCCACCTCAGCCTCCCAAAGCATTGGGATTACAGGTGTGAGCCACTGCGCCTGGCCTGGTAACAGATAGTCTTACTGAGAAAGTGGACTCTGTCAGACAGGATGTGCTAGCCTCTCTGCCTCCTCCCTCTTCCCTCCACATCCTCACTCTGCCTTTCATTAAAATGGAACCATCCTTCAGCAGGAGAAGGAACACTTTGGAAACGCCTTCCTTTGCTCATCTCCTCCTCCCCCACTCCTAGTCTCTCCGCTTCCCTTAGGGAGTCACGGCTGTCTCTCTCTCTCTCGGCTCATCTCCCTCCGTGGAGCTCTCTTCTCCCTCTCCTTGGAGACTGTGCTCTCCTGGTTTTCTGCCTGCTTTCCCGTGCCTTCCAGCTCAGCATCTTTTACCAGCTTCTCTCCTTTAACTCTACTCCTTGACGCCAACGGGCTCCAGGTCCTTCTCCCTGATCTCTGTTCTTCTCTGTCTTGCCATCTTCCCTGGTAAACTCATCCAGACCAAGGCTGTGAGCATCATCCTTTTGCCAGTGGCTCCCAGTTTATTTCTAGCACTGACTAGAAGTTTGCTGTTGACTTCAAACTGGCTTCTCTCCACCCAGCCCATTTCTCTGTCCAGTCTTCCTCTGAGTAAATAGCACCACCCAGTTGCTAAGAATCCAGGAGTCACCTTGGAGTCAGTTCTTTCCCTCAAGTCCCATGTCCAATCCAGCTGGGCCTGGCGATTCTCCCTCGGGTACCTCCTGACTCCCTGTCTGTCCTTCTGTCTTCAGTGGGGTCACTCCAGCCTCTGCTGCCACCTGCACTGCTACAGCAATGTCCTCTCATGGATTTCCCTATGCTTTTTCGTTGTTGTTGTCCCTGTATAATTATTTCTTCCCACAGCAACTAGAGTGTTTTCTACAGCCTTTTAACAATCAAGTGCTGGTTATGCTTTAGGCCCTGTCTTGGGGCATTTAACCTTCAGAAGGTAGGCACTGTTGCACCTGCACTTTTCAGATGAGGAAGCTGAAGCACAGGGCAGTTAATTGATTTGTCCAAGGCTAAAGCCAGGATTAAACCCAGGCACTAGGTCCTGAGCCAATGCTCTTGAATCCAGTCCCTCCTCTCCTTGAAATGCTCCTAGGGTCTGTCTTCTCCTGGGCCTGAAGTCTCCTACTGGCCTCCTGCCTCATCTCCTACCACGTTCTCCCTCTCCCGTCCTGCCAGTTTGCACTCCGGGTTATTCCCAACTCTTCACATCCACCGCAGGGCTTTTTCACCAGCTGTTCCTGCTGCCCAGAGCCCTTTCCCGCCAGTTGTTCGCATGGCTGGACCCTTCAGCATCATTGCATAAGGCCCCCTGGTCTCTTGATCTAAAGTAGCCACCCACTATCTTTTGTTCTTTGTGGCACTTACTGCGGTCTCGTGTTGCTGTCATTCTTTTGGTGACCCTTATTGTTCATGGCGATAAATAAATTACATGGAATGAAACTCCATGCCAGCAGGAAACGTAGTTGCATGTTCCATGCCCTATGTTAGTACCAGCGTTGATAGACTTTGGGTGAATGAATGCATGGGTGAGTGAACAAATGAGTACCTGGCACGCTGGAACTCAGAGCCAGGTGCTTTGAGCCCATGAATTTCCCTACCACGCCATGTGCCTCTGTCTGTACAACTCACAGTTCAAGCCTTTAAGTATCTCTGCCTTTGGGCATACTCACAAAGTGTCTGTGCTTTTTATAGGTGATCAAAGAAGCCTACAGTGGTTGTAGTGGCCCCGTGGATTCAGAGTGTCCTCCTCCACCAAGCTCCCCGGTGCACAAGGCAGAACTGGAGAAGGTAAGGGCGCTGCTCTTGCTGGGTGGGGACGGTGACCTTGCAGTGGATTGGGGTCTCTTTCAAAGTTTGATAACAATCTCTGAGAATTTCAGCGCTTCCAGTTAAAAAAGAAAAAGTGCAGTCGTGCTTCCCATCTTTTTAACTGCCTGCTTTGCGCTAAGCTTGAATTAGTCATTTTACAGACTGTGTAGTTAGTGTTGTTACTCCCAGCTACAGATGAAGCAATGGATTTAAATGTGTGAGGGCCTTGTTCAAGGTCACATAGCTATTAAATGGCAGAGCTGAAGTCTGAAGGCAAGCCTGTCTACTTCCGGAATACAGCAGGCGTTTCATAAATGTACCTTCCCAAAGGTCTCTTCCCAGCAGACCAGGATGTGTCTCTGTCTCCCTTTGCTTTGCACTCTTGTTGCTTGTTGGAAGGCAGAGGGGCACAGCAGTGGGCGGGGATGGCCTGTCATCTGTACACCCCTTTTTGCCAGAAATGTATGGAGCCCATCACTGTGACGCCGCAGGCCCTGCTCTGCATGCACTTTGCTTGTCTAAATCCAACTGATATTGTTTCCTTGGAGACCCCTGGCTTCCTGCCATGAAACCTTCTGTTGGCAGCTTGTGTCCCTGGGACTTTCTGAGCCCTCCCTCTCTAACCTCCTGCCATTGAAGAGACAGATCCCTTTTTGCCTGTCCTCATATAAGTCAGGATTCTCCAGAGGAACAGAATTAATGGGATGTATGTATGTAGAAGCAGATTTCTTAGAAGGCATTGGTTCACATGATTATGGAGCCTGCAAGTCTGAAACCTGCAGTGTGGGCCGCAGGCGGAGACCCAGGAGAGCCGATGGTGCAGGTGAAGTGTGAAGGCGTCTGCAGGAATTTAGGGAGATTTCACTGGCTCAGGGAGGACAGTGTTTTTCTTCCACTGAGGCCCTGAAATGATTGGAGGAGGCCCACCCACATTACAGAGGGCAGGCTGCTTACTCACAGCTCCCTAATTTAAATGTTAATCTCATCCCCAGATGCCCCCCACATTGACACGTGAAATTAAACATCACAGTCCTCATCCTCATACCGTAATGGAACAGGCTGTTTTTCTCCTTGACTACAAAACTAATCTCTGCTCACTTTAGAAAATTCAGAAAGCTCATAGAAACATAAATGGGATGAAAAAAGTCACTCATTACAACAGCACATAGAGGATGCAGCTCGTCTTAACACTACTGATATATTAACCACTCTTTCCTGAGTTCAAGGTTTTTTTTTAATGGTTTGGATAAGCTTATGCATAAAGTTTCTTATACTGCTTTTTTTTTTTTACTTAACCTTTATATTATTAGCAAATTTCCAGGTTTTTAACAACTCTTAAGCCACAAACATTTTTACATTTTCATTAGCTTAATGTCAAATTTGTATGACTCCATTATCACTTATGTAACTGCCCCCCCCATTAGTTGTTTTGTCCTTTTGTTTTGTCTTTTTGTTTGTTTTCTGAGATGGAGTTTTGCCCTTGTTGCCCAGGCTGGAGTGCAATGGCACCATCTTGGCTCACTGCAGCCTCCACCTCCTGAGTTCAAGTCATTCTCCTGTCTCAGCCTCCTGAGTAACTGGGATTCCACCAAGCCTGGCTAATTTTTGTATTTTTAGTGGAGACGGGGGTTTCACCATGTTGGTCAGGCTGGTCTCGAACTCCTGACCTCGTGATACATCTGCCTTGGCCTCCCAAAGTGCTGGGATTACAGGTGTGAGCCACCGTACCTGTCCTGTTTTGTCCTTTTTTGGCCATCTAAAATAAAATAGTACTTGACATCTTTTGCATAATTTTTGCTGATTCTCTGCCTATTACCTGAGAATAGATTTCTGGAAGCTGAATTACTAGACCAAAGGATAGACCTCTTTTTCTTTTTTAAGATCTCGATTCATGTTGAAAATCAAATTGCTTTCCCAAAAGGTTGATGCAATTTTATTTCCCACCATACTGCATCCAAGTTCCTCATCCACGCACTCACACCAGAATTGGCAATTCTGCTTTACTTATGTTGGTTTCTAAGGCAGTACCGTGAGCACCTGGCTGGACCTGTTGCCCTGGATTCCCCCAGCTGTTCCTGGTGTGAGAGCCAGGGCGGTGCCAGCTCTAGGTCATTGTATCCCTGGAACTCAGCTTCCCACTAAGTGGCACTGGTTTCTTCACTGCAGCTCTTAAGGGATTGCCCCTCGAATTCCGAGTTGAACACACATGTTCCTTTGTGCCTGGGAACTGCTCACATATCTCATCTGTGTCCCAGTCTCCAAGGCCCTCGTGGAAGGCACAGGCTCTGAGGACGGTGTTTGGAGGCCACTCCCTCCGCTATGACCCCACAGGTTCTTGGGTGGCAATGGAAGGGGTCTAGCTGTAAACACTCTACCTCATTCAGATACTGACGTGGAATCCTAATTACTCATTAAATCCAGACGTTAGGACTGAGATAGTGACAGTCCCCCATCCCCCTCCAAGGGTTTTGATAGCAACCTTGCCCTCACTCTGTGTACATTCTGAGTGTATTGTTACAAGCAGATACTTGACACTCACCCAATTAATTATTGGTGAATGACAGGAAGAAATTAAATGGACTATGGAATATTTACTTCTGCGAGGATAATATGGCTTGGTGAGGGAAATATTTTTTGTAATCATAATATTTTTTTCAAAATCATTTACAAGAAGTGATTTGAATGAAATAGGCATGAGACAGTATATATATAGGTTAGTATAATTATAGCCTCAGTGAGGTTTTTCTTTTTTTTTCCCCCTCTGGATGTTTTTAAAGCGGTTGTGGCCACCTAACCAGCCAGTCTTTGTTATAGTTAAGCTCTAACCACTTCTGGATTGCTATGAATTTGGCCTGTGTTTTCTTTCACTTTTGAGATAACTTTTGGTTGATCCATCACACATCACTGGGTCCAAGTGACCACTGTAAGAATAACTTAATCTTTTTCTCCTTACAGAAACTGTCTTCAGAGAGACCCAGCTCAGATGGGGAGGGTGTTGTGGAAAATGGAATTACCACATGTAATGGAAAGGAGCAAGGTGAGTTCTGCTTGTGCCAAAAACATATATACACTAAAAAAAAAAACAAAAACAAAAATCTACAGCCAGGTTTGTAAAGTCTGATTGTACGAAAAATGTCCTGGGTGATTCAGATGTGTAGATATCGTCATCATGGCAGAGGATACTGATGGGAGTGCCGGAAAACCCTTTGGTTAACATCAACCCTGCAGGTCTTCTTTTTCCATCCTGCCAGACCTTGGCCGAGGTTGCCATCTGTTGTCTTTTTCTGCCCTGCATATGTTTTGAACTTATGACTCACAGCTGGTTATTTCTTCACTCGATCTGTCACTGAGACAAATTTGCATTGGTGAGCAGCCGGCATGTTGCTTAGGGACCTGGTGTCCAGTGAAAAGCACTTTGGATAATGAGGCAAGAAACCCACTTTCCCATTCAAGCTCTGCCTTTGCTGAGCCCCATGATCTTGAGCAGGTATTCCCTCTTGATGAGCCTCAGTTTCCCCATCTTTAAAATGAGGAGGCCAGACCTGCCGATTTCTGAGGTTCTTAAAAGTGATTTTCTGAAAATGTCTTTATTTTGCCTTCATTTGAAACATTTTTAAAAATGTACATTATATAAAAATATACATAATATAAAATATACCATATTAACCATGTCTCAGTGTACAGTTCAGTGCATTAAGTACATTTATATTGTACTGTCATCACCGCCATCAGTCTCCAGAACTCTTTTAATGTTGCAAGAGCGAAGCTCTGTCCCTTTTAAACACTGACTCCCCATTCCCTCCTCCCCCAGCCCCTGGCACCCGATTTTGCTTCCTGTCTCATGAATCTGACTCCTCTAGGGACCTCATTGAAGTGGAGTCCTACAGGCCGTGTCCTTCTGTGAGTGCTTATTCCACTTAGTTCCATGTGCTTAAGGTTCATCTGTGGTGTGGCCTGTGTCAGAATTTCTTTCCTTTTTAAGGCTGAATAATATTCCATTGGATAGATGGACCACATTTTGTTTTCCCATTTATCTGTCGATGAACACTTGGGTGGTTCCCACCTTCGGGCTAGTGTGAAAGATGCTGCCGTGAGCATGGATGTGCAAATAAGCCTGTCTTACTTTTTCAGGCCAGCTTTCTGGAGACAGAAATTAAATGCCATAAAATTCACCCTGTTTGCCATACTGTTGGTGAGTTTTGACAAACACTGACAGGCACAGAACCATCACCACAATCAAGACACGGAGCACGGCTCTAACCCCCCAGCCCCTGTGCTCTTTCTCCCCCGTCTGCCTCTGCCTCTACCCGAGGCCCTGGCAGCTGCTGATCTGTTTCTTATCCTTTACCAGAATGTCATAACGTGGAAGCATCTCGGTTGCAGACTTTTGAGTGTGGCTTCTTTCACTCAGCACGCTGCGTCGGAGAGTCGTCCGTGTTTGTGGCTAGTGTCACTAGTTGGTTCTTTGCTGCTGCTGGAGGCATTCCACTGTGTGGATGGACCGTAGTCAGCCCATTCACCTCTTGAAGAACATTTGAGCTGTTTCCACTTTGGAGCGACGGTTGAAAAATCTGTTCTGTGCATTCAGAGACAGGTTTTTGCGTGGACATATGTTTTCATTTCCCTCGGGTAAATACCTAGGAGTGGATTGCTTGGTCATAGGCTTCTCTCCAGCCTCAGTATTGTCACTTTTGTTTTGTTCTTTCTATTTGAGCCATTTTAATAGGGGTGTAGTGGTATGTGATTGTGTTTTAATTTGCATTTCCCTAATAACTAACAATGTTGAACATTTTTAAATATGTTTATGTGCCATCAGTATATCTTCTTTGGTGAAATGTCTCCAGATATTTTGCTCATATTTTTATTGGATTATTTGTGCTTATTGAGTTTTGAGAGTTCTTTGTCTTTTCTGAATACAAGTCCTTTATCAGATGTGTTTTGGATGTATAGTCTCCCAATCTGTGGCTGGACTTTTAATTTTCCTTAGCAGTATGTGGACGGAGGTGAAGGGCAGGACTTGTGGCTGTGGAGGGAGAGTTCCCACTGCAAAACCAGACAGCCTGTTTGCTCATTGAACCTGTGACCTTGGCTGCTCAGCTGAGTAATCCAACCACCCAAATCCACCTGCCCACTCCTGGAGGGAGCCAAGTGTTTCCTGTCTCTGTGGTGAAATCACCTTAAACCAAGTAGCAATCCAGCCCACTAAGAATCTTGGAGCTCAAAGAATCTGGACTGTTATGACATTACAGAGTTCACTCTCAGAGGTCACGATACCCACTTTTTTCATATGTGGTTTTCTAAGTCTGTCCTATCTGAGTGCAATTTTGGTTCTGTCCATCGGAAGTTATTCAGTGGAAAGTATTATCTGTGTCTTCCACAGGGCACACATTATGTGTAATCAAAACCAGGAAAGCTATCTTTAAGTTTTGCCCTGAAATAAAATAACATACAATCTCAATGTTCCTGCTTAGAAGTTGAGGCACAGCAGACGTTGGTTTGGTTGGTTCATTTTCTGGTTTGCTGTTTCTTCTCCCAGTGCATCTATTAGGTTCTACAGAATAATATGTGTGTCTGGATGCACTTGTAAGCAAATATATCTGTATTTAAAATTCTCCTGTTTCCTCTTAACAAGAACAACCTTCTATGCTTTGGAATTAAACGGTGGTGACCTTGGTTTACACATTTTCTTTTTGTCTGGCATGGTGCTTTGCATGTAGCAGACGCTCGTTAGTTACTGGAGAAAGTTAAGGTTGAAGTACATTCTAACCTTCTCTCTTAGCTTTTATCCTTGCCTCTCACTCTTGACCAGTTTGCACCTGAGAGATTTGAGTTAAGCTCCTTTTATCCCAGCCATGTGGTAACTCAGACACATTTCTCTGCGGGCTGCATAGAGAAAATCCTGAACTCATACAGCTTTTTCTTAGTGTTAGAATCTCAGATGAAGAAAGAGACAGTCCAGGCTCCATGCGGTCAAAGCCACAGGGAACGACTCTGGAACTCCTGTTTCTTCTCTCAAGGCGGAATCCCTCCTGTCTAATAAACCGACACAGTATGGTTGATCCTGCAGCAGGTGTGAGGAGTGTGGGCTGAGAAGGTCCTGGGACCTTCTGTTTGGGGGCTGTGAGGCTCCTCAGCCCCACTTCACATCTGTAAGATGTGATCATTTGTGAATGTGTCTGTTGGTAAAAGTCATTGAATAAATAGTCTGACAGTATTAATTTCTCATGCCCCTATTCCTCCCAGTAGCCTAAATAATAATACTAAAAAGCACCTGAATTCCCGTTTCCGTCGGTTACTGGGAAACTCTCTGGGTTTATGATACTCATGGTTTTAGAGAATGCCCGGCGTTAGTCTTGCTCCAGTGGCGTGCGCCAGTGCCTGCCCACCTCATGGGCCAGCGTGTGCCTGGATACTCCAGCTTTTCTACCCTCTAGCTGCAGGGGGCTGAGCGTTCTGAGTGTTGAGTTTTTCTTCCTGGTTCTGTGATCTGTGCTCATCTCTGCCTTTTGTTTGATACATAGCATCAAGTTGTTCTCGATGGTTTTCTCCTCATGTTCCCATATACTTGGATTTTTTCGCCCCAGGATTACCATATGTCTGCCTTTGTAAAAAACTGATCAGGGAGTATTCAAGGAATTCCAAGTTTTAATTATGATCTCATTTCTTTGCAGTCAGAGTCGAGCAAGCACTTTGTCGGTCAAGTTGGGCGTTCATCTGACACCCCAGCTCACCGCGATGAGCTGCATTTTCTGGGGGGGGCCACATTATCTGTGGGGGATACCTCTTGCTCCACCAGCCTTTCTGAGGGTGCCCCGGGCACTCGGGCTGTCCTGGCCAACAGGTTATTCTTTGTAAAGCTCACGGGAATGCGGCTGTGGTGAAACATCCTCCTCTGGGTCTTCAGAAACAGCTGGGAGGGGCCGTCCGCTGTTGCTGTCCCTCTTGGTTTGGTTGAAGTAACATTGAAGTGATACAGCTGTCCTAGCCGCCGCTCCCTGTCTGATGGTAGCTGGGAGGGGCTGTGCCTTCAGACTTAGGGATCGAAAGCCAGTCTCGGCGCTTTATTTTAAAAGAGGGTGTGTACGTGTTGGGAGAGTGGAAGGAGGGGTGGGGGTGGCATTCCTGGGTTCTTTGTTTCTAATATCACAGGAGGCCTAAGTCTGATTTGTTTAAAGTCACACAGAAATGCTGGGACTGTGTTGCGTTAGTCAGCTTGGGCTGCCATAACAGAATACCACAGACTGCGTGGCTGAAACAACATGCATTTAGACGGCCCTGGAGGCTGGAAGTCCAAGACCCGGGTGCCGCCAGGGTTGGTGTCTAGCGAGGGCTGTCTTCCTCCAAGGCGGCTCCCCTCCCGCGCCTTCACACGGCCTTTCTTCTGTGCCTGTGCCGTCTCTTCTTAGAAGGGCACTAACGCTATAGGACCAGGACCTAAGCGGGAGGGTGGAGTGTGGGAGGGCAAGGCCCGAGGCAGGAGACACCAGGGGTATGTTCTGCCGCCCTAGCGTGTTTGGCTGTGGTGGGGGCACCAGGGTGGAGGCAGAAAGAGGACCACTTCCCGCTCCCCAGCAGAGAGAGGCGGAGATTGGGAAGGATAAGGGGACTGCGTGTGAGTGTGTGCGTGTGCAGAGGAAGGGTTTAGGAGTTAGGCCAGGGCGCGTCGTCTTGTGTCCCTGGCCGCTCTTCCTCTGCAGTTCTTCCGTGGGATGTGTGTGGGTTCATTTGTTCCTGCGGTGGGGGTGGGAGGGAGTCCTTGACTCTCATCACCTTCTGAAGTGTCTGTGATCTCCGCAGCCAGCGGGTTGAGGGATTCATGCTGGAGATGAAGGGGAAAGGGTCGGGCGCTGGGGTTTGCCCACGACACTGAGAATCTCTCTGTCCCCTCAGCTCCAGTGAGCCCTGCAGTGCAGCTGTGTCCCGAGCGCCTCGCCGGCCTCCCCTCAGCTCCAGTGCTGGGCACATAACGGCCCTCAGGAGATGAGACGGGCAGACAGCTCACCTTCTCCGAGGGTCGCTCTCTGGCCCAAAGGATCTTGTCACTCGGTTCTGGTGCTGTCTCACACGCACGTTCTGATTTCTTGCCTGATCCCTGCCCCTGCAATTCCGCCGGAGGTCACGGACAGAGCCCTCGGCAGTGGAGAGAGGTGCCAGTGACGGGATGGGGCAGACATAGGATGCCAGCTGGCAGCTGACTCTGGGCCTCCATCGTGGGAGATGATGGGGAGTGATGAGAACCGCCCCGTGTTGTCCCTCACCGGCCCGTCTGCATGGAGACTGCTTCTGTGGTCCTGCCGCTGTTGCTTGCCCACATGCGGGTCCAGAGTTGCTAGACTTCCATCTTTCAAAGGAAGCCAGGCATCATTTTTATGCACAATGTGTATGAGTTCTATGTTTCAAAAATTAACTCCAATTTAACACTGTCCTGGCTAAACCGAATATGAGGGGCTGGAAGGCAGGCCCCTGGTCTGAGAGCTCTGCATAGGGCCGAGTCAGGTGTCTCACAGATGGCCGAGGGGCTCCTGAGGAAGAGTCAATTCCCCTTCCTTTCCTGGGCCTCCCCTTGCCAGCCAGGCCAGAGCTGCACTAGCTGCCTTCTGTTCCTCAGACACTTGGGGCTGCTTTCAGCCTCACAGCTTTTGCGTCAGTGATGTTTTTCTTACCTGGACGGTTTTCTCCCTGAGATGTGCATGGCTAATTATTAACTTAAGTCAACTCCTGGACAGGCTTTCTCTGACCGCCCGGCTGCTCTTCCACATAACCCTATCTTAGATCTCCATGTGGTCCTTGTTACAAGCTTCCTACCAGCAGCCCTGTGTTGTGCTGAAATCCCAGCATCTAGACCAACAGCCAGCACGTAGCAAGTGCTCATTAAGTAAAAGTTGAGGGAAAGGCCGGGCACGGTGGCTCACACCTGTAATCCCAGCACTTTGGGAGGCCAAGGTGGGTGGATCACTTGAGTCCAGGAGTTTGAGACCAGCCTGGGCAACATGGGGAAACCCCATTTCTACAAAAAGTACAAAAATTAACCAGGCCTACGTAGTGACACGCACCTGTGGTCCCAGCTACTCCGGAGGCCAAGGTGGGAGGATCAGTTGTGCCCAGGAGTTCAAGGCTGCATTGAGCTGTGATCACAACACTGCACTCCAGCCAGGGGACAGAGTGAGACCCTGTCTTTAATAAAAGAAAAAAATGCCAAGGGAAAGAAGAAATGGGTTTTGATGTATGTTTTTTTTTTCAATTAATATCTACAATTAAAACATGCTTTTTTGCTGTTGTTACTCTTGACAGTGAAGAGGAAGAAAAGTTCCAAATCAGAGGCCAAGGGCACTGTGTCGAAAGTCACTGGGAAAAAAATCACCAAGATCATCAGTCTGGGAAAGAAAAAGCCGTCCACAGACGAGCAGACCTCCTCAGCTGAGGAAGATGTTCCCACCTGCGGTAAGACTGCGCTTCCCGGAGACGAGCAGCGTGCACCTAAGTGGGTTTCATTTTCTCCTGCAGTGGTGTCGGTACCCAGTTCATCCAAGGCTCGTTAATTTGAGCTCTTTTGCATTGGACTTGGAATCATTCAGATAGTGGGAAATGTATTAAATGTTTACATTTTTGCCTCTTATTCATACAAGACTTTGCAGGCCTTTTAGATGATCTCTAAGGTTCTTTCAAGGAAAAAAAAAAATTTCCCTTTAATCCTCTGAAGTTCCCCCAAATCCCTTGGAAGTGTTTTTAAAGGACAACATACGCAGGGGCTGCTGGTAAAGAAAGGATTATGGGAAAACCTTTACAGAACTAAGGCCAGTTCTTTCCCTTGGGCAAAGTGATAAAACTAAGTGGGGTGGGGGGAGTGGGGAGGGATAGCATTAGGAGATATACCTAATGCTAAATGATGAGTTAATGGGTGCAGCACGCCAGCATGGCACATGTATACATATGTAACTAACCTGCGCATTGTGCACATGTACCCTAAAACTTAAAGTATAAAAAAAAAAAACAAAAACAAAACTAAGCTTCCTTATCACGTCACTGTTAGTCACTTTCCTGTTGCTGCCAAAGGAATGCCTGAGGCTGGGTAATTCATAAAGAGAGAGGTTTATCTGGCTTATGGTTCTGCAGGCTATACAAGTATGGTGCCAGCATCTGCGCAGCTTGTGATGAGGCCTCAGGAAGCTTTTACTCGTGGCAAGGGCAGAGGGGGAGCTGGTGTGTGTCACATGGCAGGAGAAAGAGGAGCAGGTGCCAGGGTCCTTTAAACCATCAGATCTCGCAGGAACCACAGGTGTGAGAACTCCCTCATTACTACAGGGAAGGCAGCAAGCCATTTATAAGAGATCTGCTCCCATGACCCAAGCACCTCCCACCAGGCCAGCCCCCCACACTGGGGATCACATTTCAACATGAGATTTGGAGGGGAGAAATATCCAAACTATACCAATGACCGAACCAATTTCTCAAACCGAAGTTTCAAATCCAGTCTAACACACAGACCATCTCCCCGGTCAGTCTTTCATCCAGTAAGTCATCTTTGAGCAGCTACCTTTTGGTCATCTTTGAGCAGCTACCTTTTGGTGACCACAACAGCCCTGGCCCCCCATGGCTTCCAGTCTGGTAGCAAAAGATAAGTACAAGCCCAGTTACCACAGAAACATGTATGTAATAATTGGCTCTGGTTGGCGATAGGAGGGAAAACCCAAGAGGCCGTGAGAGGATCATAGGAACCTCAGTGGGCCGGGGGGATCCAGCATTGTGGGGTGGTCTCCATGAAGACATGGGTGAGAGTTTCCATCCGGAATGCCTTCTAGGCAATCAAGTTCAGAAGAACCGTGCAGCTCTTCCTAGGAGGAAAACTTGATGAGCTACGTTTTCGAGAAATTATAGGAATGTGCTGTCATTTTCCTTGTGTACTATTGCGGCTCACTCAGCTCCCTGCAGTGTGAGCCCATCATTCCTTCTATTTGAATAGTCATTCTAGTTGCCCCCACCCCTTATTGAGCACCCGTTATATCCAAGGTGTTGGGTTTTATTTTGAGATGCCAAAAGATACCTCATTTAGTTCCTGCCCCACAGCGCCTAAATGGGGCTATACACACAAAGATAAATGTATTCAACAGATCTCACGTCCCAGCGGTGTGGGCTCATGCCACAAGGATAATACAGAGGATGGGCCATGGTGGTCAGGAGGAGGGATGGATTGCAGGGGCAGATGCGAGGACCCAGCAGGCACTATGGCGTGCACTGTCTTGAAGGGAGGACAGGCAAAGTCTCAGCTCCTCGGCAGCTTTCACAGTGTGATCTGGGAAGTTGCGTCATACTGACTTCTGGTGGACACAATGAAGTTGTCTGGGCAGACAGCAGTGAAGGCGTCATGTGGTTGAAGGAGTCTTGCAGAGGGGTCCTGTTGAAACAGCTGCCTGTGGGGTTGAGTTAGGAGGGAAGGCTATCACCATAAGGGTAACCGAGGAGCCTGGTGCGTTCCAAGCTCCCTGAACTTGGTCAAATGGCAGTTGAGTCACAGAAGCAGGCCAGTTGGTACTGATGTTTTTCCACTACCCTCCCTTCCCTCCCTAAATAAGGCTAGAGCTGAAAGGGCGGCCACCCTGCCGAAGTGCTGTCAGAGGAAACAGCTGTAGCACGGAATGGGGAGGGTGAATGTGTTGGTGCCCCAGTGCTGGGCCCGCTGACCTCTGCCTTTCTTGGAGCGCATGGAAGGTGGGACTGCCTCACATCAGCCCTTGAGAGTTATCGATTAACAATAGAAAGCGGGAATTAGGGATTCAATACAGGAGTTATGGATTAAAAACAGAAAGCAGGAATTAGCCAACAAGAAGGAAACTACTCTTTTGTTTTTGTTTTTTAATGCTCCAGGTCAGTGGAGGAAATAGAAATTCTTCCTTGAAAAACAATTAAACATTAATATGAAAGGCAATTGAGAGACTTTGGCCCAAACCCGTCCATTTACAAAGGAGAGCACTGAAGCTCAGAGAGCTTGTATGGCTTGCTCGGAGCCACACAGCGAGCTGAGAACAGAGACAGCCTCTGACCCAACTGTGCTGGTTCCCTGTCCCACAGGCCTTCCCCTTATCCCTTCCCCCGAAAGATCTGAACACTCCCGTGGCTCCTGATAAATAGCTGCATTTGTGCTGGTGACTAGACACTGCGGTAAACCCTCTTCTTGGGCACTTTCTTGGAAGCACAGTTGGTCGCTCAGGGAGCAGGAATACTGAATCCACAGCATCTAATTAGACACATGGATTCCTATCAAACTGCTTAGTGGACAGCTTTTGCCTCAATATTAACAGAACATCCTCTGTCCACAAGATTTTAAAGCTGTCATCTAATTCCTTGCAGGGGAAAGGGGAGAGGGGAGGGGCTTTTAGAAAAATAAAGGGGCAACAGTGACCATTTTCAGTTATTTTAGTACAGCTGCAAAGTTTCAGGCAGAAAAAAGGAGCTGGACAAAGGCCCTTGAGACTGAGCCTGCCAAGTTGAGTCTCCGCAGCTGCTGCTCTCTGTTCCAGGGAGATGAAGGGCCGAGCTGGACTGGCCGGAAGTGCAGTGCTGCTGAGCCCATAGGACAGAGCTCCCAGGAGCCACTGAAAGCGGAGTTCAAATGCCAGCCCTTCCACACAGTGCAGCTGGGTCAGCCGTTCCCCTAAATGCAGGACAGAGCTGCTGTGAGGGCCTTGTTTGTGGGGGCAGGGGAGGGAAGGCTCTCTGCAGGTGCTTGCCGGCTGGAAAGGTTTAGGGGGGTTTGGGCCAAAGTCTCTCAATTGCCTTTCATATTAATGTGGCGAGGATTGCAGCCTGGCTGGCCAGGTCCGCCCGCCTAACCCTGCAACGCCTATTGAGTGACGTTGACTGACGCATTTAGCATTGGGCAGGTCAGCTCAGCACACAGCCGCGTAGATAATATGATCTGAGACATGCGCAAAGGCCCCTGACCAAAATTTATCTCTTATTTGCCCTTCTCCTGGGCTTACAAGTCCTGGAATTATTGTCACCGTATGAATTAAGCCGTTGTTACCAGGAAATGCGTTTCCACCTTTTTCTCTCTTCCCCATCCCTATTTCCGCCTGTGGCTGGGACTGTGGCACCTTTTGACTGGCTCACCTCATTCTACTCTGCTTCCCCCTCCCCAGGCCACCAGATGGAAGTTTTGAAACGTTAGACTAACCGTATCACATTCTGCATTGAGAAAAACCAAAAGTGCCTCCTTTGTTGCCAGTTCAGGGCCTCTAACACTGCTGTCCCCGCTTCACTTTTCCGCCTTCTACATGACTGGCGTAAGAACAGGGGCTCATTGGCTCACTGCCTGTGTCCACAGCACCGTGCAGAGCTTGGCAGACGATACCAGCTCAGTAAATACTTGTTGAATGCCATGCATTCCTTTAAGCAAATTGCTTCACCTCTGGATGTCAGGCTCCTCCATCTAGGAAATGGCTCAATACTTCAATTCCTTTGTTTTCATAAAAACTGAGGATAAAATACATGAAACACTGAGCTCAGTGCCTAGCCCATCATTTATGCTCAGTACCTGGTCACTGTGATTATCCATGTATTCATCCGACATGTTTTTTAAAAACATCACCTAAGCATACCAGACCTATCCAAGGCACAGTAAATGCAACGTCAGACAAGTAAATCATGAGAAACGGAGAGACTGAGAGAAAGGAAAGGCCCCAGGGGGCAAGTCGGAGGCTTCATGGAGCCTGGGTAGCCATTCCCAGGGTCCCTTCCAGCTGAAATGTTCTGTCACTTTATGAAGCTCTTTCAATGGCAGGATTTTTTAGTAGATATTCAGGAAAGCTAGATACGTCTCATTTGGTATCATAATCCACCTCCACGAAAAGTAGACGAAGCCAGGCACTGTAGCATGCAGCTGGAATCCCCACGACTCGGGAGGCCAAGGGGAGAGGACCGCTTGATGCCAGGAGTTTAAGACCAGCCTCAGCAACATAGCAAGGCCCCACCTCAAAAAAAGAAATCAGATGCAGTCTGATGAAAGGGCAGGAAGGCATTCTTAGTCCAGGAGCCACCATGACAGGCTGTTAGTGTACCAGCTCCTCTGCCCCTGGCCTCGTCGAGGACACACTGCGAAGAGTGGGAAGGAGGCGTTTGGCTTCGGCAGGCCTGTGATCAGCTGCCAGCAGTTTCCTGACATTTGGTTTCTCCGAAAGCTGCTTCTTGATGCCCCTCTTGCAGGCCCCTCTCCTCCTAGCTGATCAGAAACAAATACTTGCTAAGATATAATGAACAGTTACATTGGGATAAAACGTCTCTCAAAAGTGTTGAACGTTTTGGCCACATGTAACCAAAGCACAGTAGCCTCTGGGGTGGGCAGGCACTATCATTTCCCTTCCTAAAGAGAATAAATACATGGAAACGTGGCCACTCTTCTAAAAGGCTCTGCCTGCCTGCTCTTCTGCAGCTGCCGGAATTCGAGAGCCACCCGGCACTGAGACCCGCGACGCCCCATATCCGGACCAGCTGACCGGGAGGGTTTATATCTGTTCCCCTCCATCTGTATTTTTTGTTTGTTTAATCTTCGAGCTGTAAAGTTAGTTTTCTATTTCTAGCATGATCCTCTTGCCACAGTGTTGTTGCAAGAAACTGCACTCTTTATTTTGAATTTGGAGCAGAAATTAGCAGAAAACATTAAACTCAGAAATTTTTAAAATTCAGTAACACCCTACCATAATATGATAAGTGAGATTCAAAAATAAAATCAGTTCTATCTGGACCTGCCTTGTTAAGTGGTTAAATCTTGAGACGCCCTGGGTGAGCCTTGAAGCTCCCGCCTGCAGTTCTTGATCCAGGAGCCAAGTTGGCCCCGTCCTGGCTGCACTCTGGCACCACCTGGTGGTGGATGTTGCTCCAGCGTAACCTTTCCTGGACATGACTTGGGGTCCGGGTCAGCACTGATTTCATCAGCCAGGCTAGAGGTGTCAGATTGGGAGAATATTGGGGGGTCCAGAGGACCCCCTGACTCTAGACTCCTTAGATGAGGTTGTCTGCCATTTCCTTCGTGGCCTCTTCATGTTCCCCAGCCAGAAAATAGGAACTTTGGGCCTCCCCATTTTGAGAAATGGTGGCAGGGGGCTGGATGGGGTAGGGGCAGTCGCTGAAAACAGACAGGTGACTGTGGATTTACCTGCTGTTGTGAACAGGTCTGTTATCCCAGGGGATTTTTTTGGGGGGAAAATTGGGGGTATTACGATAATTGCATATAAAATCATGTTCTAAATAAAATGTGGATCTGTCCAATATAATCATCCCTTTTACAGCTGAAATGTCAAGAAATTCATAGTATCTGGTGGCCTTGGCCAGATTCTGTCAGGGAAGAAGACACCATGAGAGTCCATGTCCCTTTTCGGGACCAGGTCCCCTGTGGTTGGGAATCGGGGCCAGGTCTCCTGTGGCTGGGGATCAGGACTGGACCCCCTGTGGTTGGGAATTGCCGCCCCACTGCAGAGTCCATGCCCTCTTGGGGACTGGGTCCTCTGTGGTTGGGGATCGGGGCCGGGTCCCCTGTGGTTGGGGATCAGGGCCGGTCCCCCTGTGGCTAGGAATTGCCCTCTTGGGGACTGGGTCCCCTGTGGTTTTGGGGATCGGGACTGGGTCCTCTGTGGTTGGGAACTGCTGCCCTGCTGCACTGTGTGGTCTCTGTCATTGAGGTCACTGGCATTTCAATTCTTGGTTTCTTCTGCTCCTTATCACGGCCTCGTGAAGGGTTGCCTGGGCCCTGACCACTCCAGAGCACGGGCTGTTTTCCTTGCCCTGTAGCTTACTGCTCCTTTTCAGAAGCCATTTTTGGGCATGTTATCTTAATGCACCTCAGTATGTGAAGTTATTTGAGGGGACTCCTTGCCTTCCTCTTCCTTTCAGATACACCATTACATTTGTCAACTCATGCTCAAAACATACTTAGGATTGATACAGTTGGCTGTCATTGTATGGAAGTCTAAAAATGTAAAAGTGTCGGCTTTCAGCATGAGTGGTTACTCTAGATGGTGTCAGAGCCATGGCGAGCACGTGGTTCCCAGCGCTGTTACTCGGGTGCTCAGATATGATAGTTGATTCTCTTTTTAAGTAGAGGTTTCTTTTTTCTTTTTAAAGACTAAATGTATTGGCCTATAATTCCAGCACTTTGGGAGGCCGAGGCGGGTGGATCACAAGGTCAGGAGATCGAGACCTTCCTGGCTAACACAGTGAAACCCCTTCTCTACTAAAAATACAAAAAATTAGCCAGGTGTGGTGGCGGGCGCCTGTAGTCCCAGCTGCTTGGGAGGCTGAGGCGGGAGAATGGCGTGAACCCGGGAGGCAGAGCTTGCAGTGAGCTGAGATCACGCCACTGCACTCCAGCCTGCCAGCCTGGGCTACAGAGCAAGACTCCTGTCTCAAAAAAAAAAAAAAAAAAAGAATAAATGTATTGGAACTACATCATTTACAAATAGCATTTTGCAGAACAAAAATAGTAATGTAAGGCCCCAGTTGTATTCATATTAACAGCTCTTTATCTGCCGTCTTTAACTCCCAACAGGGGTTCAGGTCTTGCTTTGCTGTGTGGTCTTGGACAAGATACTTCACATTATCTGGGAGTTAACGTCCTCCTTCAAGAAGTAAAGCCTCTGAGACTCTTTCCTACTTTAATTCTAGGGCCTCTTCACCTCCCTGCAGCCCTCCTAAGTGTCTGAAATACAAGGAGCTTGGATCGAGTGTAGTTTGCTCTCTGAACACAAGAGGGCGGCCACGGCACAGGCCTTGGAGCCTCAGCCTGGCTCCTCCTTTCTCTGTCACTCCCTAACAACATCAGCCCACACCCCAGATGAAAGTTTTAGTTCCAGAAGAAGCAGTGTGCATTTCTCTTCAGTGTGTGTTGGTAGAAATGACATCATATTCAGCCAATGAAAATTTAGACTTTATAAGTGTGTACCTAGTAAGTCACTGAACCAATAGTTATAAGTAATAAAGCATCATTCTGGGTCCTGAACATACCTCTCTTTTTTTGTCTTTATAGCATTTATCAATTGCTAATAAGGTGTGTAAGATTGAGAACATAAAAGCAGTAAGAAACATCCTCCAAAACCCTTTTGGAAAGGCATTTTAATTGATTAGTTTTTTTTTTTTTTTTTTTTTTTTTTTTGTGATAGGGTCTCACTGTGTTGCTCAGGCTGATCTTGAACTCCTAACCTCAGGTGACCTTCCTGCCCCGGCCTCCCAAGTAGCTGGGACTACTATTGGCTGGAAAAGGAATCTGAAAAATCAGAATTGGAAAGGATGTATTTTGTTTTGTTTCTTAACATTTTTGAGGTAGGGGTATGTGTGACATTTTTGAGGCAGGGGTATGTGTGTGTGTGCATGTGTGAATTGAAGGAGTAGCTGAACTTGAGTTAGGAATCTGGTACTTCCTTTTCTGCCACTATCAACATTTTCTATGCTATTTATCTCGCTTTCTAAATCTTAAAGGAAGGGGGCAGTAATTTACTAGCATTATGGTGTGGTTGGAAGGTACAGCCACCCTGGTATCTATTTTTTCATGTCTTGTTATTTCTAGAAGAATTCATTTTATGTTTGTAACAAGTGAAAAGTGTCCATTTCCTGTATTTGAGGAGGTTTTTTTTTTTAAATGAGGATAATAATTTTTCCTGTCATTCTACCACTCCTCTATCTGTGATATACTGAAGATGTTGTGCCATACCAGAGACACGGATCACAAACTTTCATGAAGATTCAGACTTTAGAGTTTAGATTTCCTCCGGGCAGCTTCACCCGTCGCTTTGCAGTTTGAGGAGCAGGAAGGCGGCAGGTGCGTCCTCAGCCTCAGGTGGGAACCTGCACTCAGGGCCTCTGCCATCTGCGGGCTGCTTCCAGCGCTGGGGATCTTAGTGCCTCCCAGGGCCTCCTATTTCTTGGAAAGTTTTCATTTTTAGATAGTTTTTGTTTCTTCATGTTAAGCCAAAATCTGCCTGCCTGTGACTCTTACTCTACTTGTATCATTTGCAGCTCCTCAAAATAAGTGAAATCGGTTTCCAGTTTGAAGGCAGCTGTCGTGCCCCCATCCTGGCCATCCGAAACCTGATGGCTTGCTAACTTCTCACGTGCTTTAGGTGAATTCCATAGTCCCACATCAACACCAGGCATCTGGTAACTGGTTCGTTGCACATGTTAAATGAGGGGCTTCCAGATACGGCCTGTGTGGTGTCATGAAAAGCCCCCAAAACTTGTGATGCCGTAGCCACGGCTCTCCTAGTTTATGCGAATTTGCATTTAAAGCTTGATCGATCGTGTGAAGGATTTGTTTTATCCACACTCCCATCCCTGGGCCTCCTCAGTGTGACCCTAGACGTCTTCACCTCGCCTGGTCTTGTCCGAGGCGGCTGACCTGTGGCCTTGTGTCTCCGCAGGCTATCTGAACGTGCTCTCCAACAGCCGCTGGCGAGAGCGCTGGTGCCGAGTGAAAGATAACAAGCTCATTTTCCACAAGGACAGGACCGACCTGAAGACCCATATTGTGTCTATTCCGCTCCGTGGCTGCGAGGTGATCCCGGGTTTGGATTCTAAACATCCTCTGACGTTCCGGCTGCTGCGCAACGGCCAGGAGGTTGCAGTATTGGAGGTAGGATATTTCCCAGGGGCTGTACTCCACAGAGGGACACACGCGGTGATCTTCCTTTCAAAAGGCGAATGCTGACTCCTCTATCAAAATTCCTCCCATCTCGCTGACAGTACCTCTTTTGGGCCCACCCTCTTTTCTCTCACTGCCCAGTCCATGAGTCTTTGCTTTACTTCTTGCCTCAGTTTTTTTTCTGGGAGATACGACAATGACGGCACCCCAGCACCACTTTCTACCCATTTGTACACATCAGATTGACTTGCCTCCTTGTCTGAGTTCCTCTTTATGCCTGGTTGCAGGGAAATTAAATACACAATCCCATAGAGTACATTGCTTTTCTAAAGCACCTGGAAAATAACTTGTTTTAAAATTTCCAGGAAAGCTCTTTCCCCCAGGAGCTCTTTGAAATGGTGGTAAATGTTTCCTTTGGAATGTTCTGGACTTCTTTACAGATGGAAGACTTTTTGGGGCCATCTGAATGCCTTATAGACGGCGGCCAGTGAGCCACATGACACAGACACTGAAAGAGCGCCTTTGCTGTTTCGGAGCCCTGGGCTTGGTGCACGCTTTGTTATTTATTTGGCTGCTTCACTAGAATTTCTTACTCATGAAAGCAGAAAAGACAGTTAAAACTCATAGCTACATACTCAAAACTTTCATTATTGAAAGTTTTTAATTTTTCATCATAGAAAACATTCTGTTGATGTTTTCTACCCAGTTTTAGACCTTTTTTTCCTGTGATTTTTCCCTTTATTTCTGAGTCTTTTCCCCCACTTAGTGTTATTATGACCAAGATGCAAACATACACACACAGACAGATCTGTGCATTCACACGCCAGATGGTCGCATCCATGTCACGCACCTTGTGCTGTAGAATCGATAGAAACCAGTTCATGTGAGGCGTGCTGGGTGGCCGGTGTGTGGCAGAAACTCACCTGGTGTGGGAGCCGGCTCTACATGCGTGCACAGTGACACTCATCGGCAGAGGAGAGAGTGCCTGGGGCTGCGACCTAAGCCACGGCTGCCCAGTCAGGCAGTCTTTCTGAAGATCTTGAATTTCATACATAGGAGTTCATTGCAGGGACTGTTTTCATAGAGGCTGCTTTTTTTTTTGGTGGGGATGAAAAATAGATGAACACTGTCTTTTTCCTGCAGGGCTCAGGACGTAAGGGAAGGTCAGAAGCACGCATTGCTGCCCCCGTGGCTGGTTTTGCAGCAGTGTGATCTAACAGAGAGGGCTGGGCTCAGATGGGCTTGGGACAGCTGGGTTCCAGTCTCAGCTCTGTGCAGACCCTGACCACGGCCAAAGCTTTTGTTCTCTCTCAGCTTCTTTACCCACCGTAAAACACGAATGCTGAGCTAGAGTCAGTGTACCTTGTAAACATTTATGTAGGCTGAAAACTGGAGGGTGGATGGCGGTGGAAAAAAGCTGAAAACTTAAATAAAGAAACTGTACTCTTGATGTAACAATGCGGGTCTCCCATGAGAGCTCTGACAGCAGATCTGAGAAGGGTTGCAAGGAGAAGGAGGCATGAATTGGCACGGGTAAGATACAGGAATGAAGAGGGAGATGCTGGGCAAGTGCCCAGACAGAGAAGCTCGGGGTGCGGTGGGGGTGGGTGGAAGTCAGGAGCTGTTTGGTGAAGAAGTCACCTGCCCTGCCATTGCTGGGGGCACAGTAGCTGTGTGCCCCGAGTCCTGGAGAGAAAGTGGTAGCATTTCATACCTTCACAAACGCTTGGACCACTGAGGAAGGTGCTTATTCCTTGAGAGAGCTGAAGTGAGTAGACGCAGTTTCCTGAATGACACGACAGCAAGAATTGGAAATTTACCCAGTATCACTTCGTGTACAACTATTTTTACAGCTGAAAAGTGACTTCACTTACAAGTGACACATAAACATCTACAGCCTTCCAATGTAAGCAAGAAGCCTGACCTCATCAGTGGTGAAATGCCGTGAGCCAGCCAATAGAGTTGCAATGCCGTGAGCCAGCCAATAGGGTTGCAATGCTGTGAGCCAGCCAATAGAGTTGCAGTGCTGTGAGCCAGCCAATAGGGTTGCAGTGCCGTGAGCCAGCCAATAGAGTTGCAGTGCTGTGAGCCAGCCAATAGAGTTGCAATGCCGTGAGCCAGCCAATAGGGTTGCAATGCCGTGAGCCAGCCAGTAGAGTTGCAGTGCCGTGAGCCAGCCAATAGAGTTGCAGTGCCGTGAGCCAGCCAATAGAGTTGCAGTGCCGTGAGCCAGCCAATAGAGTTGCAGTGCCGTGAGCCAGCCAGTAGAGTTGCAGTGCCGTGAGCCAGCCAATAGAGTTGCAGTGCTGTGAGCCAGCCAATAGAGTTGCAATGCCGTGAGCCAGCCAATAGAGTTGCAATCTATACTTTTTCCAAGATCCTTTTATTTTAACTTTTGTTTTGAGATAATTTCAGAGTTACCGAAAAGTTGCAAGGATAGCACGAAGGATGCCTGTGCGCCCTTCACCCATATCCACCAAAGACCAACATTCCGCATGCTTGCTGTCTCTTGCACAGCCCTGCGTGTGTACTCTCCCCCGTGCCCCTTTCTCTCTACGTCTGTATGTCTTTGTGTAGGATTTTTTTCAGAACCTTTTGCAGGTATGTTGTGCTTTTATCCCTAAATACTTTGATGTATATTTGCTGAAAACACCTTACCAGAACCACAGTGTAATATGATCACAGTCAGGAAACTACCATGCATACAGCATGCTGGTCTGAGTCCTAGATCTTCGTCAGGTTTTTCTAGTTATTCCTATCATGTCCTTCAGGAGCTCAAGGAAACCCCAGCCTGTGTGTTGTAGTCCGCTGCCGCGTCTCTTTAGCCTGCTCCCTCTGCCTCGACAACATCATTGACACTTAGGAAGGAGACTGCTTTTCTGTAGAAGGCTCCCAGGTTTGGGCGCGTCTGCTGTTACCTCTCCTTGGGATCCAGCAGAGAATTATAGCGGGAGCCCATGGAGGTGGCGGCATGTTTCATGCTGCGTTACATCAGGAGGCCCACAGCGTCTGTGTGTCTCACTGCTCATGATGTTAATTTTGATCCCTTGGGTAAGGTTTCCCCACTGTAAATTGACTGCATTTTTCCCCTCTAAGTCTCATGTGGGAAGATGCTTTGAAACTATGTAACTATCCTATTATTACTCACAATTTCACCCACTGGTTCCAGCATCCATTAATGACTCTTTGCCTGTAACAATCATAATGACAGTTTCTAAATGGTGACGTTCTAATTCCGTTATTCCTTCTACATTTATTAGCTAGCATCGACTGCGAGACCATTTTCCTTTATTCCCATTTAATTATTCGTTTGTTTATATATGTATGTATATCAGTGGGAATTCATAGATTATTATTATTAATTATTATTTTTGAGACAAGGTCTCACTCTGTCATCCAGGCTGGAGTGCAGTGGCGCAATCTCGGCTTACTGTAACCTCCACGTCCCAGGTTCAAGCGATTCTCCTGCCTCAGCCTCCCGAGCAGCTGGGATTACAGGTGTGCCACCACACCTGGCTAATTTTTTTTACTTTTTAGTAGAGACGGGGTTTCACCATGTTAGCCAGGCTGGTCTCAAACTCCTGACTTCAAGTGAACTGCCCGCCTTGGTCTCCCAAAGTGCTGAGATTACAGGCATGAGCCACCGTGCCCAACCCATAGTTTTTTTTTGTTTTTTTTTTTTTGAGACAAGTCTCACTCTGTTGCCCAGGCTGGAGTGCAGTGGTGTGATCTCAGCTCACTGCAAGCTCCGTCTCCCGGGTTCACGCCATTCTCCTGCTTCAGCCTCCTGAGTAGCTGGGATTACAGGTGCCCGCCACCATGCCTGGCTAATTTTTTTTTATTTTTTAGTAGAGACAGGGTTTCACCGTGTTAGCCAGGATGGTCTCGATCTCCTGACCTCATGATCCGCCCGCCTCGGCCTCCCAAAGTGCTGGGATTACAGGCGTGAGCCACTGCGCCTGGCCCAGCCTATAGATTTTTAATCAGTGATTATATCCTTTACTGTCGTGACTTATTTTGGTCAAACTATCACAGATTTGGTCAGCAGGAGGCCCTCGGAGCTGGCTGTTTGTCCTTTGCCATGTCCCTGTAATAAAGAGATTATATAGTCCATCATGCTTGGAGCACTTTCCTTACTTTGTGGCACAAGGAGATGCCCCAGGCTCATCCTGTACTTTTCCCTGCTCCAGACCTGGAGTCAGCCGTTCCCCAAAAGCATGTGATTCCTTTTAGTGGAGAATGGCGGAGAGTTGAGAAGCCAGGATCTGGGGGCCAGATGTGCTCACTTCTGCCGGCGGGCCAGAGCTCCTGGGTCTTTTCAGTAGACAAACGCTAGAAACAGATGTGTGGATGTGGATACATACACACACATTCACACGTTTATATGTTATACATATGACAGATACTTACAAGTGTATATATACACGTACATGCATACATACATATATGCACCCACACACGTCTCTATGTCTATACCTATCTATGTATTAAAAGCTGTGAGAACTAATACCTCCAACACCACAGTATTATTTTTTAAAAGCCTCTGAGGACATTTCATACAATGAACTGTGAAGAAAACAATTGGTAAACTCTAAAGTAATAATATCAATTACATCTTAGATATTAATTGTATTAAAACATTTTTAAAATGCTTTGATGAAATGGTTATAGTGACATAGGTATAGATTAATCATGGATACATTCTCAATATAGATTTTGTTTGCCGGGTGCTGTAATCCCAGCACTTTGGGAGGCCGAGGTGGGCAGATCACAAGGTCAGGAGATCGAGACCATCCTGGCTAACACAGTGAAAACCCCATCTCTACTAAAAATACAAAAAATTATCCGGGCGTGGTGGTGGGCACCTGTAGTCCCAGCTACTCGGGAGGCTGAGGCAGGAGACTGGCGTGATCCGGGAGGCAGAGCTTGCAGTGAGCCGAGATCACACCACTGCACTCCAGTCTGAGTGACAGAGCAAGACTCTGTCTCAAAAAAAAAAAAAAAAAAAAAAAAAAAAAAAAAAAAAAGATTTTGTTTTAGGAAGGACATAAGACCTGTGAAGAGAACACATTTGTGGTTTTTTTTGTTTTAATCCAGGTATTCAAATCAGTTCATTTTAATTTGGCAAACACTGATTCTCTTTTACTCTCTGTAAGGTACTTAATGGGCACTCCTTCCCTTTGTCCTCATGGCCTCATTGTGTATATGGTTAGTAATGATTTGTTATATGGAAAATATCACTAGCCAATTTCTCAACATAAAAAGTAGCTGCTTGTTTGTTAACATCCCTTCCTTTAGAGAGGCCTTTATACATTGCATGGAATATTTACAATTACTTATATTATGATCAGTGTTAAACTTGTCAAGGTTATAATTATAAAACCCAATTTTCTTTAAGCTCAACTTAGAGATCTTTATTTAAATTAGTAATTTTTATAAGCAATAAATTTTTTTCTTCAACATTCAGTTAACTCATAGATTTGATAGCTTAATTTCTCCTAAACTTTAACCATTATTTGCATATTTGATTAATCAAAATTTTTAAAGATTTCAAATACCACTAAAAATGTAACTGATTTTCTAAATCACTTTAAAACAATGGCTTAAAGCTGGGCATGGTGGCTCACAACTGTAATCCTAGCACTTTGGGAGGGTGAGGTAGGAGAATCGCTTGAGCCTGGGAGTTCAAGACCAGCCTGGGCAAGATGGTGAGACCCTGTCTCTACAAATAAAAAATAAAAAAATTAGCTGGACTTGGTGGTGAGCACCTGTAGTCCCAGCTGCTTGGGAGGCTGAGGCAGGAGGATTGCTTGAGCCTAGGAGTTGGAGGCTGCAGTGAGCTATGATCACACCACTGCACTCCAGCCTGGGTAACAGAGCGAGACCCTGTCTCAAAAAAAAATAAATAAATAAAAGGATGGCTTAAAAATTGAACGAACATAATCTTAAAGACATATTTCAGACTTGCAAATTAAGCAGACCAAATGGAGGAGATAGCAAACATCTTAAAAAATGGTGTGCCTAAAGCAGCCCAGTGATTACAGAGTGTCATTTCCCCTGTGGAAACACAATTGATATCAAAGGAAATTACTTTTTTATATCATCTAATCAAGAAACTAAATGACCATTTCAGGCCCATGTAGGGGGGCTCACCCAGGGCTCCTGGTATAAAAAAGTTTGCGACCAGTAAAGGGCCTGGAGCTTGGTCACGCTTCCCAAGTCAGGCAGCAGCAGCTGGGACGTGCCCCTTCTCATGGTCAGGTGGTGTTGCCAAAGGCACCCCAGCAACTTCCTTCAGCCGGGATGCAATTAATCCTGTTAATTTTCCTGTCTTACACCCTAGTGCCTTTCCCCACAGTAATGGGAAGGCAGTTTAGGACCTCAGAGTTTCATTCACCTTTGGTGTAATCGGGATGACACTTCCTAAATTAAGGCCTGCTGCGAACGTGACGTTAATCCCATCGCTCAGCCATCTTCCTTTTCGTTTCTTCTTAGGGACATCATGTTTCATCGCCTTTCCTATTATGTGGTCTCTTTATTGACACATTTATGAAAATGTAAAAATCTTTAGTTAAATACAGCCTACCTTTTTTCCCACTTCAACAGGCATCTTCTTCTGAAGACATGGGCAGGTGGATTGGGATTTTACTCGCAGAGACGGGATCGTCCACAGACCCGGAGGCTCTGCACTATGACTACATTGATGTGGAGATGTCTGCAAGTGTCATTCAGACAGCCAAACAGACCTTCTGGTAAGACCCACTGCCATGTGAAATGGCACCACAGTTCAGTAACTGTCTTTTCCCTAACTTAGCTTAACTTAGTTTTTGTGTGAGGATATAGACCCAGAAGAAAAACTAAAGACTTTCCCTTTTGCATTATCTTAAGCCAAATTTTGCAGAAATGTTTTTGTCGTGTCAGCCCACTGGGTTTTCTATTCGAGCAGCGTGTGGCAAACTTGCATGAAGGACTTAGATAGTAAATATTTTTGGTTTTGTGGGCCACACGTTTCCTGTTAATAACCACTCAGCTCCCGCTGCAGCTGGACACCGTACATAAACGAATGGGTGTGTCTGTGTTCTAATAAAACTTTATTTGCAAAAACAGGCCGTGGCCTGGATTTGGCCAATAGTTTGCTGACCCCTGTATTAGGGGAACAGTTCTACGAAGCAGAAATGATTCTACATATTGCTGTAATGAGGACTGAGTTTTCAAAGCTATCCGTCAAGTACTTTGTAAATTTAAATTGTGATTTTTTTAAAAAAAAAAATGCTGCAGTCATCTATAAAAACGTCCTTTTGAACAGTGAATATTTCTTTAACATAATGATGGCAGAATATTTGTAGCAGCAGTTCTTGGTATGGTCCACAGAACCCCTGGAGATTTTCCAGACCCTTTCTGGCAGTCTGCGGGGTTAAATTATTTTCATAATATACTAAGACATTGTTTCCTTTTTCCACTGTTGGGACATTTGCATTAGTGATCACTGGCTGGCAGCTTCGCACCAATAGTCGCCCTTCGCCGTATGAATAATCATTGTCACTGCCAATGTAAATAGTCAAAGAATTTTACCATTTGCGATAGTAAAAGAAAATGCTGGTTTCACTTAAGATGTCCTTGAGGAAGCAGTAAAAATGATGACTTTTTCTATAAAGGATCAGATAGTAGACATTTGCATGAAGGCTCTGAAGCCCGTGGGTTTTTCCTGTTCTGCGTAGCGTGATGAGAGGCCACAGAGAGCATGCAGGTGTGTCCAATGACAGTGGTCCTGTTGAGGAACAGCTCAGACAAGTGAGGTGCTCATAGAACTAGCTGCCTTGATTTTTTTTTATTTTTACTTTAAAAAGCAACAGACAAACTAGTTATTTGCACATAGGCATTTGCAGATGTTTTCTTGAAAATGAGCTAGCTACACCCATCATCTCTAGGCAAACAGTTGGCAGTATTTGTTGCTTATGATACATTTAAGCTTTCCTTAGAAATTAGAATTCTGGAAAATTTGCATCTGCCGTGGTGAGCTTGCCGGCTACTCAGCACCCATAGACTCCTGCTGAGATCTGTAGTCATGTCAGTGAGCAGTTTTTTTTGATGTTGTATAATGAAGGGGTCAACATTTGAAAGATCGGCAGAAGTCATGCTTGGGGAAAGATCTATTCCTAGTGCAAGATAAACGACTGGATTTTAATGTGAGTCGATTGATCTGCTTTCCGACTCCATGGCAGTTGGCGGTAAGAGACCACCACTTGCTGCGTTTTGGTGTAGTCCCGAAGAAGTGTCACTACAGCTCAGAAAAAGCAATTAAAATGTGCCCCACTTGTCCGGCTTACATGTGTTTGAGGCTGGATTTTCTTCACATACTTCAACCAAAAGAGCATTTTGTGACAGAGGGCAGAAGCAGGTGTGAGAATCCAGCCACCTTCTATTAAGCTGGACATTAACTGGGTTTACAAACATGTGAACACTCTGCCACTTTCTGGTTCGTTATTGGCGTTGCTGGACATTAACTGGGTTTACAGACGTGAACACTCTGCCACGTTTTGGTTTGTTATTAGGGTTTTGTTGTTGTTGTTTTTTGTTTTTGTTTTTTTTTGATTAAGGGTTGCCCAGGCTGGAGTGCAGTGGCACAATTATGACTCATTGCAGCCTCAACCTCCTGGGCTCAAGGGATCCTCCCATCTCAGCCTCCTAAGCAAATGGGACTACAGGCATGTGCCACCATGCCTGGCTAATTTTTTTTTTTTTTGGTAGAGACGGGGTCTTATTATGTTGCCCAGGCTGGTCTCAAACTCCTGGACTCCTGGGTTCAAGTGATCTTCCTGTCTTGGCCTCCCAAAGTGCTAGGATTCCAGGCATGACCCGCGATGCTACTTTTAAGTGAATAACAATGAATGCATTTCTCAGGTTTTAATTTCAAATCCAGCAGGTATTAGGTAGGGCATCTTGGCTTGGGTCCTGCTGTGGTATTTACTAATTAGAACAATTTGGACAAGTCATTCATTACCTGTTAGTACCTCTGCTGCCTTCTGTAGAAAATAGAGATGGTGGGTGAGATAATCTCTGAAACTTGCAGCTCCAGCATCTTTCACCCCTTGACTGCTGCATATGTTTCTCTCATCCTTAGAGAGTTGGGACTGGGGTGAGGGAAGTGAATGAAAACAAAGCTGGTCATGAATTCCATCATCAGCAAGTGAGGAGAAACATACAGACAGCTGCTGGCAGACCTGCCAGTGCTGAGATTACACGACCTTTCAAGTGTGAAGAAGATGGGCTCAGATGCCTGTGCTGTTGTGTTGTGCCCGTTTAATATGAACTCCACCATCTAGTTTTTCCACACAAGTGCTATTTATGGGGAATTGGAGCAGTCTTCCTTTGTGTCTTGAATGGTGAATGGATACTCATTTAATGCTTAGCTAGGACATTCTGGGGCTAAGAAATAGTTCTCAAAGTGAAGATAACTTGGCCCATTTTAGGACTCAAGCCACATGTTACATACACCCAGCTAAGGTCAATAGCCTTGACAAGTGGAACTAGTCTTGCACAGATTGTCCATAAAATCCCCAGTAATACTGGAGGTTTTCTACAGTGCACACTGTTCTCACCACTGTCCTTTTGTGTGGAAATCAGGATAGATGTAGTCTAGTACTTACCGTTCTGTTTATACTAATTATTGTTTAATTATATTCTTTCTAATCAGCAAAATATAGGTAAATTATAATGATTCTCCAATTCTTTAAGTACTATGCAGTAAAGAAAGCACATTTAAAGTGTTTTTAAAGAGATATAAGATCCGTAAGTCTATTTTTGCAAAATCTGCCCAACTAGCAGACATAAAAGTGGTTATGGTTGTTCACTATATTTATTTGGAAGATACTAAATTTCCATAAAAACCTATCCTACGTCCACATGTAATTGCAAGTATAATCAGCACGCCGATAACCACATTTAAGAGAAACCCTGAATTAAAATCGTTGCCCTAGAATACAGCTTGGCTTTTACTTTATAAATGACTAGAGTATTAATCTAAATCAAATGTGGCAAGGTCACATTTTTGAGAAAGGAATGTAGATTATAACACTAAAAATATTTATTAAAAATATGCATGTAATGAATTTATGGCTGCAGGAATCTTTTCTACCTCGTTAAAGTCTTTATAGGAGCTGTCAGTTAGCAATAAAGCTTATTTTCAAGTTTTCTAGCCAAACACTCCTGTAACACTTAAGAGAGATGAGATGTGACAAGGAAACAGTGTTCAAAATATGGTTGCTTGCCAGTGTGATGAATATTCTAAGATTAAATGTTTTGCTTTTATATAAACTGGCAGCCAGTTAATGAATCTTTTCAAGGTTCTTAGGAGAATTCTTTGTGCATTGTACATGACTGAGGAAGAGACGGCAGTAATATATTTTGAAAAGAGGAAAGTGTAAGATAATAATGGAGATTCTCCCAGGAAAAGTGGGATACTTAGGAACTTTAATAATGGTAAACAATCGAAACATATTTTCCTGAAAACCTATTTACAATGAGATACATAAATTATACAACACAGGAAAATACTCCAGAGTTTTCCTGAAACTCTCTTCAAGTCACACTCAGCTGGGAGCCCCTCAGGAAGCAGTTGGGAGGATGAAGAGAACGGAAAGCAGGGGCTGGTGCGGAGCATGGGGAGATGCACGGATGGGGTGGTGAGGATGAAGAGGATGGAAAGCAGGGGCTGGTGCAGAGCGTGGGGAGATGCATGGATGGGGTGGTGAGGATAAAGAGGATGGAAAGCGGGCTGGTGCAGAGTGTGGGGAGATGCACGGATGGGATGGTGAGGATGAAGAGGATGGAAAGCAGCGGCTGGTGCGGAGCGTGGGGAGATGCACGGATGGGATGGTGATGATGAAAAGGATGGAAAGCAGGGGCTTGTGCGGAGCATGGGGAGATGCACGGATGGGGTGGTGAGGATGAAGAGGATGGAAAGCAGGGGCTGGTGCGGAGCGTGGGGAGATGCACGGATGGGGTGGTGAGGATGAAGAGGATGGAAAGCCGGGGCTGGTGCGGAGCATGGAGAGATTCACAGATGGGAGGCAGTTCTCTTGGCCACCCTTTCCTCGGAGTCCCGGGAGGTTATTGTGAAATAGCTCCACTTGACTCTCTCCTGGTTTTGGTGTAACAAGTGGCATGTGGCCTCTTACTTCATTTCCACTTCTGTCTTTGGCTGCAAATCCTATTGTGGAAAGACACCAAGCACAAGACCGAGGCCTCGTGTTTAGTTGCGACCTCAGGCCCTGCCCTCTTGGGGACTGGGCAGAGTTGTCCTCACTGGGCCAGGTCCCTCTCTGTAGGGTGAAGGGTGACTAGCTGCTGGCTGAGGCCTCCTCCACTTAGGACATTCTGTGTGCCTGTGACCCCTAATCCCTGTGCTCCCAGGTCCTGCCAGATGAGCCTGTCAGAGGCATCCTGCAGTGGCTCTTCCCAGCACAGAAGCAGGAGTGGAGCCCCCCAGGGCCTCTGTTCTGACCCCATCCTTTGTCCCTGCTGCAGCAGGGTGAGTGCAGGGCATATGCTGGAAACTGAAGATGCAAGCCCGTGAGAGACGTGCCTGCCGCTGGAAGGAGAAAGACCCAAGGCAGTACGGCCCAGGGCACAGGGGAGGGGATGGTCCCTGTGGCCAGGCTTTATTCATTCCTCCATTTACTGCCTCTCGCTGACAGAAAGTATACATAGCGCTGTCTCCCTAAAAGCCTTCCAATGAGGCATTTAATTAGAAAACCTTAAATATGTATTTTTTAAAAATCAAAATCTTTTACTGTGGAACTCTTAAATGTTCAAGTTTTGCTGTGCCTTTCCTTCTTGTATGTTTTCTTCTTCATTTTATTTTCCTACGTATACTTTTATGTACTTTAAGTTTAGCATATATTAATTTTTTATAAGCAAAGGAAAAAGTTTATAAATTATAATTGAAGAATGTGTCCAGGCAGCAAGCCGTGCATGGCGTCCCTCCCCAGCATGGGGCGCACACGCGCTCTGTGAGGAGCCATTTCCGCGGCCCGCACTGCTGAAGCCCAGCCCGGAGCCCCAAGCCCGGTACCTCCCGAGGCTACGCTGCCAGACTTCTTACCAAAGAGGCGGGCTTCACTTGCCCCTGTGTTTCTCTCCCCGGTTTTCACTTACGCTGTGTTTTCTTCATCTGGTGATCACAGAAGCGCAGGATCCTATGAAATACCCACACTAGCAGGAAATGCTGTCAGGGTGGTCCCTTCCCTGGGATTTACATTATTAGTCCTGACCCGTGGCTTCGGAACCCGGCCGAGGCTCTAGGCACCTGCCCCTGCGTGAGGACCCCTGTGTGTGCCCGCATGGTCCCTGCGCTCCTGAGGCCGACCCTCCAGTGGGGAGAGCAGGCAGGACGCAGATGCAGGGCGGTTGCCCTGGGCCCGGAGGGGAGGGAGGGGCCGCTGTGGGGCTGCGGGACGGGCCGCCTCCTGGGGGGCAGCACCCACGCGGAGACCTGGGTGCGAGGGGTGTCAGGAGAGGAGTTCGGCAGGCAGAGTGGCTGGGGGAGCCGCGAGAGCCAGGGGAGTGCCGGGGCACCCAGGAGACTGACCGAGCGCAGGAAGCCACAGCGCAGGGACGGAGCAGAAACCCAGTCCCTCGGAGCCCCGAGGCCCTGGGCAGCACCTTGCGACTTCAGAAGCCCCTGGGGGTGTTGGGCGGAGGCTGGCGTGGCCCGGCCTGCCCTCCTTGAAGGGGAGTGAGCCGTTCCCTCACCACAGGCTCCACACTGTTGGGCCTCACCTCTGGCCACTAAACGGGCAGGTCTTTCCCATGCCCAGCAATTCTCTAGGTTTCTGTGGGCACCAGCTGGGTGTCCTAATACATGAACTCAACCCTCAGTGGTCTTCCGGGAGGCAGCGTCAGGCTCCCCAGGTTAAGGGCCCAGTCCACAAAGCTGACTCCACTTCAGATGCCAGTCACAGGTCCAGGATATCACCTGTGCGTCTAACCAATAGGTTGTGAGTTGGAGGTTCCCACGACCCCTCCCCTCCAGTTCAGTCATTGCTAGAACGCTCACAGAACTCAGGAAGAGCTTGCTTACTGGATTACCAGTTTACTATGAAAGGACACAGTTCAGAAGCAGTGAGGGAAGAGGTGCGCCGGGCAAAGCATGTGGGGCACAGCGCTCCCGTGCCCTCGCTGGGCGCACCACGCTCCCGGCACCGCCGCATACACACAGTCCAGAAGCTCCGGGAACCCCATCCTCTTGGGTTTTTATGGAAAGTTCCAGCCGTAATCACAGGGTTGGTTTCCCTGGCAACCAGCTCTCATCCTACTCTTCATGTATGAAATTCCAAGAGTTTTAGGAGCCCTGACCAGGAACTTGGGACAAAGACCAAAATACATATTTATTACGCCACAGTAGCACACCTTCTAAAGGATTTCTCGGGCCGCTGTCAGCGGCTCTCAGAAGTTGAGGAAATTTCAGGGAAGAGGTGAAGAGATGTGGGGTGGCAGTGGTGCTGATTGACTACTAAGAACTCCATAAATATTTGTTGAATGAGTGTTCCAGAAAGCTTATAGAACAGGGGTCCACGAACTTTTTCCAAAAGAGACCAGACAGTAACTTTCAGCTTTGCAGGCCATGTTGTCCTTCTGGAAGTAACACACTTGTGAAAGAGGCATGTGTTCCAATAAAACTTTATTATGAACACAAGCTGTGAGAGGAGTTGGCCACTGTGAAAGACGGATGATAATCAAAACGCTTGGTATTTCTGAACACCTGTTATTTGCAGACTTTGCTGCGTGTACCTAGCGTTGGGGCCACAGTGAGAGACGGATGATAATCAAAACGCTTGGTATTTCTGAACACCTGTTATTTGCAGGCTTTGCTGCGTGTACCTGGTGTTGGTTACTGGCGATCTGTGCCGCAGTTCTGCAGATTATGTGCCATCCTAATTTTATAGGACAGTCCCTCCAGCGCATCATCTCATTTCTGCCGAGATTCTGTCTAGTATTTCTTCTCTGCCCCTGTGACCTCTGACATAGCCTTGGGCATAAAGTCAGAACTCATTAAAGACTTGACTGATTGGAGTAAAAGGTGGTCAGGTTATGGATTTTAACGCATTTCCTTTCTTTCAGTTTCATGAACAGGCGTGTTATATCTGCTAACCCATATCTAGGGGGCACCTCCAACGGCTATGCCCACCCCAGCGGGACGGCACTTCATTATGACGATGTCCCGTGCATCAACGGCTCGGTGAGTGCCCTTTTTTTGGAGTAATGGTTGGTTTTGTTAGAGGCCGAGGCTGTGAAAATTCTGTGCTTCAGTTCCCCTGGTTTCAGGTCTGAATAAGGTCAGCTTTTTAATGCTCTGAGGCAAGGAGACTCCATCTCATCTCTGTTCTCCTGGTTTCTGACATGCTGTTTATCTGAATCTGCATTTGAACAAGTGGATAGTTTGAGGCTAGTAGACAGTTTGTCATTTAATGTCACTGTCATTTTTCTGTTGGTGTTGAGGTAGGGTCCCAATCTGTTGCCCAGGCTGGAGTGCAGTGGTGCAGTCACAACTCACTATAGCTCAACCTCCCCAGCTCAGTCGATCCTCCCACCTCAGCCTCCCAAGTAGCTGGGACCGTAGGTGCACACCACCACATCCCACTCATTTGTTTTATTTTTAGTAGAGATGGGATCTCCCTATATTGGCAAGGCCAGTCTTGAACTCCTGGGCTCAAGTGATCCTCCCACCTCAGACTTTCAAAGTGTTGGGATTACAGATGTGAGCCACTGTGCCTGGCCTAATGTCGCTGTCACTAATTAAATGTGTCAGCCCACTAAAATATTGACTAAAGGAGAACATGTTAGAGTAATACTTGGATAACTTGTTAAATCAAAACATAGCACAGTATAGGTTATCAATGAGTAGTTATTTCCCGATGGGATTAAAATGCTGTGAAATCCCCTCAGGAAGGAAATGATGACATAGAGGAATGACCACATTACAAATTCGACAGCTTACCTTGGGGTGGATTTGGAGGAGCCAGGCTCCTGGCTCCTGGCACAGCGCTATCTGTATATCCATCTATCCATCTATCCATGCAGGAGGTGTTTAGTAACAGCTTTCCCTGTTACGCTGGCCTCGGGGGTCTGTCTGGCCTTAGGAGTCCTGAAGTCTGTTCTCAGTGTGTTGTGTCTGTGTCGTACGTGTAATCAGCAGGCCTCATCAAGTGCTGGTTCTACGGTGTCTGCCTGTTACTCATCTCACAACCGCGTATTGAGCATCCTGCCTGATCCAGGCACGGTGCCCGGCCCTGGGCGTTCAGAGATGAGGCCTTCACAGTTAGCAGATGAATGAAGGAGGCTTGTGAGAAACCAGTATGCCATTTGTCTCCCAGTACTGGGAGGGTTTGAAATTGGCATCTATGTTAAGATAATTTTCAAAGGTAGACATAAAGTAAATTTATTGTTATGTTTTCCAAGGCTATGAAATAGACTTGGAAGGTATTTCAGACTTTTTTCTTACTGTTTTGATTCTCCATTCTTTTCCCCGATATCCTGATGAATGTCCTCAATCAGCCCTGGCATCGTAAATTCATAGCTGCCCCACAGCAGGAACCAAGAGACAACAGCCTCCTTGAGGGAAGAGAGGGGCTGAGGACCCCCAGTGCTCAGGAGCATAAACAAACTGAAAGCAGGTTCTAGTGGCCGGGGTCGGAAGTGGGTGGCCCATCCCTCAGGAGCCACGATGGACGCAGTGTGTCCCTGGGGCTCGGTTGCCTTCCCATTGGCCGCCTCCTCCTTCCTGCTGCTCTGGACCTGCCCTGGGGTTCCTGTGGGGGAGGCCGCCCTTTCTGTGCGAGGCCCCCACCTGATTCTAAAGAGGGATCTTCTCATCACTTGATCTGCCCCCTTCCCTCCTCAGTCCTCTCTCCCTTGCCTTATTGGCTGGGTGTCTCCCAGTGGCCAGACTCTGTGCCAGGAGTTGAAGAAGAAATGGTGAAGCGATTGTCTTTGTCCTGAAAGGGCCTTTGAGTCTCATGGGGGTGAGTGGACCTGGGAGGGAAACAGACATAGGAGCGGGGAGAGCTTCCTGGGCCCTGGGCAGGGCAGGGCCCGCTTGTAGGTCCCATGTTAGGACAGGGTGGCACGGGGCAAACAGAGCCACTTTAGGATCCCATCCTAGCTTCAGAGTCCATCCAGTAGAGCCCCCCATCTTAGGCGGAGGGGTATCAGGTCCAGTGAATCTCCTCCTTTCCCCCTCAGCCAATCCTCCCTGGGGTGTCTCTGGGTGCCCACAGTCACCACAGCACTCCACCCCTGGGTAGGGGCTTGTGCGAGTTCTTCCTGCTTAAGATGGCACCATACCAGCCTGTGGCAGGCTCTCAGGCTAGTTCCTGCCCTAGATTCCAGCCCCTGAGCCCTTCTTCAGGTGGGACCTGCTCTTCTGCCTCCATTTGCCCTGTGTCACCCCAGTGTCTCTTGACAGCACAGTCTTACCACTGGATTTAGACTCCAGTTACCACACTCATCTGCATCCTGAGAACCATCCACTTCTCTGAGCCTGTGTCTAGCCCGTCCCCCCCAAAGACCCTTTCACACGCCTTTTCCTCAAAGGCGTTTCTCCACATGCACGCCTTACACACGAACCTGTGACTGTGAACCGGATGCTGTCTTCACCCTGTGGAACCACACACGTGATCATCCAGCTCCACCCAGCCCGTTTTATTCAGACTTTTATGACACTCTACAGGCCACCCCCAGGAGCAAGTGTTCTTTAGGCTATTCACAGCTTCATCTGTTGTAGAAACAAAGGTCTGCCATTCCTAAAGGGCTCTGCATGTAGGAATTGTTTGTGTGTGTGTATTGCTGGGCTACATGTTTGTGGCTTCCTTGCTTATTAGGCCTTCCTCTGCCCAGGCCCTTCCTGAAACTATTTTCTGTGTGTTCGGCTCTGTTACCAGCTCATCTCTTTTTGGAGGGCCTCATTTCTAGATTCTTAAAAGTTCATACTTATAGCCAGGCGCGATGGCTCAGGCCTGTAATCCCAGCACTTTGGAAGGCAGAGGTGGGCAGATCACTTAAGGCCAGGAGTTCGAGACCAGCCTGGCCAACATGGTGAAACCCTGTCTCTACTAAAAATACAAAAATTAGCCGGGCATGGTGGTGGGTATCTGTAATCCTAGCTACTCAGGAGGCTGAGGCAGGAGAATTGCTTGAGCCTGGGAGGCGGAGGCTGCAGTGAGCTGAGATTGTGCCACTGCACTGCAGCCTGGGCAACAGAGCAAGACTCCATCTCAAAAAAAAAAAGTTCATATTTATGACCTAATATCTGGCATCGTGGCACTGTTTCAGCTTTAGTAATGTTTACCCAACGTTCCCCCTGATGCTTAGACTAAGATGAAAGTGTGCACACTCACATACTTTAAACTAGAAACTTCTGTGAGGTCTCTGTAGGTGTTTTTCTGAGTCTTCCGTGTGACTTAATCTTTGGTATTTTAGGAAAATGATAGTCTCGTCTAGACCGTTTTAATAACTCTGGACAAATATATGCTAGGTTGTCATTATGAAACTCTCATATCCGAGTTTATCTGCAGGAGCCGTTATTTTTAGATCACAAAAATAGACACATTGAAGTGATTGCGGAGGAATACAGACACTCCTACTGCAGAATTTTAAGTCTTCTCTATTTTTATAACAAAAGGTTGTAATTACCGTCTGGCAGAAAGGACTATGCAGGAAGACTATCAACGGGGTAAAAGGAATATAAGAGAGGAATTAATACTGCCTTTCTTGTCATGCCAGGCGATTTATAAAGACCTTTACCCCTGAAAAGGCCCTGGCTGTGGTTATCAGTTTTTGAGTTAATACTTTAATACCCATGTTCTCAGATTCCTCTGTCCCATGCAGTGGCATGTAGCTATTTTAGTCCTTTGTTAGAGATTTTCTGCTAAAATAAAACCATTATATCCATTAGATTTGGAAGCATCTAATTTTCTATGAGGATTTGATTTCTCTTTTCACAGACGGTTTTGCTTGTGTTGGTTGTGGCACTTTCTTCAGTACAGAGCAGGGGACAGAGGGGGTTTGTGTTGACAGTTCCCATAGGACTTGGGTCACTGACTCCTGCACAGGGGCTTGGAGGAGCCTGCAGGTGGTCTCATGTCCCCAGAAGGAGCGCGAGGCTTAGCGGGAGCACCGCGTGGGGATGAGCGCGCCCTTCCCTCCGCTCTGCCACTCACCGGCTCCAGGCCCTGTCTCTGCTTCCATTTCCCCCTTTTTCCCCGGATGACTGTGAGACGAAGTCAGCGTCCAGGACGTGAGAAGTGCTGTGTAAAGCATCGGGTGCTCTGCTAGGACCTCGTGTGTCTTTATGTAGACCCAGAGCACCAGGCCCCTGGTCCCATGCTCATTCCTCCCCTTCCATCCACGCCCTGCGCTAGGAGAACTTCTGAACCCCAGGTTCTCTAAAGAAGGAAATGCCAAATCAACATTGCTTTTTCCTTTAAAAGAAAGGACAAAACAAAAACTTCATAATCCAAGAGTTCTGGGAATGGTTTAAGGAAAAAAAAATTTTTTCCATAAGGCTTCAGAAGTCAAGTCCTTTTGAATCCACCTGCATGCTTGTGTTGGGTCTGTGTGTGTATGTGTGTGGGAGGGGGGTGGTGGGTGCATGCCTTATTGATAACAACTGCAGTCTGTGTGCAGGAGAGTGTTGGGGTGCCAATGTATGCTAAATGCCGTACTATTAATAAATGACATCTCACTGTGCTAAAAGCTGCTGTTTCCTGTGTCCAAGTCACTAACCACAAAGCTATGTGTGTTGCAGTGGGAACCGGAAGACGGCTTTCCTGCTTCCTGCAGCAGAGGCTTGGGAGAAGAGGTGCTTTATGATAACGCAGGCCTGTACGATAACTTGCCGCCTCCGCACATCTTTGCCCGCTACTCTCCTGCTGACAGAAAGGCCTCTAGGCTGTCTGCTGACAAGCTGTCCTCTAACCATTACAAATACCCTGCCTCCGCTCAGTCTGTCACTAATACCTCTTCTGTGGGGAGGGCGTCTCTCGGGCTCAACTCGCAGGTACGGCATCTTCTTCTGTAAGATTCTAGAACCACCTTCAAGTCACATTGCTCCAACAGAGTTTTGCAACTTGTAGTAAATGGGACTCATCAAAGGCAAAGCATAATGTGTTTTTTTTTTCTCAACTAGAATATAATTTGCAGCCTGACTACCAAGGAACTGATGAGATATTTCTAACGAGCTCATGGTTTATCTGAGCACTGTGTTTCTTTGCCCACATCTGGCTCTCTTTCTGTTCTTGGAAAATTCCCCAGTGAAATTTTGTGAATTATGTCAACTAAAGGCAGAGAAGTTAAAAAGAAACGGGTAATAAAACTTTCCAGAAGATTCTTGAACAGCAAGTTTCTTTACTATGTTTCCATTACACTTAATGAGGAAGGGTTGACTCCGTGTAGTCATTGCTTTTGATCTTTAAACATGAAATAGATTATTCAGAGTGTGGTAGTGTTTCTCCATGACAAGTCTAAAGGTATACTCCCAAAAACTAGATGATGATAATAAGGACTTTTTAAACATGAAATAGATTATTCAGAGTACGGTGGTGTTTCTCCATGACAAGTCTAAAGGTATACTCCCAAAAACTAGATAACGATAATAAGGACTTTTGATGACCATTGAACAATAATAACCGTGATGTTGAACTACTGTCCATTGCACACCCTGTATCTATGGCAAACAGTAACATTTCAGAGTAATTTTGTGGTGTTAGGCCTTTTTAAAAAAAAAAAAAAAGATGAAGTCTCACTATGTTGCCCAGGCAGGACTTGAACTGTGGGCTCAAGTGATCCTCCTTCCTTGGCCTCCCAAGTAGCTGGGACAACAGGCACATGCCACCGTGCCCAGCTTATCATGCATATTTAACCTAAGAATTGTTCATGCTTTGCCTAAAGACCTAAGCCCATATGTAAGAATATGAATATATAGCAAATGGGCATGTTTTAAATATTTGTTTTTTCTCCATTCTTTGGATAATCTTAAGAAAATAACCAGATAAAATTGTAGAATTATAGATAGTAGTGACTTAGAACAGTAGCTCCCAATAGGTCGGCTTCATCAAAAATCAAATGCACAGGTTGGTGTTGCTTTTTGATTTTTCATGACGGTTGTTCAGATCCCATCCCTGGGGATTCCCATTCAGTGAGTCTGAGTGGCCCTGAGCTAAGTGTAGTTGGGGACCGGGGGTAGGGGAGCCGTTGGCCTCTTTTGAGGACTTATGCCAAAAAGTTGTCAGGTTATGTGTTGCACTCACTAAGCGAAAGTTTCTCCCTCTATGTTTCTACATGTCTTTTTATTGGCATTAGAGTTGCCTTAGGTAAAACCCTGCCACACAGTTTGCCATCTTGCACTCTTGGATTGTCCCCACATTGGTTGGGAATCATTTGATGTATGGTTCCCCTGTGGAGTGTTTGTTACTATTGTCCCCTTTTGTTTTGTTTTTGTTGAAATAGGAAACATTTTTGCAAGTTAAATTACATGACCTCTGGGTTTCCTGTCCTCATTTGGTCATTTTAATGGGAACCTGTTTTTAATGGCGAGACCTTGCACTTTCTGAGCACTTATGTGCCATATGCTCTATCCATGTATGGCACGTCATCTGATCTTTTTAGGAACACTGTGGGGAGGTATCTCTTTATGTTTTTAAATGATCAAATGGCGGCTCAGAAAGTTTAAATAACTTGCTCAACTTCTCCTAAATGATTGATAGAGCCAGAATTTGGAGCTAGATCTCTCTGCCTCCCAAAAAGTGAGGCCTGCAACAGAAGGAAGCTGTATCGTGGAAAAAAGCGTGGGCGTGGATGCTGGAGTGAGCCTTTGCTGTCATGCTGAATTAATTACACAGCTAAGCTGCACATAAGGTCACTTCAGCAAAATGCAAAACGTGTTGGCCTGTATCAGTCTCAGGAGTAGAGTACTATTTCACTTTTTCAGAAACCTGTAGTTAGTGGAAGTTCAGTTTCCATAGTGTTGCTGCTGTGCCTGTGTTATGCTTCTCTTGCTTCCTTCTGCGGACTCCGTCGGCGATAAGAAGGCGGTCACTTATCCCAGTAGGATGTCACTCAGTGTCAAAGCACTTGGAGCAGCAGAACTCACACTGCAGGGTCGTGCTCCTCTCCTAAAAGGCATCCCACTGAAATAAAAGCTGCTTATCCTCAGAAACACAAACTACTCCTCTCATCTGAGTGCTCTGGGGTAGTCAGCTGCCTGCGCCAGCTTGGTTAGCATTTGTGGTCTGCCAGTAGAAAGGGGCCACTTCTGCAGTGTTCCAGCGGAACACATCCTACAGAGCCTCTGCCGTACCCTCCTTAGCCATTCCCCAGAATCCCAGCAGCCCAGTGTTTGGAAACCATCTTGGTTTTCTTTCACTTTCGATTTTTCCTCCATCTATGCCAGTTTCTACAATACTTAGAGACTGAAAGAAATGACTCCAGAAAAAAAAAAGACCAAGATTTGTTTGACTTTGTGTTTATTTTTAATGTTCTTATATGTTTATTTCAACAGCTCAAGGGTAAAAAGCCCCCCGTGGCGTCTAATGGGGTCACAGGAAAAGGGAAGACTCTGAGCAGTCAGCCAAAGAAAGCGGATCCCGCGGCTGTTGTGAAAAGGACGGGTTCGAGTAAGTATACCATCGGATGTCTTGCATTCCGGCTTCAAGTGCACTTGGTGGAGCTGGGCCTGTCTGAGCCTGCCCACCCGTGAGTGCCAGCTTGGGGTCAGCTGGAGAGATGGAGCGGTGGGCACCGTCATCCTTCCTCATCAGCCACATAGAAGGACAGTGGCGATTTCAACCCAGCTTTTCTGACTGCTTGTAAATTGAAGCCCAGAACTGGTTTGCCACCTGTGGGATCGACTCAGCATTTTAAAATAGGAGGCAGTTGTGAGTGCAGGTTTCTTGCAGCTCCGGGTGGCCCTGGGCTCCAGGTCAGGAGACCTCAGCTCCTGTCCCTGATCTGTGGTTGTCAAGCCTTGCAGACTCTAAACTCAGCATCTTTATCTGTCAGACGTAGACACGTGGCTCCCGTGGTTGGTGCGGTTGGAATAGCTGAGGTAATACACGGACCTCCAAGCACTAGAGCAGTATGAGGAGTTCTGAGGAATGGTTATCCTGCGGTGCCTGTGGTCCACAGCAAGCCATTCTTATCCCATCCGGTTTACTTCCCACAGCCACTTTGTAAGCATAGGCATTATCCTCTACCCCATCATAGAAATGAGAAAAGAATCACCAAGAGAGTAAGCAGCTCCCCCAAGGCTCACAGCTGGTAAATCACAGAGCCAGAGTGGGTGCCAGGCCTTCAGACTCCACATCCAGCCGGAAATAGATTGGGCAGAGAAGCATTAAGACATGAGACACTCAGCCTGCCTGGACCCAGCACCCTCTTCCCTTCCCTGTAGTAGATCCAGCTAGGGCGATATGTCATCTCTTAAGTGTTTGTATTGGTGTTAGTCCTCATTATGTTGGATGTCTAATCAGGGAGCCAGCCAGGCAGCATTTTTTCACTCAAGGGGCTCAAAGATACACCAAAGTGGTCCAGCGGACCCACACATGCAGACAAGCAAGTGGCAGGGCTGCAGTGTGGGGATTTACAGGTGATGGGCTCCTGAGTCCATCTGGGCATGTCCAGGAAGATTTCCCAGAGAAAGAAGGTGGGAGTTAGGTGCAGATGTTGAGTTTGATGTGGTTACATGCCATCGCCACTTGGGATTTGCACCTGAGATTTTCAAATCTGAATCTGTGCAACTGGTAGACCAGTCTCAGTGCTAACGAAGATGAGGCCAGCTAGCCCCAGGTGGTAACCCCCACACCAGCTGTCGAAGAGCGAGGCTGCCATACCGACACGTGCCGACATTCATTTGCCCTGTGGTTCCACTTTTGGAGTTGGAGCATCCACACAGGGGAATGAAGAGGCTGGCAGTGTCCTTGGCCATGTTCGTGAACGAGGCTTGAAATCGCTCCGCAGGGCCAGGCTGCGTCTGCCCCAAGGAAGCGTATACATCCCTGATCTAGGCTTTTCTCCACCTCTGTTCTACCCAACATACGTGTTGACCAGATAGGTTGGAGCCAGTTGGGCCAAATCCTCCCTCCTACCACCATTTGTTTAATGTACTAACTTCCTTTGACCTTATCTGGCAAATCTTATTTCCTGAATGTATCAGGTGTATTTACTTTCACCTCTTTTAGTGTTGTTTCTTTGAGGAGGGGCAGATGGGGGAGAGGAGCAGCTCACACCTGGAAAGCTTTGTTACAAGCAAAATCGGAGTCCCACGGAGTCTCAATCGCCATGGTGTTTCTCTGTCAGTACCTGTGCTGACTTTATTTCCTAGATGATTTATTCCTTTATTTTATGGGATGTTCTGTAGGGAGTTTTTATTAACTGTGGTGACGTCTAATGGTGACAAAAGAGAAAAATAATGGCATTCCGTGTTTTTGCTTGAATCCAGCCGGTTGCATTATAGATTAGATGGGATTTATTACATGGGGACCAAAAGATGTGGAAATTTATAGGTGATTGCATTGAGTTCATTGGGGAAACAGCTTAGTTTAGAAATAAGCGAGTAGAGTTTGGACTTGGCCCTGTTTGCCAAATATGTTGTTAACCTTAGCTGCAAACAGCGATCCTTTTGTTTCAGATTGTCGAATGCTTCGCCTCTCCTCAGGCTGCCGACGCTTTTGCTGTCATTCTATGTGGTTCTTTTGATTAGGGGAAAATTGACTGGGGAGTGATCACTTTTTATGCCTTCATAAATGCAGTATTTCATTGAAATCATGATAACTTACGTTGCAAGAATTGGCAAATCCAGCATTTAGGACAGGTGCTAGAAATGGCTCCCTGCTGTCCCTGAGTGGACAAGGCTCTGGGAATCACTTATCGCTGATATGGTAAGAATTGTCAGTGAATGTCCACTACATCAGGCGTCGTATCATTTTGTTAGATTTTTTTCAGATATAACGTTCTAATTTAAAACACGCATGCACACGCACGCACACACACATACACACACACAGGATTCCTTCTCGTTTCTGCTTTAGAGAGGGTGAAGCTGAGCTTCTCCGGAGGTTGCTTGCAGAGTCATGGAGCAAGGGAGGGTGGAGTGTGGGTTTCTAGCCACCTCTCTGAGTCCAGTGTTTTTATTCTTAATCATTATGCCACCCCTGTGGCTTCTACCTGAAGTAGTTTCTAGCCTTGTGAGGGAGTCAGACACTTGGGGTGTGCAGTCAGGAAGGCCTGGGAGTTGCCTTCAGGCGTGAGTGATTGTTAGAAGCGACTGGGAGACCACGGAAGCTTTGAAATCGGTGATCCTCCATCCGAGTTTTGTTAGAACCTTCATCTCTTCCATGTGTCTTAACAAAGAGGTGTTGTCCTAAATTACTGTTATTGAAAAGCCAACATAATAGGAGAGAGCATGGGGTCAGGTTTTGAAAGCTGTTTTCACTGGTGATGTGAAGTTGCCAAGTCTGTAAATTTTCCCTACAGCTAGTTTCCTCTTCATTTATTCATTTTATGAAATAAGCATTTATGTGTTGCCCATTTGTGTTTGTTCTAAGTGCTTTATAAATATTTAATCCTCGTAACCACTCAGTGAATTGCCTGCTCTTACTATCCCCATTTCACGGATGAGGGAAACTGAGGCACAGAGGGATTCGTGCCCTGTTCCAGGTCATGCAGCTACAAGTGTAAGCTGGGACTCCTTCCTAGACAGTCAGGCTCCAGATACCGCTCCTGGTTGCCTCTTCATGTATCCGTTGTTCATTTATTCACTAAACAAGCATTTATTGTGCCACACTCCGTGCCGGGTGCTAATCTCAGTGCTGGGGGTGTAGCAGCAATTCAGAGCCAGTCAGATGACATGGCCATAAGGAACAGATACTGCGGTGTTAGGGAAGGATTTGAAGACGTAGAGAAGGAAGCAAATTTCAGACATTATTTTTGATATTACTCCTGTCTTTTCCGATTATAGAATGTTCATTCTCCACCTTGTTGCAGATTAATTATAAGCCGTGTGCCTCAAAGGGAAGTGAATTAAAGGAATTTCCTAATATTCTGTTTTCGTTTTTAAGAATTTGATTCAAAGAATATTGGAGAATTTGAACTAGTCACTTTTCTGCTTGGTTCATACCAGCCCTGTCCTTTTCTTGTTGAATTAGCAAAATAATGCTTTGTGTTTGTTTACTGAGTTGGCTGATTCAACAGGCTTTTTGAGTTACCCCATTATCTGCTTGAATAAACCTAATTTTTTTTTGACACGGGGTCTCACTGTCATCCAGGCTGGAGCACAGTGGCAGGATCACAGCTCACTGCAGCCTCAAGCTCCCAAGCTCAAGCGATTCTCCCACCTCAGCTTCCTGAGTAGCTGGGACTATAGGCATGTGCCGCCATGCCTGGCTAATTTTGTATTTTTTGTGGAGAAGGGATCGTCCCATATTTCCCAGGCTAGTAAACCTAATTTTTAATTGCTGCTTTTTTTTCTTCTCAAGATGCTGCCCAGTACAAGTATGGCAAGAACCGGGTAGAAGCAGATGCCAAGCGGCTACAGACCAAAGAGGAGGAGCTGCTGAAGAGGAAAGAGGCCCTGCGGAATAGGCTGGCCCAGCTCCGCAAGGAAAGAAAAGACCTTCGAGCGGCTATTGAAGTGAACGCCGGTATGAAGGGTGTGGGTGACTGCCCAGGGTGCATGTTTGTATTAGAGACTGGAGATTTCATTCTGCTTTGCCCAAAGGACCTATTGCTCACCAAGGCTGTCATTTTATTTAGTAAGAGTGGGTTATCTCACAGTGTTTCTTGGGGCTTGGAAACATTGCTGGTAACCCCGAGGCAGGTGCCTGTGTGGTCAAACATGCGGCGTGCAGGCAGAGGCCAGGGCCAGACCCACACGCTGCTCACCGAGGCAGGGGAGGTGCTGGGGGACCTGTTCCGGCTTCTGGCGCTGACAACAGAGATTGTCTGGAGGATGGCCCCTGTATCCGCAGGACGCAGTAGATTCTGGTCACCGGGTAGGAGGGATCAGCTGGATTTCTCTACAGAGGGTAGCCCACAGGGGTCAGTAATATTCAGAAGTCCAGACAAGGGTAGAAGCAGCCCCTCGTTTGTTGAGAAGGGACAGGCGAGAGCAAGGCAGCATCTGTCTTGGGATGCATCAGGGAAGAGGCCAGGCTAATGGAATACAGACACCAGAGAGGGACTGAAGTCACAGAAACTGAGTTTGCAGCCAGAGTGGCAGCCCTGGGCCAGGCGCGTGCAATTCCTGCTGGCGGGAGCTGGCGCTCAGCTCCTGAGCCTGGGGTGGCACCGCTTACCTACGCATGGCCTCCCTTCCAGCCCGGTGCTTAGACTACGGAAGACTGGCTCCTTAGATTGAGATTGTACTGGCCTGGGCTGGGACGGGGGCTTCAGATGCCTCAGAGCCCTGGGTGGTCCAGAGAAGAGGCTGTGGCCTTCCCATGGCTCGCCGCGCGGGGAGGAGCTGACGCACACCCAGCAGGTGGTTAGCAGCTCCAGCCTTGCTGGACTTTGTGCCTCAATGATCTGATGAAGGGAAATGCTTTTGGAGTTTAGAGGAGGGAAGGCAGGTGTTGGCAGGGCAGGTCGGGCTGACCCTATAGGAGGCCCAGGATGTGGCCTGCAGTCTGAGGCTGACCCTACGGGAGGAGGCTGTGCCAGAGAATGGGACGGGGCATGGAGTTTAATGAGACAGAAGTAGCATTTCTCCCGTGTTCCCAGCTTGCAGGATAGTGAAGATGCAGGAGGGCCAGGAGTGCTTTTGGCTTTGAAAAAGAGAACCTCGCCTGCCGGCCACCACCGGCCCAGGCCCTGGGCACAAGTCCGTTCACCTCTTGGGATTGGTGTTCTCATCTGCCCAGTGGGTGCATCTTAGGTCACTGCAGCAAACCTCAAATAAAATAAGTGAATGTGCCTTAAAGAAATGTGTGCCATGTCCAGTAGAGATGCAAGCTGAGCTACTGTTCATTGCCTCGGGCGCAAATAAGATGACTGAAGGATCGGCGGAGCGTTAGGGGAGGACAGGGTTCACACTCCAAGAAGGTGGCAGCTTTGGGAACTGTGGAGTTTAGGGTCCACGTTTTAAAATGAGAACATTGAGGCCCAGAGCCAGGAGCTCCTGGCCTTCGTCAGAATCAGCATCTCCTCTTTCCTGGTCCGAGTCCTCAACGGCTGCAGCAAAGGGAAATGGTAGGAGAAGGACTCTGATCCCTTAGAGAACTGCTGAATTTAAGTTTCACAACGAGGACCTAAGTCAGGGGAGCTCGACCTCAGACGTTTTGTGGAAGTTCTTCTTGGGGACCAGGTGCCTTCTCTGTTGTTTGGAGAACCTGTGCCTGCCGCGGGAGTAACGGCGTTTCTGGGAATTCCAGGCAGGAAGCCGCAGGCGATCCTGGAGGAGAAGCTGAAGCAGCTGGAGGAGGAGTGCCGGCAGAAGGAGGCGGAGCGTGTCAGCCTGGAGCTGGAGCTGACGGAGGTCAAGGAGAGCCTGAAGAAAGCGCTGGCGGGCGGAGTCACCCTGGGGCTGGCCATCGAGCCCAAGTCAGGGACATCGAGTCCACAGGTGTGTGTCCTTCTGGCTCACCTCGGAGGCTGGCGCGGCCTTGCGTGGCCGAGGGCCAGTGCACCCAGAGAGAATGTGGAGTGGCTCTGGGGCGTAGCTTGCTTGTGGCCCCTTAGTGTGCCCAGCAGAAGACAGTTCATGTGTTAGCATCAGACACTTTCATCGGCCGGGCCTGTGTTCCTGACATGCTTTCTCACCTCTCGCTGAAATGTTAAAAGCTGTGGAAATGCTGAGTCTGTGTCTTTCCCCTTTGCACAATCTGTTTAGAACAGATCCAGTCCTCGTGTCTCTTCTGAACCAGGTCATGATTTGATGCCAGTTCAGTAGAGCCGGTGCTTACAAACCGTCTAACATGTCTGAGAGTTAAGCCAGGTGCTGGGGAAACTGAAATGAATGAAGCAGTCTGTGTCCTCTTAGAATCAAACAGAACAAAGTGGGGTCCTCTTCCCATGTGAGTCATCCCTGTCCCTGGTTCCTCTTCAGTCATTCGGCTGAGACCGCTGAGAACTTAGACGTCTTCTCCACTTGGTCATTCTGTTGAGTCTCCTGTCTTGTGAGTTGGATGCCGTCACTCCATTGAGCGAGGGAGGCACTGGGCCCAGAGCAGTAAACACGCCTGCAGGGCAGACAGAACAGGCAGCCAGTGAGGGACGGCTGGACTTCAGCCCCTGTTCCAGCCGAAACACCGTGGGTGCCCCTGGGTCCCCACCCACTGCGTCCCGAACGCTCCCCTTCTAGGTCCTTCTTTCCAAACCCCTCAGTAAAATGCTGAGCCTGGTTGAACCCACCGCTGCTCTTCCACATGAGCCCTGGGCGGGTTTGTGGGGAAGATTGACACATTTATGGGTTGACGGCAGCCCTGAGTTTCAGTCACTTGCTGGCCCCTACCGGGCACCACCCGCACAGCCTGTTCTTCCTTACTCTCCCCTTCTCCTCCAAGCCTCTCCCATCCCCCCATCCCTGCCCCAGTCTCCTGTGGCACCCCAGCGATCACCTCCAACCCAGAGGACAACCTCCCTCCCGCCTGCAGAGCTGAGCAAGCAGCCAGGTCACTGCTCTGTCCCCAAACCACAAACCCAGCCACTCATGCATGGTTCTTTCAGGTGTTCAAGAGGTGGCTCTGGGGTCACACAGGCCAGGGCTTGAAATGACTTGACTTCTCTAGGCCCTGAGTTTTTCATCTGTAAATAATAACGGTCGCTGCATAGACTGTGTGTGGACGCTTTTGGCACAGTGCCCACCGAAGCGCCTGTGTTCATTCACATCATTCACATCTTCCCAAACATACACATGCATTCATTCATTCATTCCACTCATCCAACAATTGCTTGTTGATATCATTATATACATTACTGTTATATATTACATAAAATCATATATTCATTCAACATTTATCTATTATATATAAAATACAATTATATATTTATACGATACATACTATTTAATATGTAAAGGTGTGTGTGTGTGTACATACACACATATGCATATGCTGTGTTCCTTCTTGAACTCCTGGGCTCAGGTGATCCTCCCACCTCACTTCCTGAGTCACTGTGGTTACCGGCGGGGGCCGCCATGCCCAGCCCACATTCTGTGTTCCCTCTGTGTGCTACAAACTGTTCCAGGCCTGCAGTTATGAACAAGATAGGTGAGAATCCCTGTTTCATGGAGCTTATCTTCTCATGAGGGAGGCAAACCAATAAAACACGTTGGTGTCAGATGCGGACAGATCTGTGGAGAACAGTGAAACAGTGCTGAGGAGGAGGGGTGCAGGGGGAATTGGAATCCAAGGGCTAGGAGGTGCCTTGGACAACCCCAGTCCCTCATCCAGCATAAATGGGGACAAGAGCATGGTGGGGTCAGGTGCAGTGAGAGTGGCAGTGAGGCTGTAGGCATTGGCTGGGACAGGGCAGGGGTCTTCCCTTGCTTCATGGAGCCCTGTGCCCCTCCCTCTGTGATCTGAGGCAGGAGTGCACACAGTCCCCCACGCTGCTTGTCTTTTGTCCTGCGTGGAGGGTGGTGGCAGGGCAGGAGTGCTCTGAGGAGCTGTCCCGCCCCCGTCCTCTGGTTCTGTTTGAGTGGAGGGGCTGGGCTTCCTGGGCTCTGGTCAGTGCCTCGATCTCATCCTTCCTGACCTCCAGACACCTGGGAGGATCCTTCTCCTGTGTCTTCAGCTTTTCTGTCAGCTTTTTCCAAGCATTTAAGGATTCTCTAGTTGAATCCATCCTTAAAAAAAAGAAGGTTCTGCCTGGCCTCCTGCTCCCCCTGGTGACTGTCCCCTTGCCCTGCGTTCTTGCCTTTCCTTCCAGGGTGAACTTTGGAAGCAGTTGTCCATGCTTGCAGCATGCTTGCAGTGTCCTCTGCCCCTCCTACAGCTTCACTTTCTGGATGTGGCTTCCCATTGCACCTGCTTTCATCATGGTGACCCCCGGCATTCCCATCCAGTGGACATGTTAGTCCTCACTCCCCGGTTCCGGTGCCCTTCGGCACAGCTGCCCACTCTCTTCTATGGTGGCTCCACATTCTTCCACCCCCATGGCTCGAGCTTCCCTCTGGCCCCTTCTCCAGCTCCTGCCTTGCCACCCCCCGCCTCGCTTCTCCTTTGTCCCAAGTATCCTTTGGGGGCCCACGCCTGGCTTGCTGCCTCTGCTTCCCCGCTCCCAGTCCACTGTGCTTTGCGACTTCCCCTCTGTTTTGAGGGAGGATGTCCTTGGTGCCATCCTCTGTCCCCGCATCTGGGGAAGCACTCTGCACCGCTGCAGCCCAGGCCGTCCTCGGGAGAGTGGCTTATTCGGTGGACCCCTCTTGAGATGCAGGTCTTTGGGTCACCTGCCCCTTTACTCACAGCCTAGCCTGGCCTCTGCCAGACACAGATGTCCTGATCATCATTCCATTGTATTCACTCACTACTACCCTAAGCTCCCTCCCGGCAGCCAGGGGCTGCCACTGCATAGGTCAAGTTGGCTGCCTGGGGATTGTGGCCAGTAAAGCCCACAGGGGACCCCGAGCTGCCCATTTTCATGGTAATTGAAACACTGTTCTAAAACAATATTCCATATACCCTGAGCAATATTTTTTACATAACAAACACATTTTGGCAGGAATCCTAGGAAGCGTCTCTTCCTTGGAGACTTCATTTGAGAGAAGGCTCAGCAGACTGTGGCGTTTTTTTCCCCCCAGAGAGCAGTTTGGGATCCCATATGGAAGAGCCAGCAATGGGGGCCTCGGCAGCTCAGGACACATGTTGTTCTATTTTCAGCCTTCCTGAACACCTCCTCCTTTGGCATATGGAAGCTGCCGTAAACACTAGGAAGGCCTCTGTGCTCATGGAGCCTGCTTTTCTCCAGCGAGCCCCGCGCAGTGGGGCTGCATCCCGTTAGCCAGTGCTGCCGTGAGTGCCGCCACTTTCTGCTACCTGAGCATCTCTAGGGCGCTGACCCCAGAAAAGCTCAAAACCTTAAAGCACTGCACAAAGGGACCAGCTAGAGGCGGCAGCAGCTGCATGCAAGAGCCCAGCTTTGAATGCAAAAGACTAGGGCAGGAATCCCACCCTCACTGCTTCCCAGGCACAGCCGGGAGTCAGAGCACCCCTTGGAGCCTCCACCTGCCCGTCGGAGCCTCTGCCCCCCGGCCGTGAATGCCAGGAGACGCTCTGGGGGTGAGGCACTGACCACGTGGCAGTCCTTGCTGCTACTGCTGTTATTTTTGCCCATTTCCAAAACTTATTTCTTCCTTGAAATAAATCATTTTCCTGCTGGAGAATACCAGTGGCCCAGAAACCGCTCATCACATGGGGTTCTCTCTCTCCGTTAAGTCTCCAGTGTTCCGGCACCGGACCCTGGAAAACTCGCCCATCTCCAGCTGTGACACCAGTGACACCGAGGGCCCCGTGCCGGTGAACAGCGCGGCCGTCTTGAAGAAGAGCCAGGCTGCCCCGGGCAGCTCCCCCTGCCGAGGGCATGTGCTGCGGAAGGCCAAGGTAAGCCCTGATGTCCGGGGGTGTCTGGGTGTCCTGGGCAGGCACTTTAAGCTCCCAGCATTCTCGGGTGTGAGTAGGGAGCCCATTCTTCTTCCTACTGCATCCACTTGGCACTCAGCCTTCAGTAGACATCTGGGAATGGGTGCTTATCGAGTTCTCACCACCCCGCAGATCCTGTTAGGAACCGGGTTCTCAAAGGTGAACAGTGACTGGAAGGTGCTGACCGTTTAGCCCCAGTGCCAACAATTGGCTCCAGAGTCATCTCAGATGCAGGCAAGCCCTGGGCTCCTCTGGACTCGTTTTCTCAGTGGTGCGGTGGAGATTAGACCAGGAGACCGCTGAAGTCCTCTTCAGCACTCAGATGTGTGATTCTTTAGAAAAACAAAGGAAAGGGTCCAGGAATAAGCTTTCCCCCAGCCCCTTCCCTAGCACCGCCAGCTGCATGAATCGGGCTCTGAGGGCCTCGGAGGAACCTGTTTACTCCCTCCTGGGGCAGCTTCCGGTCTTCTCATGGGATTAGCCACTAGCAAGTTTTGATGCTAACCTTTGAAACCTCAGAAATCTTTAAAACACAGTAGTTGATCAAAGCAAACGGGTCCTGGCGGCAGCAGCGGAAAGTGCTGTGTGTGGAAGTGCACGGAGTGCGATGGTGTGAGCTGGGGAGCCACAGGAGTGTGGCCGGCCCCGCCCCGAGGGGCTGGAACACGGGAGTCCTCCTGTACCGGCTCTGTGGGTTCCTCTCATTGCCGGAATTAACTTTTCTTTTTTTGAGGCAGGGCCTCGCTCCCTGGCCCAGGCTGAGTATAGTGGTGCCATCACAGCTCACCACAGCCTTGATCTCCTGGGCTCAGGTGATCCTCCCACCTCAGCCTCCCAAGTAGCTGGGACTGCAGGTGTACACCATTATGCCCAGCTAACTTACTGTATTCTTTATAGAGATGAGGTTTGGCCAGTATCGCCCAGGCTGGTATCAAACTCCTGGGCTCAAGTGATCCTCCTACCTCCCAAAGTGCTGGGATTACAGTCGTGAGCCACTGCGCCCAGCTTGGCATTCTTTGCAGCTTTTGGAGCCCCCTCCGAGTTGACTGGGGATAGGTGTTTCCTGCGAGATGGGAATGAGTGCCGCCCCCCTGCTGTGCTCTCTGGGGTGCTCACAGGAGGGCCCCTGAGAAACATGGTTGTCCCCAGCCTCCCAGAACAGTGGTCCTCCATAGCAGATCCGTGTACTGAAGACCGTGTGTGTCGGTGAGTCTGGGGAAGGGAGGAATGGCTGGCTGTCATCTCCATTGCTTTTCTTAGTGTTTACCAAGTGTTCTCAGCTGGTGACCACTGAGCTCACTGATGGAGGAATATGTTTTGCCTGGGGGATGTTTAGAATTGAGCTGCCCAATGACATCCCACTTAGGACTCGCAGATGAGAGATGCTGTAAATGTACTTCATCTATTTAGTTTCTTTATCATCAAAGAAATTGGACTGAAAATTCTGTGGTCCCGACCCTCAAAAGGGCTCCCATCACCGTGTGTGCTTCCGTCATACAGAGGTTCAGGCCCCCCGCTCCCTTTTGCTCCCTCTTGGTGAATGGGAAGCGAGTGATCCTGGGCCACCTCAGATGCACAGCCAGCTGTCCAGATGGGTCCCCACTGATAGGTCCAGAAAACAGCGGAAGCTGCTCTCGTCCCTCCAGCTGAGAATCTTGTGCAGAAATCAGAAGGGGACGGACTGAGCAGGGTTCCCCAGGATTTCTGAGAACAGTGACAGGGGACCCCTGGCTGGAGGTGGTGGGGCCTGTAGACCCTGAGAACATGAATGCACTTGTGTATCGTAAACTTGGTCTCATCTGCCTCCCGCCTTTTTCTGGGGACCAAGGGGTCTGACGTATTCCGGATGTGGGAAGCGCTATGCCCGCTGCGGTATTCCTGAAATACCTTCCAACTCTCGGTGAGGAGCATTGAGCGCAAGAGAGGGTTCTGGAAAGTCAGACGGCTTCCAATCCCGTGCCCCAGGGCTTCCTGGCTCATAACCACCCACCAGGCACAGCTCCAGGTCAGATTTCCCTTCCCTTCATCTGGGCAGGCCGTGTGCCAAGGGCCATCCAGGCATGGAAACTGTGGCTCTGCTCTGGGAGGTGCCCGAGGGGCAGGCGCTGGGCTGCTCCAGGTTTCGTGCCCCTGCCTCTCGTGACACATTCACCTGGAGATTCTGTTACCCTCTCGTGACACAGTCACCTGGAGATTCTGTTTCCCTCCCGTGACACAGTCACCTGGAGATTCTGTTTCCCTCCCGTGACACAGTCACCTGGAGATTCTGTTTCCTGCCCTGCTCCGAGTTGAGTGGAGGATACAGGTTCTCATCCTGTCGCTTATTCTGTGGCCAGTGTGACCTAGGCTTGGAATGTTACCATTTCCTCGGCTTGTTTGCTAAACATATGTGGCACCACGCGGAGGTAACATGGGGTCCTCCCTCTCTGAAAACCCCACTGCCTGGGAGGAAATGGGGGACCTGTACAACAGAGGACTGCCCTTGAGCGCCGACCTTGTGATGCTGTCCCCTGGGCACCTTCTCTGCTTACAACGGCCCACATAGCTGTCCCAGGGAGGCTGAAGGGGCAAGAAGGCACGAAGCGTACCCAGCTACCCATCCTCCCCTTTGCAGAACACTTCCGCCGAGTCTGAGAGGGCCTCAGCATAGTGTTGTCGGCATTGTGGCTTGGTGTTTGTTTCTGCCAGATTTGCTAGTGCTGTGAATTTAACCATGAGTTGAACTCGAGCTTTTGATTTAGACAAAGTGAGAAATTGTTCATTGTATGCAGCATGCGGAGACGTGCAGTGTACTCATGACCCAGTTAATGAGCCCCTGGAAATAGTGGGAGTCAGGCGTCTGCATCCTGGCGCAGGGTCACTGGGCGGGCGCAGAGAAGAAAGTCCCTCTTTGGTGGCCGGGCGCTGTGGTCGGGGCTTTCACAGACCCTGTCTCCTTTGATCTTCCCAATTGCTCTTTGAAGTCCTTGGTGGGACTCACGTTGTACCATGGCTCAGAGAGATGAAGCAACCTCTCCAAGGCCCCTCAGTGGCTGAGGCACAGAAGGTCTGGCCCTGGCGTCTGTGCCTTCTGCTGTCCTCCAGAGCCATCCATGCCAGGGAACCAAGGGCCTCTGTCCTGCATGGTGTCTGCCGCTGCTCTGACCTGGGTCTGCTCTTTTGCCTCCTCTTTCTGGAACTCAATCCCATGGCCAAACCCCATTTCAAATCCACGTAGCTCCAGAGACCATGAGTAGCCCAGGCTTCTGCCTCTGTGCAGCTGCACTGGGTGCTGAGGACCCAGAGATGAATGGATGGAAAGGAAGAGGTGAGGAAGAGCACGGAGGGCGCTGTCCAGTAGGGAGGGGCAGGTACATCTATTGCTGTGACATGGCTTGTTGAAAAGCACAAAAACTGCACAGAAGATGGGAGCATTGCCTCCCTGAGTCAGGACGAGGGGCACAGGGTGGTGGGGAATCACTGAAGCCTGGTCCTCAGGATGCATGAGGCTGGCCAGGTGACATCAGGTGGAGAACAGGCATGGGTGTGTGTAGAGAGAAGCAGATACAAAAGCCAGAGTGTGGCCTGTTGGGAGGCAGCAGGGCAGAGTGGAGATGGGAGGCCTTTGCTGTGGACCCAGTGGTTTTGGGGCCCAGCTTCATCACTTTGGACCTAAGGCAAGTCATTAAGCCTCTGTCTCCTTAGCGATTGATTGATTGATTGAGACAGGGTCTTGCTCTGTTGACCACGCTCGAGTGCAGTGGCGATCATGGCTTACTGCAGCCTCAAACTCCTGGGCTCAAGCAATCCTCTCGCCTCAGCCTACCGAGTAGCTGGGACTATGGGTGTGCGCCACCACACCCAGCTAATTTTTGTATTTTTTGTAGAGTTGGGGTCTCCCTAAGTTGCTCAGGCTGGTCTTAAACTCCTGGCATCACACAATCCTCCCACCTCACTCAGCCTCTCCAAGTGCTGGGATTCCAGGCATGAGCCCTGCACCTACCTGTCTCTTCACTTATGAAGTGGGGGTACTGTCCACCTTGCAGGGCTGTTGTCAGACCAGACATAGCCGCACCCAGTGCATGGCACAGTGCCTGCCCAGTGCCCACTGTCCCTGCTTTCACAGTGCTGGCACTGCGTAGACCACAGCCATCTGCAGCCAGCACTCAGGGCCTGTGGATGGAACCAGTCCAGCTGCTCTGCTGACTGGATTTAAGCATCTACATATTTAAAAAAATTTTTTTCTATTAGAGTAAAATAAACACGATGTAAAATTGACCATTTTAAGCATTTTTAAGTCTACAGTTCAGTGGCATTAAGCACATTCCCATTGTTGCACAGCCATCGCCGCCATCCTTCTCCAGAACTTTCTCATCTTCCCAAACTTCCCACCCCAGCCCTTGATACCCACTATTCTACTTCCTTTTTTTTTTATATTTTTTGAAATAGACATGATGCGGTCTCGCTACGTTGCCTAGGCTGGTCTCAAACTCCTAGCCTCACGCCATCCTCCTGTCTGTGTGTCCCACAGTGCTGGGATTCCAGGCGTGAGCCACTGCACCCAGCCCACTTTCTGTCCTTGTTAGACTTCTCCAGGTCCCTCACATAAGTGAAATCGTTACAGGATTTATCCTTTTGTCATCGGCCTGTTTCTGATCATGTCCTCAAGGTTCATCCAGGTTGCAGCGTGTGTCAGAAGGCCCTTCCTTTTTCAGGCCGAATACGTGGTGTTGTCTGTACTCGCCATGTTTTACATGTCTATCCATCGGTGGACACTGGGTTTCCTCTGCCTCCTGGCTGGTGTGAGTCATGCTGCTGTGAACGGGGTGTGTGGTATCTGCTGGAGACCATGCTCTCCATTCTGATAGGTGAATACCTAGCAGTGGAATTGCCGGGTCATTGGTCATTGATTCTGTTGAGTTTTCTGCAGTAGCCGAGCACCCACCCCCTCTGAGTTGAATGTGGATGGTGGCGTGGCTTGTCCCAGCCTGATCCTCTTGCCCTGTCCACTTACAAGACTCTCCTTTCCTCTAGGAATGGGAATTGAAGAACGGGACCTAGGGGACAGCAGCACCACTCCAGCCTCAGAGACTGCACACCCCCTTGCCTGTATCCTCATCTGTGTGACGGCAGGAAGCTCTGCCCAGAGTGGCCTCAGCTGCACGACTCCAGAGGCTCCACGACTGAGCTCTGAGGCCAGTGCCTGTCCCCCAGGCCCACTTGTATTCTTTCTACTGTAAAATGGCGCCTTTAAAAAAGATGTAAGACTTTGGTTCCCAACTTTGTTAAAAAACAAAAAAAGTGATGGAAAGGTGTTTGAAAGGATGCTATCAGGCGAAGTGACATCTTTCTAACCAGATAGGCCATTGCTTTCACCGATTCCAACCCAGCCCTGGACTGAGGATGGATGGTTCCATGAGCCCCCAGATGAAAACCTGGATTCGACAGGGAAGAGCTTGGATCCCCGGCTGCCCCGGGCATGAGTGTGGCTGGCCATGGGCACTGGGCTCGCCTTGCACGCCCACCAGGAGGGCCAGGGGCATACGCAGTCCTGACGTGGACTTTGTGTCTTGGCGTACCCTCTCCACGTGCCCGTCCCCCTCGTCATCAGAGGTAAAGGCATGAGAAAATCGCGCTGTGAAACGTTTTTTACCTTTTATTATTATTTTTTGGACAGATGCTTTTGTCACCAAGACATGAAAAGCTGCCATTCTTCTTAACCTGTTTTTTAGGAATGTCTTTTTACTGTGTGTCACACTTAGATCAAGGAGTTTTCAGAGGTTCCTTATTTTATTAATTAATTATTTGTGCTGCTTTTGACAGGTAGCAGAGGGTTTTAATACTTCACTAACAGTACACCCTCCTCCCCCTTGGGCTAGCATCCCCAGCCCTTAATCCACGTCGGAGCCGGCAGGTGCTTCTCACACCAGGAGCCTCTGGGGGCAGGGGCTGGCTCCTCGCCGCTGTACAGGACGTTTACTGCTGCTTGGGGCCAGGGCAGTCCTTTGAAAGGGAAGCAAGTTCCGGAATTTGTTCGCTCATGGAACTATAACACCTTAGAGCAAGAGGCAGGAATTCCAGGGCCTCCTGCCCCTCCCCTTCCTCCAGCTTGTCAAGTTAAACCACTAATGTGTTGGTGGGCCTGGCCGTGCTGCCTCTCCTGAGTAGGGTGGGTGCAAGTAGGGCCTCTTTCCCAGCTTTCTTGCTTGCCTTCTGTGCAATATTTCTTGGAGAATTTGGATGCCTAAGGCATAAAGGAAAAAAACAGAGTTCATAGTTTGAGCTGGTATTTACCCCCTGGGTTTAAAAATCAGATTAACTTCTTGGTCTCCCGGAGGCTGCTGTCAGGAATTCTCCAGTACGGGAAGATGCAGTCACTTATGACGAAATAAGTCACCCCTGAACGCCTCCGCAGGCAGATTCATGGAGACCAGTCCCAGTAGCAACCGCCCCTTCCCCAAGCATAGAATACAGAGGTGCCATACTTGGTGTAAGCCTTCCTTCTGTCCACTGTCCAGAATGTCCTTTTTCACACAGAGGAAGAGATGGCGGGAAAACACTGACTGACTCCTTGGGTTTCCCCCAGACATACTTTCAGAGCGCTAGCTGTGTGGTGCACGGGACTTTACAGTTAGGATTCATGTTTAAGGTGGTGGCGCTTGAGGCCTGCAAGGGCCACGTTGGATTACTGAAGCGGAAAGCGGTCTCCCATGTATAAGAAAAAGTTTTACAACACGAATTGGAAGCTGCTTGAGTCCACCTGAACTTGAATTGATTGCAAAGCCATCTGCTGGGAACGGTTTTGGGTTCCTGAGCCATCAGCCAGCCTTTCTTTCCCCTCTGATGCACGTTCCTCCCGGCCTAGTCCGTGGAGGCCCATCACACCAGCATCCGTGACGCCAGCTTCCCACTAGGACATCCAGGCAGGTCGGGCGGGGACGCCACACACCTCAGGGCCGTCCGCTGCATTGCCATAGAGGAGCCCTCCCTCCAGTGGTCACTTCCCACCATTGCAGGCAGACTTCCCACCATTGCAGGCAGCTGGGCCCACTTCATATCACACAAAATGAATTTTCTATAAAGGGAAAAAAGTTTGCTCCTCCATAGATTTTTGCTGCCTTCGGGTCAAATAGTTTCCCTGGTTGACACTCTTGGGCCACTCTGATTGGCAGCCTGCTTTGCCAAAGAGAACTGTGTGAGGTTTTGGTGGTTAGTAAGAGAAGGGGGAGATGGCCAGCCTGAAGTCACGGTCCTGGCCCAGCACAGGTGGGCAGCAGCGAGCTGGCAGGTGAAGTGTGAGCAGCACGCAAAGTGTCACGTGGGCCTTAGCCGTCACCCACCAGCTTCCTCACCAGGCAAGGAGGCCCCGGAGCCTTAGCAGGGACTTGCCCAACGGCACAGCTGATTGGTGCTCGACTCCCAGCATGCATATTTTGTTGTAAAAACCCAGGTTTGTAATTCACATCCACAACCCTAAGCCTTTTAAAGCGGAGGCAAACGTTAACAAACCCCATCGTGGTCCATGGAGCCTTTCAAAATGGGTGCCCTGGAGGGGCCTGACAGTGGGTTCCTTCCATGGCGGATACTCCCTTGAAATTTCACATTCCATCAAAGTTTAAAGCATTTACTTCAGAATAAGTTATTTATGTGTATATGTTCAATAAATATAGTTTTTAATTTATATCTGTACATATTAGACACACGCGAGCCATCTTGCCAGAATTCTGACAGTGATGTCATTTTATTCCCCTCCCAAAACATGCCCCAGGAACAAGCACCCCTTGCCTCTGTGGCAGCTGCGAGTGTGTCTGATTTCATAACGAAGCCAGGCTGAGGGCAAGAGGCCCGACAGGCAGGCCAGGGTCCCCGGAGAAGCCGGATTTCTTCGCAATGTCACTGGTACTTAGCAGATGGTCGTGTTCACAGGGGCTAGCCACCTGTACTACGGTGCCGACCGCAATGCGAGGAATGTGGTGGCCACGCGATGGAGCTGGCCGGAGGACAGGTCAGGTGAGGGGGCCGACCCCTGCGGGGCTCAGGGCTCCTTCCATTCTAACCTTGAGCCACAGTGTCACTCTTCAGGGCTCTGCTCCTGGCTCTATTTTGTTAAGGTGTCATCAGCCTTCAACCTCCATTTATATATTTTTATAATGTTAAGCCACTGACCAACTTTTTCATAGAAACAACTATCAGATTCGAGGGCTCCCTTTGTCCCCCTGACCTGGGCACAGGCATGGGCGATGGCTCCCTCTTCCCAGAATCTGCGGGGAACTGGGGCAAGGCCCATCTGTCTGCAAGGCTGGTAGCTCTCTCCCTCGGCTTCCAGAGTCCACGGCAGTTGCAAGGTAACCAGTGTGGATCTGCTGAGTCACCCCAGGCACCAGACTTACCCCAGGAGCATGGGCCACTGTCCATGGGGCCTTCCTTGAGACCTTCCCTTGGGGCTGGCGGGCGGCGGCTTACCAGCTGGGTCAGTCCCATCTCGCCCCTCTGTGCCTATGCCCTGGCGTTGCCAGGCTTAACCTTCCCCTGTATCTTACTCATCCCAGAATTATTACTGGCCATTTCTAAATAGACAAAAACTACCCTAAAATGTGGAGATTTACTCCTTTTGAAAAGTCTGTTTCAAAAAGTGTGGCCTCAGCTCTGGAGGCCACCCCCAGGAAGGAGTTTGAGGTTCATTGTCATTATGGCCACAGTTTGGTGCTTGTGCACGGGACTCAAAGGGCAGCGTCGAAGCTGGGGTTAGGTGTAGGGTTGTGAGCAAAGCTCCCCTGTTTGTGGCCACACCTTCCCTTTCCAAAAAGGCTATTAATTCTACTCACCCACTATTTGGGGGGATGTAAATTTTGCCCACAGACTTTGCCACCCAGGTGAGGTGCTGTGTTCATGCACGGAACTGATGTCATTAGACACCATCCAAGGATGGGCAGCCTGCAGTGTGGCCGGCGACTGCCATCCAGAGAAAAGGCACCTTGTGCCACAGGGCGGGGCCGACACCCTGAGCTCACAGGTGGCCCCTGCATTCAGGTGGATGTCCATCCTTGAAACAGCCTCTTCTGGGAACACAGCACTGGAGGTCTCCAGGCATCAGGGTTGGCCGGCAGGGTGCCCTGCAGCTTACATAAAGGTCGTGGCAATGTTTCAATGTTAAACTAAACTATTGCCTTCCTCTTACTTTTCCTAAAATGATTTTCTAATGGGAACAGTCACTTCAAGTTCATGACATAGTTTGAAGGAGGATAATTCATTTTTTCCTGGTTGTCACTGTCTTCTTATCCCCTTGGTGGGCTGGGTTCATACTGTGAAATAAACTAAAATGAAACCAAAACGTTCCTGCCGTAAATACGTGGCACAGCACTGCAGAAAAAGCAGTCACCTCTATTCGTGAGTCCCCAAGCCATAGCAGGGCGTCTGTAAAAGAAGGGAAACTGCACCCAGGAAGTGGTGGGCGTCAGACGCATCCTTTCGCCCGTAGTTCATGAAATAGTTCCGGCTTTGGTCTTCCAGAAAATCTCAACTTCACCGTGCACAAGTGTTACCGGGTCTTTTTAGTGTAGCCATGGAAGATACTTTCAAAAGGACATCTTCAGATCATAAGTCTTAGGACCAAAGGTGTTTTTAATGAGATAATCTTTTTGATTTTCTAACAAGAAAGGAAATATTCACTTTACATTTTAACATCAACTTTTAAGTGATATTCAGAATTAATTGACCATGGTGATACGTTGTAAAATGTTTTCATATTAAGAATGTAATTATTTCCTTATTGTATTTTTTAAAAGCTAAAGTCATATTTAAAATTCTCTTTGAAAGAAACAGGCAAAGAAACAGCAAAGATTTTTTTAAATTAAATATGTTAGTAGTGCCCACTTCAAATGACTGTAAATATATTTTCACTGTTTCTCAATGTATTTAATTCATAAAGTAAAAATTTTATGAAAAGAAACTTGCAAGGAAAATCCTAGTTTTCAGTCCACTCGCCCCACTTTGTAGTAGCTTCACTGAATTTCCTGCTTTCCTGGTTGAATTTTCTACTGTTTCACGTGGTGTAACCCTAGACTGGCGCCCTTGGCGTGCCCCTTTGTGTATGAATAAACTTCTCTCCCCCAGCCCCGGTGTCTTCACTGCCCTTGGTGTGTGCTGCACACTGAGAAGTGGCTGCTTTTCCTGAAGTCCTTGCTGTCAGGTGGGTGGGGGTCTCTCGCTGACATTTGGCCACCTACCGGGGAGAGAGGGGTGAGGAGTGACACATGAAGGGAGGACGTAGGCAGATGAAGGAGCCGTGGTTTATATTAAAAAGTAGCTTCGAGTCCACAGACCTGAACATCCAGTTCAAGAGACGTTTTGCGCACCTGCTGTGAGGCCAACTCTGTGCCAGGTGCTAGAAATAGAAATGGGTCAGCTACAACTCCTGCCCTCAGGGAGCTTGCTCCAGGCAAGACGACATGGAAAGAGATCCTGGATGCGCCTTTTGTGTAGAGGACTGTACGCAGATTTCTGGAATCACAGAGCTCCTAAGTTTGAGGCTGTTGGGTGGGGTTTTTGCAGAGGAGTGGGGGTTATTTGAACTAGGCTCTCATGTTTAAATAGGAGTTCTGCAAGGAGAGAAGTCATTTTCCAAGCGCCCTCGGCCTGCCCTTTGACACTGTGAGCAGCGTGTCCTCCCAGGCAGCGTCTGAGAAGGCTGAGCGTCCCCTGCTGCACCGTTAATTGTTCCCTGGTGGGCGGTTAGTCTTGCTGGGAAAGTCTGGTTAAAGCTTTTAATAGGCCATTTTTAAAGTAACGCTCCTTGTTGGCTTTTGAACAGAGGTCATGCCCTGGTAGGCTGCCAAATGGAAAGGAAGGGCCTCTAATTTCCTTTTGAACTTAGGGAGAGGACACCGGGACTCCTGGCTTTGCTTTTTAACACCATGGAGAGTGCTCAGCGATATTCATCATGTGAGTTATAATTTTGGGAACAGGCGACACGAAGCCTCAAGAACATAAATCAGGAGCCCAGCTCCTTAATGGGAAGCAGGGAAAACATGAGCTGATGTCTGTGATCCAGAAATTTTATGATGGAAACTTCATCTGTTTTATGAGGCTGTTAAAAGTGGCTATCCTTTCATACAAAGGGACCGATTGGAAAGTAGGGCAGGAGACCTGGCAGGACGAAGGAAGGAGTCAGGCGTACCCACCTCCTGCACAGGGGGCGGGGGTGGGGCCGCAGGCACGTTCAGACCGTCCCCTGCACTCAGAGGGTCTGGTGCATCTAGAACCCTCTCTGAGGTCAGGGGCTCCTCACAGCTGAGCCACTGCCTCCTTCTTTGGGGCACCAACCTGCCTCGGAGGGCTGCCCATAACATCTTTTTTTCCTGATGCTTTAACTTAGGACACCTTGCTGACCCTGGAGGGACGGCCCCTCCCAGGGCTGGCCAGTTCCTAGAGATAGTAACCCCTAGCCTGGCGCACACCTTACAGAAAAACCAAGCAGTCTAGAGCCACACCCGCCCTCACTATCGGGGGCTTGGGGATCTCACACTCCAGCCCACTACACCCCGGCCCTAATCACCCCAGGGCCAGGCAGCAGACCACAAGACACAGCCAATGTCAGGAGCCCACAGAAGTGATTCAGGCCACCCAGCCCCAAGCCCTCTTCCCTGGCCTCAGCTGTTCCTTCCCGCAGAAACCACAGCAAAGGTTCCTGGATTTGCCCGTACTTTCCCCTTGCTCCCCCGGCCTCTCAGCTGGCCTGCACTTCCCTGTGTGGCCTGGCATGGCCTAGTGTGGTGTGGCGTGGCGTGGCGTGACCAGTCCTACTGAGAACCTTAACAAACTAGCTTGTCAGCGACAGTAGGGCCTCGCCATACCTGAAGGTTAATTGAACGGATGTTTCCAAACGCCCCAGTCCTGTGGAAAGGACACGGACCTTGGCACCAGCCTGTCTCAGGCCTACATCCTGCCTGCTCTCCCATAGGACAGATAATGACAACTCGCAGGCTGTTCTGAGAATTCAGGGAGCCGCATGAAATACCCAACATGAGCCTGGCCCCGACGGGCAGGTGCGAGTCACCCCACGTGGGATGCGGCCCGGCTCCTCGGCGCAGTCCCCGAAGGCACTGGGATGACAGCCCTGCCGCCACTCTGCTCTCAGGGCCGTCCTGATTGTGCACAGACCAAGCCAACCTTCTCGCCCTCAGGTCGATTGTGCACAGACCAAGCCCACCTTCTGGCCCTCGGGTCGATGGTGCACAGACCAAGCCCACCTTCTGGCCCTCGGGTCGATGGTGCACAGACCAAGCCCACCTTCTGGCCCTCGGGTCAATTGTGCACAGACCAAGCCAACCTTCTGGCCCTCGGGTCGATGGTGCACAGACCAAGCCAATCTCCTGGCCCTCGGGTGAGATCCTAAGTCGCAGCAGGAGGGCAGCACGCAGCCGACTGCCCCCAGGGGAAGTAAGTGCCTCAGAGCAAGACCAAGAGCAAGCACAATTGCCTCTTCCTGCTGCTCCACTCCTCCTGGGGCAGCTTTGTGCAGGACCTACTGCCCGGGACAACTGCGACAGACAAGTTTGACAGCAAAGCGCAGGCCGAAAGCTGCTGGGGCCTGCTGTGGAAAGCACGGGTGCCGTGGCTGCCGTGGGTGCCGTGGCCCCTGGGGTCACTGGGCTCCCTCCCTCCACGGGTCCTGACCCGCCAACCCCAGAAGGAGGAGCTGGGGGAGCAGGTGCTGCATTTTGCTGTTACAGTTTTAGGCCCTGACATTATTCTGAAAATCACTACACAAATGATTCCCAAGCCCCTTCTAGCTGTCAGGCCCCGGAGCACAAAAATGAATTCCACCTGCTCTGCCCTCGAGTTCACAGCCAAGCAATGACCATTTAGAGCAAGAGAGCACATTTATTCACTCAGCAAACATTGACGGAGCACCTTCTCTGTGCTGAGAACGTTCTGTGTGACCTTCACACGTGTAAAACAGCGCTCTGGCGACTCCCCAGAGGAGGCGCCGGGAAGTCAGCGGGACCCGGGCATCCCCCCCAGGCAGAGTCCCCGCTCTCCCAGCCCCTACCCTCTGACGCCCCGAGCATGGCTCCTCCAACCCCCACTCCTGGCACCCCCCTGCCAGGACGGTCTCATCCATTCCCAGGGCTTCACTGTGTGGCTCCTGCTGAGCCATGCAGGGGACAGAGCCCATCCGGAGCCACGCACCAATTGCCCCTTCCCAGGAAGGTGACTGCAGGGCACAGCTCCTTCTTTAAGCCCTGATGCTGAGCTGGGAAGCGGCCCTGGGCTGTGCAAGCCTGAGCTTCCATCAGGGTGCTGCCCAACAGGAGGGAAGGCATTTGGGAACTGGGGTGGCTGTTGAAGGCAGGAAGCCAACGCTGTTGGCAGAGGGCAGAGAGAGCAGGAGCCGGGGAAGCAGGGGTGAGGCCTGCAGGGTGGGCATAAGCCGGCCTGGGATGGGAGCTGCTGTGGGGCCTGGGCTGTTGGCTTTGGTGGGTTTCCCCAACTCCCAGGTGTAACCTCACAGTAAAACCCTATTCCTAGGCACAACCCAAGAAGTCCAGTGAGGCCAGGCTCCAGCCCATGTCCACCCAGACCTCTCTCTTCCTTCACCCCAAGCCGGGCATCTGCAGGTGCCCTCCGCAGAGCTCATCAGGAATCCCCTCCCCTTGCCACTGCCCAATGCAGAACTCCCCATCTACCTCCCCCTCCAGCCCCCACCCTGCCGCCCCTGCTGGCCTCCTTGCCACCCCCAGCCAGGCCCTGGCCACCTGGGAGTCAGCCTTCAACATCCTCTCCCTCACCGCGGTCGGCCGAGTCCCGCTCAGCTCGCCTCCTCCTCATCTCCAGCCTCTGTCCACTCTCCCATCCCCACCGCCATTCCCAGGTTCAGGCTCCTGGTCCCCTACCCACTTCACTGCCCCAGTCTCTCCAGGGTGACCCAGCCTCGCAGGGAAGCCCTTGGCAGTTTCTGAAACCCAAATCTGACCATGTTCCTGGCGTGCTCCCCATTCCGTGGGGGATGAGGGCCACGTCTGCAGCCACGTTCACCAGCCCGGCTTTACCTCTCTCCTTCCACCCTCCACACCTGCCCCTCCTCCTGCCTTATGTCTGTCAGCAGATCTAGACGCCTTGGGGACGGTTCTGACCCTACCAGCCCTGTGCCTCCTGGGAGAGGCGTCTGGGCCTTTACAGTGGGTGGGACTCACTGTGCTGTGCAGACCACTACTCCCATGGCGCCCGTGGGCCTTTGCATCCCACCTGTAATGAGGCACCTTGGGGAGGACCAGACCAGGTGGTCCTCCATGTTAAAGAAACAGTGGAAAGAGTGACACTTCCCCTCCCAACCTCCTCACCTTCCTCTTGGGCCTGACAGTTTTCCTGCCCAGGGCCCTGCGCACAGCAGCCCCCCTCCTGCACTGTCTCGGAGCTCTCCGGACACTGCCCGTGAAATGGGGGTAATGCTCCTGGTTGGTATTACCCTCGGGGGATGCATTGCCAGGATTCACTGTGTGTCCCCTTCCTTTTTTGCTTTTACCAAGAATCAGCCGGGACAGCCCTGCTTCCCAAGTGTGCCGCACAGCTGCTTGGCCCAATTCCTCCTGTATTAGTTTGTTTTCACGCTGCTGATAAAGACATACCCCAGACTGGGAAGAAAATAAAGGCTTAACTGGACTTACAGTTGCACATGGCTGGGGAGGCCTCAGAATCATGGCGGGAGGCGAAAGACACTTCTTACGTGGCAGCAGCAAAAGAAAACGAGGAAGCAGCAAAAGCAGGAACCCTTGATAAACCCTCCAGGTATCGTGAGACTTACTCACTATCACGAGAATAACGGGGAAGACCAGCCCCCATGATTCAATTACCTTCCCCTGGGTCCCTCCCACAATGCATGGGAATTCTGGGAAATATAATTCAAGCTGAGATTTGGATGGGGATACAGCCAAACCATATCACCTCCTTCCCTGCCTCTCTAATGCCTCTCTCCCTGCACAGGTGTGTGTCCCAATGCCTCTCTCTTCCTGCACAGGTGCGTGTTCTGATGCTTATCTCCCTGCACAGGTGCGTGTTCTGATGCTTCTCTCCCTGCACAGGTCTGCTTCTTCTGCAATCAATATGCACAATGCTTTCAGGTCCCATCGCTCTGGATGAATCCATCAGGAGAATCCTTTCCTTGCACTTTTCCTATGATATTACCCCTGGTTTTAAGCCTGTTTCACATTCCCAGAGACTGGGAACTCTTTGGGGGCAGGCGCTGGCTGCCTGTTGCTGCCTTGTTGCTGTCTAGCACTGGCTTGGCCCAGGAAGCTTTTCAGAAACACTCATTTAACCGCAGCAGCAGCGGCGGATCCTCTCACGGCGTCCGCTCTGTGCCAGGCTTTGTTCCAGGTGCTTTCCATGAGTCAGCTCACCGGCCGAGCATTCAAGGTCTGTTTTTCTTTTTTTAGACGGAGTTTCGCTCTTGTTGCCCAGGCTGGAGTGCAATGGCGTGATCTCGGCTCACACCAACCTCCGCCTCCCGGCTTCAAGCCATTCTCCTGCCTCAGCCTCTGGAGTAGCTGGATTACAGGCACCTGCCACCACGCCCGGCTAATTTTGTATTTGTAGTAGAGACAGGTTTCTCCATGTTGGCCAGGCTGGTCTCGAACTCCGGACCTCAGGTGATCCGCCTGCCTCAGCCTCCCAAAGTGCTGGGATTACAGGCGTGAGCCACTGCACCCGGCCCAAGGTCTGTTTTACACTCGTCAAGTATTGGGCACGTACTGATCCGTGACTTATCCCACGACACCCGTAAGACTTTAATCGAGCAGAAATCCTTTCTCTGTGGGTTATCTTTTCAGCTTTAGAGACTGTCCCATTTTCTTTGACTAATCATTCAATTATAAGTCATGGAGAGGATATAGAGGACTTGGGCTTCTGGCTGTGGCGGATTGCAAAGTGAAGCAGGCCTCCCATGGGCACATGGGGAGGAAACCGTCAGGCATGGGGGGGATGGGCGTGTCACGTGGGTCTGGTGGTCATGTGCTGCAGCCTCACCCTCTGTGTCATCATGCACTTGCAGGGCCCAGAGGACACTCCATTGGCTAAGGTGTTGGGAGGCGTCCACTGGTTCCAAGATCTTTCTTGAAAAGCTCTATGATGACTGCTTTTTCAACTCAGAGCTGAGAACAGGAGCCATCCCCACTGAAACTGGGTTCTCGCATTCCATAGGTATAATGGCAGCTCTTAATTTCCAGAGACAAAGTGGGCTTGTGTATTGGGATGGGAAACAAGAGCTCAGCCATAATCATCATGGTTGAACCCACAGAGTGTCAGTGGTGATGAAGGGATCAGGGTGTCTCTGGGATTGAGGTCCCCACACAGGCCACTAAGGTCTTCCCTTGATCTGCACAAAGCAAACAGAGAAACAAAGATGCCCTATCTGGCTCTGGGAATTAGAGACCCTGCTTGAGTCACCGAGAAACTTAGGGCCCTTATCAATCCATCCCCAGACCTGAGCCAGGTGGCAGACCCGAAGGCCCTTGAATACGGGGGGATGTTATAGCCCCTTAGGCATGGTCCTGGCATGAATTTATAACAAAGATTTCCTCCTAACCTTCCCCAAAGACACTTACTGGAGTGATGTGCACCAAGGAAGACTCCTCACAGTTTTGGGGGAGTGAATGGACGCTGTCTCTGACCTCGAGCAAATTCCTTGGGCAACCAGACCATGTGGCTCACCAATCATAGCAAGGGTTTGTGGTGGTCAGGATATTGATGGGGTTTTGGCCCCTGTTCGAGTTACAGTGGGCCTGGCATGTTACTGAACCACCTTGTGATCATTCCCTCCTGCCTGAATGTGTAGGTGGGACACACACATGGTAACAGGCAGAATCCCTGCATGATTTCCAGACCCAACGGCTCATCATGGTAGAAAGGGCCAAGCGGAAGGCCCCTGCAAAGTCTTCTACCTACTAAAACAGTAAACAAAAGCAATATGGCATGATCAGGAGAACTGCAGAGATTAGTGCCATGATCCAAGCAAGGCCTGAAGGATGCAGGGGTGGTGATCTGGTTTGGATCTGTGGCCCCACCCAAATCTCATGTTCAGTTGTAATCTCCCATGTTGGAAGTGGGGCCTGGTGGGAGGTGACTGGATCATTTGGTACGTCCTTGTGATAATGAGTGAGTTCTTGTGAAATCTGATTAAAAGTGTGCAGCACCTCCCCACCCCCTCTCTCTTGCTCTTTTTTTTCTCCATGTGACGTGCCTGCTCCCCGTTAGCTTCTGCCATGATTAGAAGCTTCCTGAGCCCTCCCCAGAAGCAGAGGCCACCATGCTTTCTGTATAGCCTGCAGAACCGTGAGCCCATTAAACCTCTTTCTTATAAGTTACACAGTCTCAGGTATTTCTTTATAGTAATGTGAGAACGGCCTAATACAGGTGGTGGTTTCTATTGCATCTCCATAAACACTTCTGTTTTCCCTAGGTAAAAGATTGAGCTTGTGAATTTTGAAGGTGGTGATTACAATGGCAGCTTCAGTTTCAGATTCAATTTCACTGAAATAAACACAGTTCCTAGTGCCTGGTGTGCAGATCATCTGGTGAACACCTTTTAAGGTGTTTGGTGGTAATGAAGTATGATTCTCTACCTATTAGTAAGGACACCATAAGCAAGTTGCTTTCACCTGGCAGGAATAGCAGTGCACCTTTACAGCTCCTCCTCAGGTCAATGTCATTGCTCCAGCTCTTTCAGTCTCCAGGGATGCTTGTCTCACTGTTACACAGAACATGATGCTGACCCACTACCTCCATGATATGACATCAATTGGGCCTGGTGAGGAGAAAATTGCAGATTCTCTAGAAGCCTTGGTAAGAGACAAATGTGCTAAATCCCAAATACTAGGTCAGTCAGCTTTGGTCAGGAATCTAGAAGCTGCTGTGGTTATTCCAACTAGGAAAGACTTAATAAAGGGAATTCAAGGCTTATGCACCATTGCAAGGGCCGGTGAAGTGAAGGGCTGGAGAGCTGCCATGAAAATCCTGTTCACTCATGGGGGTGGCTCCCAACAACTTTGCCAGAAGGGGCTGCAAATCTCAGGAACTGCTTGGAAATTTCCAGGAGCCAGTTCAGTTTGTAACTGCAAAGTAAATGGCTCACAAGGGCTCTCCTGGGAGCTGCGTCCACCCTTGCTCCTGCCCACATGCCTAACTGAACTGCCTCTGTGAACAGCGGCCTCTCCTTCCTGTCTGCTGTTGGCATCCACATCGGTGCCTCTTATTTGGTTGATTTTACTCCTGAAACACGGGGAAGTCGGTTCTGGGAAATAAAATTTTCGGGGTCTCCTTTCCATTAAGAGAACTTCAGAGGAGACATAAGTAATGCTGAGTTGACAACAGACACCACAGCTTGTGCGGTGAGAAATAAATAAATGACCAGCAACCCTGCAGTCATCCTTTGGGGATTTCTGGTCAGAAGCCATGTGGAATCGATGTAATTACCCAAATCTCATCTTGCAGTTGTCTCAAAACAAATACCAAACCTCTCTTTGGTTTTCAGAGCCGTGCACAGGGATTTTTAACTTTTACTCTATTTTACTTCCACATTTATTTAGGTGAACACTGTTTAGCAGTGTTGATGCTACTACAATCCTTTCATACCCTCCAAATGCCCCATTACTGAAGTGCTTGCGTTTGAATCGCCGCTTGATGGATAAGGGGATATCTTTGAGGATTTTTTTTCTTTCTTGAAAGGTGCATGAATCACACATTTTCAAATACCTACAAATCCTTCTGTTTGCTTTACAAGTGAGTAACAGAGACTGAAACTGAGCCACAGACTTTTCCTCTCCATATCCCTCTACAGTTGTCTTCTGGCAATTCAGAACCGTGGAGGACCCTCAGCCCTACCTTCTATTCCCTCGTAAGCATTCTGTTTATTCTGCTGAGAAGCCTGTAGATTTTTTAATCTTTATCTTTCAAATGCCAGAATGTTTATAGGATGGACTTTCGCCTATTACCGTGTAAGCCTCTTTGATCTGCAAGCAGGTAATTTTCAGCTCAGTTTGTGTTGACTTATTCCCCAGGAATGCCTGGTTTTCACTGCTGAGCTTATGCAGTCTTTTATGTATCTTTTACTTTCTCTGTTCCTCACTCCTCTGCTCTTCTTAGAGACATTTCATCAGTCTTATTTGATGGTGACACAGTTTTGCCTCATCCTCTGTGGTCTCTTTCATGCACAATTTTTTTTTTTTTTTTGAGATGGAGTCTCGCTCTGTCACCAGGGTGGAGTGCAGTGGCGCAATCTTGGCTGACTGCAAGCTCCGCCTCCCGGGTTCACGCCATTCTCCTGCCTCAGCCTCCCGAGTAGCTGGGACTACAGGCGCCCGCCACCATGCCTGGCTAATTTCTTTTTGTATTTTTAGTAGAGACGGGGTTTCACCTTGTTAGCCAGGATGGTCTCGATCTCCTGACCTCGTGATCCGCCCGCCTTGGCCTCCCAAAGTGCTGGGATTACAGGTGTGAGCCACTGCGCCTAGCCTTTTCATGCACATTTTAATTCTGCTCATACATCAGCACTTTCCTTGCTCCTCTTACTTCAAAGACTTTCCTTTCTACTCAGCCTGCAGATTTGTACAATCTTGTTTCAAAGAGGGCATATTTTCTTACATTTTACATCAAGGCAAAATGCATATCATTTCCAAAATTCTCTCCGGCTGCCTTTAATAAACTCTTCCATACAGCATACCTTTTCTCCGAATCCACGGGGCAGACTTCCAGCTGCCTTAGACTGTGGGGTTGTTTTTCCGGCCCCTCGGTACTGTGGTTGTTTCTCGTTTGAGTTACTTATCCCCGAATGAGGAGGGCTCCCTTCAGACCAGGTGTTTTCCAGTTCATGAGCTGTGTCCTGTCTCCTGCCTGCTGCATTCTTAGAGCTGATCAAGCCCTTCTTTCCTGCATTCATCTTGGAGGCAGCCTGGCGTGCAAGGCCCCCCGACAAACCTCTGTATCCAGCAGGCCATTGCCCTGCATCTACCTCTGGGATTAAGAAGGGGTCGTCCCCGATCCCACCGTCTGATTTTAAACCCATGCCACCCGAGACCTCCGGGATTGAGAAGGGGTCGTCCCCGATCCCACCGTCTGATTTTAAACCCATGCCACCCGAGACCTCCGGGATTGAGACAGAGTCGTCTGGGGACGACTGATTTTAAAATCCCACCGTCTGATTTTAAACCCATGCCACCTGAGCATTTATTTCTGGCTGCATTTTGTAGTTGTTCCTTGTCCCAAGTGCAGAGCCACGTGGTAGCTGTCTGTCTCTTGGTGCCCTGGCTGTCTTGCCTTCCTAGTCTATGTGTGGAAGCAGTCTTCCTGTTTCTCAGCTGCCAGGGTGAGACCCTACCTGTGGCTTAGGGGGTTGGGGGAGCATGTGATTTTAGAGTAAGACAGTGAGCCACAGGGATTCTTTTTGGGATGGCCATGTGACCTGATCAGTGTCTGTAGACTTTACGAGAGGAAGATGTTGAGTCTGGAGCTGCTGCAGCAGTTTTGGGACCTGAGGACACCTACTTGCCCCTGTACCCGAGAGGTGGACTGTGGCTGGGAGAAACAGAGCCACACTGAAGGCTTTGAATTAAACCCTGTGACCCAAATCTCCAGTGGGGGCTTCACCCTGCCGGCAATTTTATTGCCTCCCTTGGTCTATCCATTTTCTCACTTTTCCTAATGACAATTTCACACCTCCTCCTGTTTCCTCGGCCCTCTCCCGCCTCACTTTCAGCAACGCTGGTGCTTCTCACTTTCCTGAGAACACAGAGCCATCTGAAGAGAAGCCACTGACCCAGTGCTTCCTGGGCCCCTGTTCCGAGGGATGCAGCCCCTGCTTCCACCTTCCTGGGTGGGTTCCCAGGGCTGCAGCCCCCTGCTTCTGCCTTCCTGGGCCTGTTCCGAGGGATGTAGCCCCTGCTTCTGTCTTGGCCAGCCCCTCTGCTTGTTTGCGGGCTCTGTCCCACTCGCCCCTCCAGGACCCGCGCTGGGATAGGACCACACCCTCCTGCACCACCTGTCTCTCCATGTCTGCTGGGTCAGTCCCCTCCACACACCACTCTCTTCCCAAAACCATCCACAGCCACAGACTCCCAGCTGCTGCCCCGATTCTCTGCTCCTGAGTTATAAGAAACTTCTAGATAGTGTTAGCATGCATGCTGGCTGTCTTCTTCCTCGCCTTCCATGATTCCCTCCACCCGCCCTGAGCCGTCTCTGTCCTCACGCCCCCTGAAGGCCTCGTCTGGCTGGATCATCCACTCAGCTTCTCTGCAGCCTGGAGCACCCCTCACTCGGCAGTGTGGCTTCACTGCCCCCTGGACGCCACATTCTCCCCTGGGCGCCCTCTCTGCAGGGTGGCCGCTCCTTCTCAGCTCAGACCTCTCCTTACTGAGGGCTACTCACACAGCCAGTGGCTCCGGAGGCTTCTCCACGTAGGCATCTGACAGGCAGGCACCCCCATCATAACAACTCCAAAAGAGAAGTTTCAATTTCTCACCCAGGCCTGCTCCTTCCTTCCCTGCTCTTGCCTGTGTCAGTTCATGGGGCCTCTGACCGCCTGGTTTCTCAGGCCCTGGTCCAGGCAGTGTCCTCAACTTCCCTCTTTCCATCTACCCATGGGTTCTGGCAGCTCCACGTCTCACCCGCTCACCCTGACCACAGCGCTCGGGACACCAGCTCAGACTGGCCTCCTGCCGGTCACCCAGCTTCCTCTCTTGATGCACAAGTGACACTTTATAAAAGATCAGTGAGGTCCTGCCCCTCTATTGCCTGACCTTGTCTGTGACGGGCTGCCCACTTTGCCCCTTCCGTGGGTCCCTGCCCCCTTCCGTGGGTCCTCGCCCCCTTCCGTGGTTCCTTGCCAATCTTCCTGCTGAGACTCACATTGAGCTCCCCCACAGAGGCGCGGTGGTGACGGGAGGGCCCGGGTATTCTGCGGTGCTCACTTTGGTCCTGGCTGTTGGTTTCTGTGGGCCCTGCTTCCCTGGACTATGAGACAGGGATGGAGGCATCTATTCCAGGGAGTTGCCACCAGCGTGTTGCAGGAGGGGCATGAAAAGTGCCCGACATTAGGCTGGGTGCACCACAGAGACTAATTGAGGGGGTCACAAGGACTGCCATCCCACTGGGCTCCACACTCTGCTGCCTGGCACAGCCTCTCTGTGCCTCCAAAGCCTGAGCGCTTGTTGGATCACACACAGCGCTGAACACTTGGGCCAATGCAAGCTGCAGAAGACGCGACTGGCACTGTTCTTCCAGCGCTGAGCCAGGAAGAATTCTAGAACCCTAGAAGGAGCACAGCAGGCCGTCCGCTGGGCCTGGTGCTGCCTGTGATTAACAATCGAATTGTAATGATATGGAATTGGCTGTGGGTTCTGGGCACACATTATTAAATGCCTGGGCTGGTGCCACTGAGAGCCTGGAACTGGCAAGTCTGAACTCACTCAACTGCAAAAAGACCCCAGGCTGTGCAGTCTGCAGGAGACGTCCCTGTGGATTGGAACATGATGCCAGGCCCAGCAGAGGCTGGGGACCGCTGTGAAGGGCCACTGCCACCGAGCCCCGTTGGAAATGGCAGTGCTTGGCAATCATTCCAGCAGTCCCAGACTCATGCCACGTTTCCCTGCCTAAAGACTCTGGGTGTGGCTGGGACAGGTGGGGAAGTCAAAGACCGCCACCCGCCCCATGTGTGCAGGGATGGCTGCGTCTCCCCAGCTTTTCCCCAGCTTTTGTTAGAACTGAGCTTGGGCTGGCGTGGGTTTCCATGTGGCTACTCCTGCTGAGAGGGTCTGTGCTGCCCACCTGCAGACACTGGTTCCTCCCCAGTGCCACCCCACCCCACTAAAAGAGGACTCTGTTAGTGCCCCCCAGCCTGGGACCCCCCCGGAGCTCACCTGTAGCTGAGCAAGCTGGGTTACCACTCAGTGCAGCGAGGAGAACCTGGGCGTCTCAGCGGGGTTAGAAGGGCCTGATGATTGTCAGGTGTGGGCAGTGAGAGGTGATTTGGCAGGGGACTCAAGGAAGCTGGGCTTGGCTCTGGATTGGGGGCTGTGAGGAGGCGGGGTCGTGCTAGGATCTGGCATCTCAATCAATCTTCTCTAGAGGGAGGGGTGACTCAGGGGAGGCAGGAGCCCGGCCAGTGACACCGCGGCCCTCACCCGTCTCGGCAGGGAGAGGTGTCTACACATTTCTGGGAGGTTGGACAATGTTCCTGTGTGGTCTGATTGCACAGTGGTCTCACTTTTGTCTTGACTCATCTTGATCCTGGAGCGGCCTTGTCTTATGTTGGTGCTCGATGACATTGGGTGTGTTGGACGGGGGAAAAGCCCAGGCACCGCTGGGAGTGCCCAGTGACTCTGGATGCCAAGGGCCACTTCCTCTTGGCCACCAACCCTGATTTTGCACAAATCCCCATGGAAATAGGTGACATTCTTGACAGCAGCCTCAGAAGCAGCGTCCCCACAGTGCCTTCTGGGGGCATATCCCTGCATGCTGGGGCTGGAACTGCTGGGGAGTCCTCTGGAGAGATCACGGGTGTGCCACAGAAGGGGCCTCTGGGGACGTGTGACTGAGAAATGAGGTGGCTGCCCTTCTCTGGGCCTAATGGGCACACAGAGTGCTCCTTTCCCAGCCCCTTCTCTGAGAGCCACCCCACGGCCCTGGTGGCCAATTCCCCTGCTGCAAGGAGGCCTCGGGAGCAGCCACTGTGATTGACTACTGGAGCATTCCATCATCGGCCATTTCTGTTTCCCCCATTGAACCAAAGGAATGAACATGTCGGATCTTTGAGGTGAGGGGTTTTGTCCTTGTAATGCAACATGTCCATGACATTGCATGTTTCTCTCTGTTCCTTTGAGATTTGTTGTTTCCCAAATGACTCTGGACACTAAATTCAAGGCTACCTCGAATTTGGGGTTTAGCTGGAGCTTTCAAACAGTGCCCCATATTTCAGTTAAAAGTTGTTTCCCCCTTCCCAGCCGCCTGGGATGTCTTGGTCTCCTTATCTGTGATCTGGCTGCTTGTACCTGCCCTGTCTACATGAAGCTCAGGTTGGAGAAGAGGCCAAATAGCATCTTGTGGCAGGTTACAAACGCAGAGCCAATGGGCATGCTTTGCTGCTGTCACCTGAACAGGTGACGCCTCCGTTAGCTCCGTCATCCGAACAGGTAACTCCTCCATTAGCTCCGTCAGCTGAACAGGTGACGTCTCCGTTAGCTCCGTCATCTGAACAGGTGATGCCTCCATTAGCTCCATCATCTGAACACGTGAAGCCTCCGTTAGCTCCATCGTGGGCCTTCCCGTTGTCTAGACATGGCCTCCTGCTGCCAGCTGGGGAGATCATTCCAGCAAAAGGTTCCAGATGAATGCTGTGGGAGCGTGAAGCCTTCACCACACTCACTAGCTTTTCCCAGGGAGAAGACACTCACAGAGCCTGGTGCACTGAAGTGAGAATGGAAACTGTCAAACAGGGTGGCTGAGGGATTCTCACTTCCTCCCTGAGTCCTGGCAGTCAGCAAAAGGGAATAAAATGGTCACATGCAAAGGGCTCTGAAGTACACTGCTGTGTTCACACTATCTCTCTCTGTCACTGGTCACACACAAGCACAAACACACCCCCCTTGCTGGCCTCTGCACTGCACCAACCCTGGACATCCGTCTCCTTTGCGTCTTCTCATGAGCACCTGCACTCGGCCTGCACCCAGCTCAACCATGGCTTCGGACTAGGGATTTTTAGCTGGGCCAGGTGCTCCCTGGTTGAGCTGTGCAGTCATCATCCACCTCACCCAGGCTGAGTCTCCTTCAAGGTCCAGGGGCCGGAGCCTGGTCGCATTCATTCGCTGCCCCAGGCCCAGAGCCCAGCCCAGGGCCTGGCACAAGTTCAAAGAGGCATCAGATCTGGCAGGAAGTTGATGTTGAAATCCAGTTTTTACTCCACAAGAACATGTCATGGCCCAGAGAAGGAGGTGTGTGTGTGTGTGTGTGTGTGTGTGTGTGTGTGTGTGTGTGTGCGCGCGCGCGTGAGGGGTGCCGCTCTACCCAACCTTAGTGGGTCTATTTTATCCCTGCCAACTGGACATGGTTCAGCGGTCACACCTGGGGGCAATTCCCTGCTCCCCACCCTGCACTGACTTGTGTGCAAGTCAAAAACAGAATCGCCATCACTCCATGCTGTGAAAAGAATGCCTTGTTTTATTACAGCTCTTAAAATACTTTCACGCGCAAGTTGACCATATTTGGGGACAACAGTTCCAGGCACAGCAGACGCTCACTGGGATGCCAGGGTGTCTGCTGTCAGCCCCTTGCCAGCTCTCTCCCCCTGAGCAGCCACTAGGCAATTGCAACCTCATTCTTTCCAGAAATGGCTTGGGGACCACTTAGCAAATGTGAACACATCTGTAAAGTATGTTCATCCACCTCTCTCTCTCTCTCTCTCTCTCTAACCATGTGAGAGTGAGAAGAAAGAGTGTTCTTTTCCAGCTATTAGAGTTGAAGTTTCAGAGAAGGTGTGGACACTCAGTGGCTAGCTATAGTGAATGCACAGCTTTTGAGGCTGGAGCATCAATTGGGATAGACAAGTCCATGCCTCTTTCTGTCAACTCAAAGACTAAAGCAAATGGCCTTTCAGAAATAAAGGAGCCCCATCAGATGTGGGACTGTGCTGCACCACCTCCAGGCCCTCAGCCTCTGGGAGTCTCTGTTTCTCTTCTGGAAAATTGGCTGACACTTCTGGTTCCCCTTCTGCTGGCCTTGAGTGACAGAACGAGCCCACATGTGTGAAAGTGCTTGAGAGCCGACCGGGGAGATCATTACTTTGAAGGCCACTGCCATGTGCAGCCTTCCTCAACGTCCCAACGTGTAGGGCCTGGTCCTTGTCCCTCGCACGAGGTCCTCAGCCACCTCACCTCTGGGACCACGATCCTAGGGGCCTGTGTGTGCACCCACATGCATTTCAGGAAAGGAGGAAAGTATCTTCACAATAAGGCAAAAGCTGATCAAATTCATTTAATCTTTGTTAAAAGCATCACAAATGATTCATCGATTTTTAAAAAGGAAAAATAAGAAGGAATGCATTGTCTCTTTGTTATGTGCATGGCAGCTGATGGCCTCGTTCCCAGGCGCCCAGGTCTACCTGAACATCAGATATGCAGACCCTCGAATTTACAACCAGGGACAGACACGGGCCCACGCCTGGATCTCCATGGGTGCACAGACGGGAACGTATCAGGCTGTCTCAGATGCCACCTCCTTCCCAGGTGCTTGGGTCCACATGCCCAACATGTTCTTAATAGAAATATTAACATAAAATACAGGAAACCCACAGATAACTAAGGGGAAAAACCCAACCCAAACAGCAGAGAGAATTAAATGGAGTGGTCAAGGAAGGCCAACGACCTAGAGTGGCTACCGCAGGCACTGTGAGCTAAGGGGGAGGGCAGTTCCCAGGGTTCCATGTTGCCCGTGGGCCCCGGGCCTGCACTGTGCTCGCCATGTCTGTCCCTGTGTGCCTGACGCTTGCAGGCGGCCTGCTGGCCAGGGACAGGTGTGGGTGGGGTGGCCAGCAGGACAAGAATCCCTGCAAAGGTGTCCTTGCAGACTGCAAGCAGGGGAATGGGGGCTGTGGCAAGGTCCCAGAGAGTCATGGCCCCACGTCCTGGATCCCATCTCCAGGATGACCTTGAGGACAACTTGTAGGGTGGCCTCTGGAGTGGGGAGGGGGCACAGGAGCCCCAGGTGGGCAGGTAGGGTGGGGAGAGAGCTTTGGGTCTGGGGGACAGGTGGAAGGGGTGGGGACACCTCCACGCCTGTGTGGCCCAGGGTGCTCCCCTTGTCCTGTGGCCTTGAACACCCCCCGACCCAGGGAGATGAGGTTCCAGTCTCCATGGGTGGTTTTACTCAACAAGGAGCGGGTGCCTCCTCCCCACCGGGCACTGTTTGGGGCGTGAAGATTCACCCCTGGGCTTTCCCCTCTAATGGACCATGTTTCTTTTCCAGGGGAAATGAGGCAATTCCCCCAAGCTCAGACATGGTGGATGGGAGAACGTCTGCACTGTCATTCGGATTCACCCCCAGCCAGCATGTCACCAGCCAGGGCTCTGGCGTTCTCCCTTTCTGAGAGGGACCCTCATTGGGATTCACCCCCAGCCAGCGCATCACCATCCAGGGCTCTGGCGTTCTCCCGCTCTGAGAGGGACCCTCATTGGGATTCACCCCCAGCCAGCACATCACCAGCCAGGGCTCTGGCGTTCTCCCCCTCTGAGAGGGAGGCCACGGTCATCTGAGATCCCTGCCAGAGAGGAGGGGGAGGAGGGAGGAGGAGGAAGGGGCTACTGACTTCCCATTTCAAGGCAAAAGGTGACCCCCCCACCCCCCTATATTCCTATAGACTTACACTAACATCCCTGATTCTAGGAAACCGTAAGGGTGTGGAGACCGCACAGCACTGGCGCGCAGAGGGCTGGGTTCGGCCACCTCTGCTGTGACCGTGCTGTGACCTTCAGTTACTCTCCTCCCTGGGCCTCAGTTTCCCCTTCTTGAAAATGAGGGTCACGCTGATGGCCCTTCCAGCCCTGCCATCCTCAGCCTCTCCCAGCTTGGTTTCCACCCGGTTCCCTTCGCCTATAAGGAACTGCAGAAAACTGGTACATCTGGTGCCGTCTCCACCACCCACCTTTCTGGGGGCATCTGGCTCCTTCCAGAGCCCAGACCCGGTGGGAGAACAGCCATCAGGTGGGAGAAGCCTGCGGGATGGTGCTGCTTGCTGGTAGGAGTGAGGAACCATGGGCACTGGGTCCTGAGCCCGCCCTACCCCGTCTGCCCTGGGGAGAACCAGGGAGAGCTGCTGCCCCTCTGGGCAGAGGAGACACCCTGGGCACTCAGGGAAAGGGGCTCCCGAGTACGGAACTCTGACAGAGCCACCCCGGTGGCTACCGCCGGCTATAAAGACAGAGAGTGAGACACCCCCACCACCGCCAGCAGCTACCTAGAGAGGCATTTACAGAGCTGCAGTTTCCAGCCGGAGGGCAGGGGGGCCTGGAGGGTGGTGTGGTGTTGGGAGGGCCTGGCACCCGGGCTCCCACAGAGGGACTGGGTGGCCGCACAGGTGGGAGTGAAGAAGCAAAGTCAGGGAGGCCCCGGCCTCTGCGGGGAAGGAGCCCGCAACGCAGTGTCTGAACGGGTCTGCAGCTCTTGCAGCCCGAGGTACTGGGAGGGCTCCAGGACGACCAGCCTCAGCCCAGAGAAGTCAGGCCTCGGGCTGAGCGACAGCACGTGGGGCGGCCGTGTGTGGGGTCTGGGGGGCAGAACCTGCCTGAGTCAGGCCTGGTGTCCCATAGGGGCAGGGCCATGTCCGGGGAGTCCCGGGGGGTCCCGTGGGCCCCCCGTGGGCCTGGGCGGGCTTGGATTTATCAGAGGGGGTGGTGCCTGTCGCCTGGTGTGGCGACGACTCAGGGAGGGGGCTTTCCGCAGGTCTCTGAGGGGCGCCAGTCCAGCCGCCGGCTTTGCTGGTGGTTCTGTGCCCTCCGTGGGTGAAAAGACAGATGCTGGGGTGGCATCAGCTCACCAGGTAGCTGTGCATCTCTCGGGAGTTGATGCTCAGGACCACGCCTGAGTGGTTGCCTAGGAAACAGAAGAGACGCAGGTCCCGTGAGCACAAGCCCGGGACTGGAGACAGGGCCACAGGGGACACGGTCGTGGCCTCAGGCAGTGCCTCGAGCCAACGTGCAGTGGGCCTCCCTGGCTTCCTTCAGCCCGTGCAGGTGCAGGGGGTCTCCGCGGTTCCTAGGTGGGTGCCTGAGGAGTGGGCTCTCCCGGTGCCATCACAAGCAGTGGGCCCCAGAGGGCCTGAGAGGTGAGGCCCAGGCCGGCCCCAACCCGCCACAGCCACTGACCTGCGTGGGGATCGCCCCCGGCATCGGCAGCAAGGGGGTGCGAGAGGGGCTGAGGCTCCGCCCCCTCCTGGCAGTGGGCGCTGCAGGGCGTAGAGTGGCGAGGCCCCGGGAGGCGAGAGTGGGAGAGAGGGGGGCATAGGGATGTCAGTGCCAAGGGGTGAGCCGGGTGTCCCGGGTGGGGGCTGGTTAGGAGTCAAGGAGACAGGTCGAGGACCCAGGACCCAGAGCTGCCCCGCCTCAAGGGCACCGGGAGACACGGCTGGGAGCACCCGCGGCACAGCCCAGACACACCTGAGTCCTTGCCTGAGTCCTCGCCCATCCTTCACCTGGCTGGGCCTTGGCTTCTTCATCTCTAACGTGAGGGTCAACCGCACCCCTCAAAGGACTGGCGTGGGTCAGACGGGGAAGTGCGGCTGCTGCATTGGCAAGGCTGGCGTGGACCAAGGGCTTGGCTGCATGAATCTTACTACCCCACTAGGATTACTCTTTAGGGGCTTGGAAGCAAAAAGCCATCGGGGGCTGGGGAGCCGAGCCCTGTCTTCCTGAGACCCTGTGACCTCTGTCCACTCGAGAAGGCCTGGGGGTGAGCATGGGGGTGATGCCGCCTGCAGGAGAGGGAGCCCCAAAACCACCTCCTGCCCCAGCAGGAGCAAGACCAGTGGAGGGGTCTTTAGAGTTGTAGGACGCTCACCCGCGGCCCGGGGCCTTCGGGGGGCACACAGCTGTATAGCCACTGAGTCAGGCTTGAGCCCGGCTCCACCTCTTTTCACTAAGTGACCTGGGGAGGTTGAGTAACAGCTCTGACCCTCAGCTTTCTCATCTGTGCAGTGGGCGCAATGTCGATGACTGCCTCCGGGAAGTCAGACGGTGTCTGGGAGGCGCTGAGCTGGGGCTGACACAGAGCGAGCGCTCCGTGAAGTACCTGGGTCCTGTGATGTTTCCAAGTCTACAGACGCATCACGCCATGAGGAACACACCTGGGCTGGCGATGCTGGAGACAAGGGACCCCCACCGGGGGTGGGGCAGACAGGCCTGGTGAGGGGCTGGAGAGCGCGCAGGGGAGGCAGAGAGGGACCGTGGCCAGTCCATTCAGCTGCCCTGACCCCTCTCAAGACAGTGTGAAGGTCACAGGCTTTGGGGTCTGGCTGGCCGGGGTGAGCGACTTCTCCTTTTTGAGCCTCACTTTCAATAATTTGCACAGTGGGGACAGTGGTTTCCGCCGCTCACGTTCTGAGGATGTCCCGGATGCAGAGTGTGAGTGACGCTCGAAGCCGGATCATCAGAACGGCAGTGGCAGCAGCTGGTGGTGCCAAGACCTCCGTGGCTTCCTGTGTGCCGTTCTCTGCTCCAGAAGCTACCGCAGAACCCCGCAGCAACGGTGAGAGGTGTGTGCCGACGTCACCATAAAATCAGGCCCAGATGGGGATTAAGAGAGAACAGGAACTGTAGGGGAGACGCCGGGTCCCTGGGGTCTGCCAAGATGTGACTTCCAGCTCCGTTCACCACCAGCTGTGACCTTGGGCAAGGACAGTCCATGTCTTTGCACTTCCATGTCCTCAGCTCTAGGGAAGAGCCTGCCTCCTCGGCTGCTGAGCTGAGACAGGCATGGAAAGTGCCCACACCGCCTGGCTGCCGGCGGCACTTGCCCGACACGGCATGCAGGGCTGGTGCCACGGCCCTGGCAGCACAGGCTCCCAGCCCTCTGGCAAGTCTCAGAGCCTCCTGGGCCTCAGTTTCCCCCCTCATCCAGAGAAAGAACTATAGTGCCTGTTGCGCTGGATGGCATCATGCTCTGACTGCGGCTGAGGGATGCAGTCCGTGTCCCCTCCCCTCAAACATGGACAGGGCAAGACACAAGTGACAGCGTATGACTTCAAGGCCAGGCCCTGAAAGGGGTGTGGCTCCTGCCTGGCCACCTCCCTCCACATGCTCTTGGAAGTCAGCCGCCATGCTGGGAGGAAGCCCAAGCCACACAGCGAGACCATGTGCAGGTGTCCCGGTCGATGGTCCAGGTGAGGGGTTAGCTGACTGCCTGCATTAATTGCTGGCCATCTGAGTGAGGCAAGCTTTGAGATGACTGCTGCACCAGCCATTGACTGCAGCCTCATGAGAGACCCTGACAGCGAGCAGCCCGGCTGAGCCCAGTCAGCTCCCAGACACCAGAAGAGAAAACGGCCATAAACGATGCTACGCCGCTGAGGTGGGCGGTTTGTCATGCAGCTGTAGATGACTGATCTTCTCCTTGCTGGGCATGACCAGGAGCGAAGGGGATCCCATCAGTGGAAATGCTTCATAAACTGTAAAGTGCAGTGCCGCAGGTCCATGTGTGGCGTGCTCCCTAGATCACCACTGCAGTGAAGTGGAGGACTGGGAGTGTTGAGGGAGCGGCTGTGGGGGAAAGGCCTCCCACGTCCTGAGGCCCGAGTCAGGCTTCCTTTCAAAGCCAGCCCTGTTTCCCGTCCTTTCCCTGCCTTGATGGGGCTGTCGGGGGCTTTTGGTCATTGCCAGGGATGGGGCCCTCAGCGTCCACATGTCTCAGATTTCATCTCTGCCGGCAGCCCTGTCAGGTCCCGTCATCCCCTCATCAGATGGAGGGGACACAGTGGGCCCGACCGACCCGCTGGCAAGGGCTGCTGGGCCAGCGTTTTGCTGGCCCCAGCGGCCCAGCGGGGTGGCCTGTGGGAGGGCGGGGTGGGTTTGGGGCGGACGTTACCTAGAGTCTGCGAGTCGAGATCATCATCTATAAACTCCTCACCCTGGACAGCGCCCTGGACGTCCTCACTGTGACTCACAGGGCTGGTCATCTCCTGCTCCTTCTCGTTGTGCATTTGGGCGTACACGGTCCTGCCTGGCCGTTTCCTGCTGGACAGAGGCAAGGGCGGCTCAGCTTGGAGGGGCTTCCCAGGCCGCCTGTCCCTGGAGCCTTCCGCTGGCCGCCTGACCACACCGAGTGTGGTGCACGGTGCCCACAGCACTCCAGAGGTGCCTACCCCAGCCCCAAGTTTTGCCTCCTGCCCCATCTCTGCTCAAAGCCACTTCCTCCAGGAAGCCCTCCCTCCTGCATGCTCCCTTGGCCCTGGGATTCCCTCTGCCCTGACACATTGGGTGATCACTGTGTATCTGTCATCTCCCCTGAGAATCGAAGCGTGGGCATGTGGTGGGGAGAGGGCATGATATCCTCTTTCCCCCGACCCCCCATGCCTGGCCACCCTGCCACTGGGCTGGGCACACATTCCCGCAGGAGGCACGAGCCGGCCCAGCTCTGAGAGGCACTTGCTGAGCCCCATCCAGGCGTCCTGGGGGAGTACTGTCCTCGATTTCCCAGCGAGGAAAGGGAGAGGGTGGGCACAGCCCCGCTGCCTCCACTGGGACCCGGCTCAGGACCCGCCCTGGGCCAGGCTCCTTCATGCACGACACCCCACTTAGTCCAATCAAAACCCAGGGTCAGGGTCCCATTTCACAGATGAGGGGACTGAGACTCAGTGGGAGAGGGGGGCTTTCTCAGATGCAGCTGATGAACATCGCCAGCCCTCTGGAAACATTTTAACGGCAGGATGGGGTGGGGCGGGACCTGTGACTAGCTCTGAGGGTGACAGAGGGTGGCCAGTATCACCTATAAGCTGCAACACTTCACCACTGGATTTATATGCTCAAAGCAGCGCTGCTGCCTCAGTCTAGAGCCTTGAGAGACGAGGGCCAAGCCCCTGCCGGGCCCCAGGGGCATGTGGCTGAGGGCTTTGACTGGGTTGTCAGTGCTGCCCAGCCCAGCCCTTGAGCAAGCCGGGAGCTCCCGAGGGCACAGGCCGCACCAGAGCCTAAAGCCTCAGGCCACTGGGGACAAACGGGCGTTGCTCTGCTGTGAGATGGAGCCTTGAAGTATATTGGGCACTTCTGCCTATGCCCAATACATTCAAGCTCCCAGAGACTGGAGTCACAGCCCTGGGGTTTGTCAGCACCAACTTTAAGCTGCTTTTGTTTCCAGGGCAGTCGGGTGCCTGGTTTCAGGACCTGAAAGCCTGGGCTCGAAGGCCGCCCCTGCCACCTCCTAGCTGTGACAAACCCCAGTTGCAGTGGCCATGGGATATAGGCTGGAGGGGGAGCACACAGGAAGGAGGTGGGATTCCTGACCTGGGCACCTGGTAGAGGACAGTGTCATTTGCTCAGCACCAGCTTTGGGGGAAGAAGATGCTGAGTTTGATTTAAATTTGCAGTGCCTACGGAACCCCTGGATAGACCTGTTCGGAAGCCAGTGCCTCTCTGAGTTTGGAACTTGGGAAAGACCACAGGACAGACCCTATTTTACTTCTTTGCCCCACAGACTCCTATTCATCCTTCAGGATCCCCACCAGAAGTCACTTCCTCAGGGAAGTCCTCCCAGATTCTCCAGTTCAGCTCTGAGTGCCTCAGGCCAACCCTTTGGGTGGAATTGAGTAACAAGGTGGGTAAGGAGCTCCTGGACGCGCTCCCAGACAATTAATGCTGTGTCCCAGAGCCTGGGCCAGCCTGTGGAACGGGGGCACACATGAAACTACTACTCAAAAGACCCGCAGTGCATAAAACAGTGGGACCGGGAGCAGGAGGAGGGGTTGGGGGAGTCCAGGGCCCATGAAAGGCTGGGGCTTGGCATCGGGGAAGGGCCCGAGGCTCCAAATAAGCCGAAAGGAAGGGGTGAGCTGTGGCATTTGATGATCCTCAAGGGTGACCCCGATGGGGAGACTGGGGCCCCCGGAGCTGAACCAGCAGGCAGGGGAGAAACAATAGGGCCAAATCTGGGAGCTGCGTTTGCAGGGAAGGAGTCTGGTGATGCTGCCGGGGCCGGGTCACTTTGCTCATTCCAGGTCTAGCGTCCAGGGAACTTCAAGTTGTCCAGCCCCTGCAGGGTGGCCATGACGCGTCCCAGCGTCGGGGGATCACACCCATTTCACAGCCAGGGAACAGGCTCAGAAGGAAAGAGAGGTATGAAAGCCCCTCCCAATAGACAAACACTGTTCTTGCCACCTCACCCCAGCCTCGGCACAAGCAGCTCCCTCACGGGGACACCCAGAGCCCTCCCCACGGGAGCGCCTGGCAGGAAGCTCAGCAGCTCTCAAGTGCTCTCGAGGGGAGGGAAGGGATGGGCGGGCGGCCGAGGAACCCTGGGATGTGGGCGGGCCTGGGTCAGGTCCCAGTTCTGAGGCTGGCCGTCTGTGTTACCTTGGGCACACTGCTTAACCTCTCTGAGCCTGGTTTCCTCATCTGTGAGATGGGCAGTGTCCTCCCTGTGAGGTGGGTGGGGCTGAACAGCATGATGGCTGGGATGTCCTGGGGAGAGTGGAGGAGTGGGAGGGTGATGCTCTCTGGGTTGCGAGTGGCGGCCGTCTCTTCCAGGGACCCCACAGGTGGTACAGAGCCAGGCAAGCACCTCCCCCTGCAGCCCATCACAGGCACAAACTCTCACCACTCCCTTCTGAGGCCCTGCTGGGGCCCTTTCTAGATCTGCCTGAGTGAGTTGGGCCTGGCTTCCTACGGCCCCATGGTCAGAGCCCCGCAGAGGAGGGCAGCCAAGGGCCTTGCCTTTTGAACTTGTAGAGGATGAAGGCTCCCGCTGCGAAGAGCCCGATGACAAACAGCACCACTACCGCCCAGTAGCCGCCACCGCCGCCCAGCTGCTCAGCACCTGCAAGCAAAGCGGTTGTCAGTGGAGGACCTCGGGCACCGCCCATCCCTGTCCCATCCCCAGCCCATCCCGTCTGTCCCCCACCCGTCCCCAGCCTGTCCCCCGCCCATCCCCAGCTTGTCCCCTGCCTGTCCCTGGCCCATTTCCTGCCTGTCTTCAGCCCATTCCCATTCCCTCCCCAGCCCTTCCCCAGCCCATTCCCGGCTTGACCTCTTCCTGTCCCCCACCTGTTCCTGCCCGTCCCCTGCCTGTCCCTGCCTATCCCCTGCCTGTCCCTGCCACAGCCTCCTTGGTGTGGAGGCTGTTCCATGCCCGTGGCCGGCGCTCCTGATGTGGCTGAGAGGGGCCAGAGGCCATAAATGACCAGGAGTGCGTCCTGTGTGGCCTTGGAGAGGTCCCCGCCCCTTGACCTGGCTCCCACTGGGGATGGAGGCTGTGGGCAGAGCTCCCCGGCTATGTTGATGCTGGTGTGGGGCGAACCTGCCGAGTTTCAAGGGCACGGTGTCTTTACAGAGCAGAGCAAAACTCATCGGCTTCTGCAAAGGCTTTTGCCCCAAAGGGGAAAGGATGACTGACAGCCGAGGAGACAGCTCTGTGGGTTGGGGAAGGGGCAGAGATTATCCGAGACCCGAAGCGTGGGTATCAGGTAAGAGCAGTGCTCCATGGGGCATCCGCAGAGGGAGAGCGCGGTCCTGCGTCTGACCTGGGTGGGTTCTCAGTTCCATCAGAGGCGAACACCCACCAGGAGGGGGATACGGGCCATCTGCCCGAGGGCCCTGCAGGGACATGGCTTCTCCAGGGCCCGGATGCCTCCTCCACCCATTCCGCAGGGGAGCTCCCAGTGGCTCACCTGTGCCTGTGTCCCGCAGGGCCACCAGGACCCGGACTCCGCCTCGCAGGAGGAAGCTGATCTTCTGTGCGTTCAGCACCTGCTGGATGGCGGCGAGCCTCTGCAAGCACAGAGGGGACAGTGAGTGAGGCCTCCATGGAGGCTCCTCTGCCAAAAGGGAAGGGGGATGGGGTCCTCCTCCAGGAGGGGAGTGAGGGGTCTCCACGTGTTGGGGGGGTCTTCTACCAGGAGGAGAGTGAAGGGGTCCTCCATGGGGGGTGGGGGAGAGGGTCTGCTACAGGTGAAAGGGGAGGAAGGGCCCTCCTCTGGTGGAGAGAGTGAGGGGGTGTCCTCCACTAGGGGGGAGGGGAGCAAGGTCTGCTGGGATCCACCAGAGGGGTGGGGAGAGGGAGGGGGATCTGGTGGGATCTACCGGAAGTAGGGGAGAGTTGGGGGGTGGCTCTGGGATCCACCAGAGGGGGATGGGAGAGCTGGGTGGACCAGTGTGAGTCCTGCTTGGACCCTCTGGAGCCATGGGGCTGGGCAGGCCACCTGGCCTCGCTGAGCCTCGGTGTCCTCCTTTGTACCACGGGAATAATCACCCACAAGGGAACTTTCACCAAGAACCATGGAAGGGACACAAAGGCGACCGAGACATGGCTCTGGCCTTCATGAGCTCTTGTTTTAGTCGGGAATGTAAAAGACACAGGCTACGGAGTGTGCCAAGTTGGGGAAATGCAGGGGTGCTCCAGGAGGCTCCATCCCCCAGTGGTGGTCAGGGAAGGCCTCCTGGAGGCGGAAGACCAAGAAGAGAATGAGACAGGGCAGGACAGGAGAATCAGACCCCCTACCTGAGGGAGGGATATCCCAGGAGGTGGTGCTGGGTTGTAGGGTGAGGGATGCAGGGTCGGGGGCACCTATAGCTGGAGAGGGCAGGGGCCAAAAGGCAGCCAGCCTTGTGGGCCACGGGCATCCTCCTCCAGGGTCTGCGTGACGTGACAAATGCGTGAGGTGCCCGGCGCAGAGGAGGGCTTCCTCCTCACCCCTCTCACTCCCTCCCGGCCCCTCTCACTACTTCCCAGGTCCAAGCATCAGTCATCACCCAGGGCTGGGTGGGCTCAGAGACCAGCCACCTTTCACAGCACTGGTCAGCTCTGTTATTTTGACAATAGCCATTCTAACAGGTGTGAGGCCATGTCTCACTGTGGCTTCAATGAGCATTTCCCTGATGATTCGAGATGGTGAGCATGTTTTCCACATACCTGTTGGCCATTTGTGTGTCTCCCTTTGAGAAATGTCTACTTGGCTCCTTTGCCCGTTTTTTAATCGAGTCACCTGTTTTCTGGCTATGGAGCTGGGTTTCTTACGTATTCTGGATGTGAACCCTTGTCAGAGGTATGCTTCATGAATCTTTTCTCCTATTCTGTGGGCCATCTCTTCACTCCACTGATTGTTTCTCTGGCTGTGCAAGGGTCTCTTGGTTTGACATCCTGTTTGTCTATTTTTGCGTTTGTTGCATGTACTTTTGGGATCATCTGCAAAACAGCATTGCTCAAACTGATGCATAGTTTTTCACTATGTTTTCTTTTGGTGTTTTTACAGATTCAGGTCTTACGTTTGTCTTTAATCCACTCTGAGCTGGATTTTGTAGAGGGTGTAAGAATCTAATTGCATTCTTCTGCATGTGGATATTCAGTTTCCCAACAATATTTATGGGAGATATTCTCTTTTCTCCATTGTGTCTTCTTGACAGCTTTATTGAAAATCAATTGACCGTACATGTATGGATTTATTTCTGGGCTCTATTCTGTTCCATGGGTCTGTGTCTGTTTTTATGCCAGTACTGTGCTATTTGGATTACTGTAACTTTGTAACGCATTGTGAAGTCAGGGAGTGTGACGCTTCCAGCTTTTTTCTTTTTGCTCAAAATGGCTTTGGCTATTTCAGGCCTTTTGTAGTTCCATACAAATTTTAGGATTTTTTTTTCTATTTCTGTGAAAAACATCATTGAAATTTTGATAGACCTTGCATTAAATCTGTAGATCACTTTAGGTAGTATGGACATCTTAATAATATAAATTCTTCTAATCCAGGAACACAGGGTATCTTTCCGTCGATTTGTGTCTTCTTCAAATTCTTGTACTGGTGTTTTATGGTTTTTAGTGCACAAGCTTTTCACCACCTTGGTTTAATTTGTTCCTAAGTTTTTCACAAGTTTTTCACCTCCTTGGTTCAATTTTTTTCCTAAGTAGTTTATTCTGCTTTTAATTTTTGATGCTATTGTTAGTGGGATTGTTTTCTTGATTTCTTTTCCAGGTAGCTTGCTGTTAGTGTGTAGAAGCGCTTCTGCTGTTTGATTGCCTCCGGTCCTTTCTGACGGTGGCCCTCGCCAAGCCTCACTTCTCATGTCTGTAAAATGGGACGTGGCACCACGTGGGCATGCTGGAGTGTGCACTGTCCTTCCCCTGCACGGGCCACGCCTTCCAGATCACCTGAGTGAGCATCAGTCTCCCTGACCAGTGCAGGCTATGTGAGCTTCTGGTTCATTTTTAGAAACTGATAATAACATTTACTCTTTTAAAGTGTACAATTTAATGCATTGTAGTATATTCCCTAAGTTGTGCAAGCATTACCACTATCTAATTCCTGCACGTTTTCATCCTCTCCCAAAGAATCCCCTAGCCTTAGCAGTCACTCGCCATGCGCCCTCCCCCAGCCCCTGGCAACAACTCATCTATTTCTGTCTCCATGGATTTGCCTGTTCTGGGCATTTCATGTGAATGGAATTGTACGCTACGTGGTCTTTTGCAACTGGCCTCTTTCACTTAGCATCATGTTTTCAAGGTTCGTCCATGCTGTCAGAGGTGTCAAGGGCTTCGTTCCTTTTGGTGGTCAAAGAATATTCCATTGTAAGGTTGGACCACAATTTGTTTCTTCAGCAGCCGATGAGCACTTTTTGGCTACGATGAGTAATGCTGCTGTGAATCCATGTACTGTGGATGTATGTTTTTGTTTCTCTTGGGTATATACCCATAAGTGGACTTGCTGGGTCATGCGGTAACTTAGGTATAACTTACTGAGGAATTTCCAGCCCGTTTTGCACAGCAGCTGAACCCTTTCCACCAGCAGTGTGAGAGGTTCCAAGTTCTCTGCTTCCTTGGCAACACTTGGAATTGTCTGATTTTTAATGTTAGCCACCCTAGTGGGTGTGAAGGGATTCTGGTTCATCTTTGAGTCCCCTTCCCACACCTGTCACATGGCAGGTCTTTTATCCCCTCCATGAGGGCTATTACTTAGAAGTTGTCCTGTGCAATAAAGACATTTGCTAACTGCATGGGGGCTGACTTCTGCTCGGCCCCGAAACCCACACCCTTGGGTGTCTCCCTGACAGTGCTTAGCCTCATTTCCCAGTGCTCCTGGCAGTCAGGTTGGGGCCATGTGACCATCTCCAGCCAATGACACGGGAGAAGAAATGAGCGAGCCCCCTGGGAGGTGGTCCAGCCTGTGCCCTCCCCCCGACTACCTCTGCCGCAGTGACCTTAGAGGCTGTGTGACTTCCAGAGGGCGTAGCCACAGGTGGACGAGGTCAAGCCACCCTGAGTCAGACTGAGATGCAGCGAGAAAGACGCCTTTATGCCATGAGCCACTGAGACGTCCCTGCTTGTTGTAAATGACCCGAGCCCTGGGATGTGCAGGGAGGACCTGGGAGTGCAGCGGCCACAGGACATACCTTATCACTCGAGAGGCTCCTCTTCCTTGTGGGCCTGGGAGGGGGCAGGAGCACGTACAGATCGGCCAAAGTGGGCAGCCCCGGCTTCACCACAGTCACCAGAAGCTCCTGAGGGACGCTGGTCTCCTGCGGGGAGAGTTAAGCCACTTTGGTCCGCCTGTCTTCCTCATTCCCTGCCTCATACTGGGGCCCCCAGGAACACCCTCTCTCCCTTCTTGGCCTGTACACCTGTCTCACAGGCCGTTCCTGACCCCTGCATGGCGTGGGGATCCTTCCAGGGTCCCAGGGTACCCTGAGCTACCCCCTGCACCCAGCTACCCAGGGCCCTCAGCCCTGCTATTCAGGACCTGTGCCGTCACACTGGCCTCCCCTTGGCCAGGCCTGGCCCTCAGTCCATTCTTCAGACCATGACTAGAGTGAGCACCAGCACCTTCCTCCCTGGCTAATGTCCTCCATCACAAGGCTCCTTACCACACCATTCCAGGTCTGTGACCGGGCCCCACTGACTCCAGCTGCCTCCCCCTTCCCACTCCCTAACACCCCAGGCCCAGCCAGGGCCATACACCCACAGAGAATATGCTCTCAGCCCATAGGCACTGCTCATGTAGGTGCCTCTGCCTCCTGGAAGTCCCGTTCCATGCACTTCCATCTGGCAAACCCTGATTCAACCTTCAGTGCCCAGGACCCTTTTACCAGCATTATTCACGGGAGGGGAAGCCTGGTCAGAGTAGGCCTCAGCCTGTGATAGCCTCAGGTGGCTCCAGAGGACTGGTCCTCTCTCACTTGGGGGCCAAGGGCCTTGGGTGTGCTACAGCCCGCCCTGATGTCTGCCACCCGGGAGCTCCTGAGGCCAGTGAGCACACTGGGTTCTTCTCTCTGTCTTGTGTCCAGCCCAGAAGAGAAGTTCAGTGAATGAAGGAAAATTGCTTTAAAGAGACTCTGGAGCACTGGAGGACGACAGTGGGGTCTCCTGCAAACAGCAGGTGGTCCCTGGACTGTGTGCATGGAGGGTGCCTGTGGTCCCTCCCCTGTGAGGTGGTGCTCCAGCTGCAGGTCCTCCTAAATAAGGGCAGTGTGCCTGCCCCCCATCCATAGCTTTCAACATCCCCAGCTGGCCCGAAGACCAGAGCATCGTGTGCGGGGGCAGTGCCACCCGCCTCTCCTTTCCCTGAGCACCCCGGGGCCCTTGGGCTTCTCTGGATGCCGGAAGCACCGTGGGGCTGGGGAGGCTCTAGGCTCTGGGTGGACACCTTGGAGAGCAGCCGGGTGACCACCAGGCCCACGTCTTCCCTCCACTCAGGGGTGTTGGGGTTGTAGGCATCCAGCTCCTTGGAAAACTGCAGAGGCATGACTTGAAATTGATCTGGAAAGACGCAGAGAAGGGAGACTGGTCAGTTCTGGACAGCCTGGCTCTGACGGCTCCAGGGTGGGGGTCGGGGGCAGCCACATGCCCTGGATGGTCCCGGGAGGCCTTTGATTCAGATCCCAGGGCCCAGCAGCCCCATCGTCTTCTCAAGCAGGCCGACAGCAGTCCTGATTTAGTGTTTGGAAACCAGCTCCTTCCCTGGATGCCAGCAGTGGTGGTCTGTCCCAGGCAGGACCCATGTCACTGGCTGCCATCTCATAACAGCAGTGACAAAGATGCCAGTGATGATGATAAAGATGCGCTGACCCAGGAGGGAGGCCTAGTGTGCACCAAGCCTGCTCTGTGAGATTTGCCTCCTTGACTCACAAGCATGAACACACCCTATGAGGTCAGCCTCTCATCCATCAGGGATCCATGGACTTCAACTTGCTGGTCCTCCCACCAGATTAAGAGTCCCTTGAGAGCAGAGGCCCTGTCTTCTTCTCTTTCTCCCACATTTCCCATAGTCCATGGCTCAAAGCCCAATTCTAAAGTCACCAGGGGCTCCAGAGATAAACTTTAACCTCTCCACTTCTCAGGCCTCAGTTTTCTCACATGTAAAGTGGGAGGAGGCTGTGCAGGGCTGACGGGCTCAAGGGACAAGTGCTTTGAGGACTGCAAACCCAACATCTTACAATGAGGGTGGTGATGGCATTTGCAAAGCTCCCAGCCCAACAATGAATGAAGAATAGCCAAGGGCAGCCTCCTCCAGGGTGTGAAGGGCCTGTGTGGGCAGCCCAACCCTCCGCACACTTGTCCAACTAAATATTTAACTGATGGCTGCTGTCCACAGTAGAGGCTGTTCTTAAAGCAAAATGAGGGTTTATTGCTGTGATGTTGGTGGCAATGAGCTCTGCCTCCTTGACAAGGGGGGGGGGGGTCTCCTTCAGTCTTAGGACCAGTTGGTATTGTATATATCTCCCACGAGGGACTAAGAGCCCCCAGTGAGCACAGATAAATGAGGATGCAGATTCAGAAAAGGAGGCTCAGCGTTTCTCTAGACAGGAGTCCTCTTTAAGCTGCCATCATGAGACAATGCTCAGGCTTGGCCAGAGGTGCCAAGAGGACAGGGGCCCTGGAGGCAGGCACAGCCAGTGCCCAAACCTGGCTGTCTTGCTGCTGGGTGACCTTGTCCCTGGTGTGTTCTGTCCCATGAGTGTCTTGGGACACAGGATTTGTCAGTATTTATTTTACAGATGGGGAAACTGAGGCCAGAGAGACCGGGAGACTTTGCCCAGGCCACACAGCCAGGGCAGGGCTCTGTTTATCCAGCCCCTCCCTCCCCACCCCAGGGCCACTCAGGGTGACCAGGACATCCATGGCTTACGCGACCCATGTGGCCTGGCTTCCTGGACTGCAGCAGAGATGCAGAGGCCGTGCTGCCAGACCCCAGGAAGTACTTACCCAGCACACGGAGGACCCTGGAGTCCTGCAGCACCGAGTTCCCACAGGCGGCCTGCACCGTCACACGCACGTCGCCCGTGTCCGAAAACCGCGTTGTCACAGAATTATCCAGGGAAAGGAGGGGCTGCAGGGGCACAGCAGGGCTTAGGGGCCTGGCCGAGTGAGGCAGCGGCCGTGGGGGACGCTGGCCTATGGTCGCTGCCTCACTGAGAGCATTGCTGTCCCCTTGTTCCCATCAGCAAATGGGCCCATTATGGACATCCTGTGGTGGCAGCACCCAGGGAGGCATGGGGCGGGCAGCCGGTTCTTTATTTTATTTTATTTTATTTTGAGACAGAGTCTTGTTCTGTTGCCCAGGCTGGAGTGCAGTGGCGCAATCTTGGCTCACTGCAACCTCTGCCTCCTGGGTTCAAGTATTCTCCCACCTCAGCCTCCCATGTAGCTGGGCCTACACATGTATGCACCCCCATGCCCAGCTAATTTTTGTATTTTTAGTAGAGACGGGGTTTCACCATGTTAGCCAGGTTGGTCTCAAACTCCTGATCTCATGGGCACCTGGTTGTAAGCCAACACAGCACGAACTTGAGGTCCCAGCACCCCCTTCCTTCTCAACAGCTCCCCAGGCCTGCCCCCCACGGGCATTTAGGAGGCCTGATGTGGCTGCCGGGCTGGGCCTTCACTCCCTGCCCATGTGATCTCCCATCTCCACACATGGCCACCGCAGCTGTGGATGAGCCATGGCTCTGTCATCCATGGCACCAAGCCAGTGCCCAGCTCAGGACCCAGCCATGGGGATGGTGCACACTCAGCCGGGTGGGCGCCATGTTGCCGCAGAGACAGGAGAGGCCACCCCCATGGGTGTGGATGTGGAGGCAGAGGCTCTGCCAGGTGAAGGGACATGTGTGGAGCATTCAGCTGGAAGTGGCGGAGCCGAGGCCTGAACCCAGACCCTGAGCTCCTTCTCAGACCCTCCCCATTCTAGAGAAACACAATCCAGAGCCCACAGGCCCTCCCCTTGCTGGGGCTCTGTGTCAGGGCCGTCAGCTGCTGGTAGGGGGCTTCCTGCCTGGTGGTGCTGGGCTGTTTGCTGAATGAGTGGAGGATGCCCTTCACTGGGTCTTGCCCCCAGTCCAGGCATTCTGCTAATTTGGGCTCTCTCCTGCTCAAGAACTATCTGTGGCTCCCCACTGCAGACAGGGTACAACCCAGGCCTCTGAGGGAGGCTTCTGAGCCCCCTTGACCTCTTCTTCTGTAAAGCCTTCCCTGAGCCTCTCACTGCAAATGCTCTCTCCTTTCCGGGAGCTCTCATGCAGCCCACCTACCTGCCTCTGTGACTTCTACCACCCCCAACTCAGGTAATCCACTGCGTTCCCATCTCTTTCCCGGGAAAAGGCAGGGTCTAGTCTGACTCATCTGGCACCATTGAGCAGATGGGCCCTGAAAAGGCACCCACGGAGGGTGTGCCCCTCTCAACTGCCCCAGGAGGGGCCCAAGGGTGAGGAGTGCACCCTACACTGGTTCCTTCTGCTGAAAACCTGGGGCCATGCTCTGCCCCACTGTGCAGCTTGTGGGGAGCCTGCGGGAAGAAGGGCTGAGTTGGGGCAAAGCCAGCGCACCTGCAGGCTGTGGCCGATCCACCAGTAGAAGACGGTGAGGTTAGGGTTCAAGGGAAGCAGCACAGCTGTGAGGTTCACCTCCTGGTTGAGGCCAATGACAGGAACCACCTCCAGGTAGAGGGCCTGCAGGGGGGCTGTGGGGACCCAAAAAGGCCAGGGTTAGATGATATCAGGGCATGGGGCATTTCAGAGGCTGCTTAGTGATCACTGTCACCAGCAACTTCATTGCTATCATCACCACCACCACTACCACTATCATCACCACCACCACCACCACCACCATCACCACTACTACCACCATCCATTCCCACCAACACTATCACCACCATCACCAACACCACCACCATCACCACTACTACCACCATCCATTCCCACCAATACTATCACCACCATCACCAACACCACCACCATCACCACTACCACCACCATCACCACTACCACCATCACCTCCACCATCATCACTGCCATCACCACCACCATCACCACCATCACCATCCTCACCAGCACCATCACCACCATCATCACCAACACCACCACCATCACCACTACTACCACCATCCATTCCCACCAATACTATCACCACCATCACCAACACCACCACCATCACCACTACCACCATTATCACCATAACTACCACCATCACCTCCACCATCACCACCATCACCATCCTCACCAGCACTATCACCACCATCACCAACACCACCACCATCACCATCACCACCACCATCCATTCCCACCACTACTATCACCATCACCACCACCCTATCACCACCATCACCACCACCATTGTCACCACCACCACCATCACCACCATCACCATCACCACCACCATCACCACCACCATTGTCACCATTATCACCACCACCATCCATTCCCACCACTACTATCACCATCACCAACACCCTATCACCACCATCATCACCATTACTACCACTACTGTTACCATCATCACCATCACCCTATCACCACCACCACCACCACCATTGTCACCATTATCACCACCACCACCACCACCATCATCACCATCACCAACACCAACGTCACCATCATCACTACCACCTCCACTATAATCATCATTAGTACCATCACCACCACCACCAGTACTGCTATCACCATCACCACCATCACCACCACCACCACGACCATCACCACCACCACCACCACCACCACCATCACCACCACTATCATCAATATCACCACCAGCTACCAGCTCTGCCCTACTATTGTATGGGTCATCAGGGGTGCGGGTTTGAGCCCAGCCTCCCTGCCTCCCTGCCCTCGGGTTCACCGTCCTGAGTACCAGGGGCCTAGAGCAATCCCGGGGGCTTCCCTGTGTTTCCCCCAAAGCCAGGTTCTCTCTCTCAAAGGGAGTGACCTTTGGCCTCAAAGGGGCAATAAACTTACAGTTGACCTGGACAAAGAGCACCGCCTCATCGTGGCCTGCCGTGTTCTCTGCCCTGACGGACACGCGGTAGATGCCGGGGCTCTCGTAGCGGTGCCGGATGGGCTCCCCGGTCAGTGTAAGGTTCACGTACATGGCCTTGAAGCCGTCCCCAAGGTCTACCTGGTACTTGGTAGTCAGGACATCACCCTGCAGAGAAACACCATGTGGCCACTCAGGAGTGGGCCTTGAAGCTGAGGGGCCAGAGTGGTTCATTCACTCACTCACTCACTCACTCATTCATTCATTGCCGCCCTCCCTTCCTTGACATGAGTGGGCTCTGGGGACCCACAGGAGACCGGGCCTGGTTCTGCCCTGGAGATTCTTCCTGGAGTATGGGGCTGACCAAGGCAGCTGGTTTAACTAGGGGCTGTGGCCAAGGGATATTTCAGAACAATCACCCAGCGGCAGAGAGGGAGAGGGAGAGGCCCAAGGGTGTCATCAGAGAGCAGCTGGGGGGCAGTCAGGGCCCGGGGGAGACCCACAGAGGCCCGTGCTAGGGATGGAGCCAGGAAGGTGAGGGGCCTCCCACTGCGAGGAGGGTTTCGGCAGGGGAGAGGAACACATCTGGAAGTGCCTAAGCCGCCTGCCTGGAAACCAAGCAGGATTTTCCTTTCTGGGAAGCTGCGGTTCTTAATTTTCTCTTTCTCAGACCATGCGGTACCAGGAGTGACGCTGAGATGGGGCAGGGTGAGTGCAGAGAGGAGCTCCCACCAACTGCCATCCCCGCGTGGCACCGAGTCACCCAGAGAGGCCGCTCCACCATCTCCTTCCACCTTCCAATAACCGCATTTCCCTCGCAGAGGTGGGGGATTGAGTGAAGGAAACAGGAACTTCTTCGATTTATGGCTCATGATCACATTCTCCCTCCCTCCCTTCCTCCTCTCCTCCCCTTCCCTCTTCCTCCCTCGCCGGCACCAGGGGCACGAGGAAACCGTTTCCTAGTGATGATGGAGGAAACAGCGTGATTACTAACCACTTAGCCATCTTCTCAGTTTATACCAGCCAAACGTTGTAAGTTGATAGAAAACTTTTACGTAAATTCTGTTCACTTAACTTTCTCCACAGATGTGGTAAATTGAGCTGGTCAGTGTCTCCCCAAAATTCACGTCTACCGGGAACCTCAGAATGTGACCTCATTTGGAAATAGGGTCTTTACAGGTGTCATTAGCTAAGATGAGGTCATACTGGATTAGGGTGGGCCCTAAATCCAGTGACAGGCATCTGTGTAAGAGAAAGGAGAGGGAGATTTGGGCACGGACAGAGGCTGCGTGGAGGTGAAGGCAAAGGCAGGAGTGACTCTGTCAGGGGCCAAGGAGTGCCGGGAGCCCTGGAAGCTGGAGGAGGTGCAAATGGATTCTCCTTCGGAGACTTGTGTGGGTTCAGGCCACCCGGCATGAGATAATTTGTTATGGGGTCCCTAGGAAGGAGGCTGCAGGGTGCTCCGTTCTCCCCATTTGACAGGTTAGAAGACTGAGGCTCTCCAAAGCCCAGGACCCAGGAGGCTGCTCGCTGGTTGTGGTTCTTTCTGTTTAAAGGCAGCCTCTCAGGGAGGGGCGGGGAATGAGGGGAAGCGCTCAAGTCTGAGCTGCTTCCACGGAGGGAAGTGTTTCCTGTGCTAATCCTGGGAAGGAGAAGGCATGTGTGACCCAGAGTCAGGACTCGTGATCCGCTCAACCTGGGTGAGGCGCCACCTCTCGGGGCCTTGTGTTCCTGCCTTCAAGGGCTGCGCTGATGCACATTTAACTTCTTAAACATTTCAGTTGGTTAAAATAACTTGTCTTTTTCTCCTGACCACAAAAGTAGTATATTCTCAAGGTAGAAAATAATATAAAATACAAATAGTAAAGCAAAGAAAAAGAACAAAACTAAATCTCACCATAATACCCTCCATTCACATCCTGGTATATTTCATTTATATCCATTATTATTACTGGTGCTTAAAGAAAAATTAAACATTGTCTTCTGAGATAATGGTAGGCTCCTATGTAGTTGTACGGAATGATACAGATCCACCCTGTGTGCCCCGTACCCGGCTCTCCCCAAGGCTAACATCTTGCCAAATGATAGTATCACGACTAGGAGGTTAACACTGATACAGGAAAGAGACAGGACAATTCAGCCAGCACTAGGACCCCACCGGGTGCCCTTTGCAGACACACCCACTTCCGCACATTAGCCCAACTCCATGGTAACCATTAGTCTTTCTCCATTTCTATAACTTTGATAATTTCTATTCTCTTTCTCCATTTCTGTATTTCAGGAGTGTTATATGAATGAGTGGCACAGCAGGGGATCATGTGGGAGTGGCTTTTTTCACTCGGCATAATCCACTTGAGGCTCATCCAGGTTGAAGCAGGTATTACTATTATTTTTTTTTTAAGACGGGATCTCACTCTGTTGCCCAGGCTGGAGTACAGTGGTGGGATCTTGGCTCACTGCAACCTCCGACTCCCAGGTTCAAGTGATTCTTGAGCCTCAGCCTCCCAAGTAGCTGGGATTACAGGCATGCATCACCACACCTGGCTAAGTTTTGTTTTTTTTAGCAGAGACAGGGTTTCGTCATGTTGGCCAGGCTGGTCTCGAACTCCCGACCTCAGCTGATCCACCCACCTCGGCCTCCCAAACTGCTGGGATCACAGGCGTGAGACACCGTGCTGGGCCCTGCTGCAGGTATTAATAATGGATTCCTTCTCACTGCAGCATGGTATCTCAGCATGGGGGCACCCCAGCCTGTGCATTCACCCACTGCAGGGCACCTGGGCGGTTTGAGTTTCTGGCCTTTGTGAATAACACTGCTATGAACAGACACATACAGGTTTTTGTGTGAACAGAAGTCTTCATTACTCTGATATGACCGCCATGAGTGCAAGTGCTCAGTCCTCTGGTCGTTGCATGTTGAGTTCGTTAAGAAACTGCTGAAGTGTTTTCCAGAACACCTGTGGCATTCTCCAGTCTCCCCAGCCATGCGTAAGTGATCCAGTGTCCTTCCCTGCATCCTCACCGGTACTTCATGCTGGCGCTATTTTTAATGTCAGCCATTCTGATAGGTGCGCAGTGATGTCTGGCTGTGGGCTTCCCTGGCGGCTGATGGCGTTTGTCATCTTTTCGTGTGCTTACCTGTCATTTGTCCATTCTCCTGGTGAAACGTCTTTTCAGTTCTGCTCATTTCCTAACTGGACGGTTTGTTTCCTTGCTGTTGAGTGTTCTTCCTCTAGTCTAGGTACTGGTCCTTGTTGGATATGTGGTTTGCAAATACTTTCTCTCACTCTGTAGCTTGCCTTTCATCTTCTTAACATGGGTGTTTCACAGAGCGAAAGTGGCTGATCCTGATGAAGCCCAATTTATCAACTTTCCTTTTGACTGGCTTTCAGTGTGAAGTCTGAGGACTCCTCTCCTAGCCCTAGATATTCTCTCCTGTGGTTTTTCTAAAAGGTTTATGATTTTTACATGCGACATTTAAATCTAGGCAATTTTGAGCTCATTTTTCTATCGGGTGTGAGGTTTAGGTTGAGGTTCATTTTTATTGCATGAATAAGCCCTCCCCTCAGTGAGTTGTTTTGGCACCGACGTCAAACATCCCTCGGCCATATTTATATGGGTTTATTCCTGGGGCCTCTATCAGACCTTATTTTTAATTCTTAAGATATTTACAAAACTTAGACTCCCCTAAACCCAGTGCTGTTTGCAAGATAGGTTGGCCTGTGTGTGTGAGACAGTGTGTGAGTGTGTACAAATCTGCGAGTTTGAGAGTGAATACATGAGCGTGTAAGCATGTGTGTGTCTGTGTGTTTGTGTGTATGTGTGAGCGTGTGTACCAGTGAGTGTGTGCCTCGGACCTGGATCCTACACTCCCACCAGCTTCCCTAGCGTAGCGGGTGGCCTCTTCCCGACAGTAGGTGCACAGTGGGGTGGGGGTTGACTCTCCCCACCAAGAGCATCTTTTGATCACTCTCTTCACTTCCGCCAACTCCAGCTCCTGCCAGCAGAGCAGGCCCAGCAAGGGTCCCGGCCCCCTGGGCGGTGGTAGACTGGCTCCCATAGAGACACTCCGCAGATGCGACTGCACTGCCGAGACGCCAGGCTCTAGGGGGCAGCAGAGGGCCATTTTTTTCCTGGAAGTCGGCCCCGGACGGGCAGCCGCAGCGGGGTCTACTCTGAGGGTCCAAGCGGGACAGGCGGGGCAGCGGCTCTGTCCTCCTGCCGCCCCAAGATGCTGCTGCGAACAGAGGCGCCCCAGGGCTGCCCCTGGCTCCGAGGAGTGTGGGTCCTAGGCCCCATCTCCGTCAGCAGCCTGCACCAGGGAACGGCTCAGGTCTAGGGGCCCCAGACTCAGTCTCTGTCCACGTAGAGTCTAGGGGCCAGGGACCCCAACGCCAGCCCTGCCACTCATTCCCGTGTGGCCTTGGGAGAGTGACTTCTCTGTCCGAGCCTCAGTTTCCCCAGCTATAAAGCAGGTTGGCAAGAGGACGCCACTTGAGGTGGGGCCAGGAGTACAGGCAGTGGCTCGTGCACAGCGCCCGCCACGGAGGCGCTGGGCAAGCACTGCTCTGCGTCGTCTTGGGCCTCAGTTTCCATGTTTGCCTTAGACCAGGCTCCCTGCTTTCCAACTCCAAAGACCTTTGTCACCAACATCCCACCCCACCTTGGCACCGTATTTTGAAGGACATTTAAACAGGACACACATCACTGTGAAGCCGCACTAGCTGCATCTCCCGTACTGTTCACCGGAGAGCCAAGTGTCCAGGAAAGCTGCGTGCCGGGAGAGAGCCCAGGGTCCTAGGCGCTCACCCTCCGGGTGCGACACGGATGCATCGAACCCTCTTTTGCCCTTTTCTGTCATCTCGAATTTTCTGCAATGCTTGTAAGTTTTTCTAGGTTTTGTTTTTGAATTTGCTACAATGAGCATTAGTTTATTCAACAATCAGAAAAATAAGCATGTTACAAATTAATTTAAAAGGACTAGAAGGAAATACAAAAAACTAACAGTTGTTACCACGGAGGACTGGGGGGCTTTTTGAGACATATTTATACTCTTGATATTTTGTGTGTGTTTTCCAAATGTTCTACAATGAACATTCATTATTTTTAACGTCAGAAGAAAATATAACACTTGTTCTAAAGCAAAAAAAGCAAGCCTGGGAGGCTGGGAGGAAATTTCTATCTGTGTTTGTGTGAGTATTTATATCTGTATCTGTCCATGCACACACAGGATTTATTTTTGGTTGTGTAATTATAAGTAATAGCGTTTTTAACTTTCTGTTTTTCATAAGATCCCAAATTAACTAAATCAATATAATTACAGGCTTTAAAAATGTATTACCACCCACGGGAATGAATACATTTTATACCAAGGCCAGTAACTACACCCTCCCCCACCCGATGTGTGAAACCACGTCTCCTTCTGCTCTGCGGGGACCCTAATACCCCCTACGTCCTACTCTATTCTCCTTCATGTCTCTTTCATTGTTAAATGCTGGTCTCGACTCGGGAAGCGGATTTCCAGCCCCCTGCTGCCTCCTTCAGTCTGGACAGGCTGGCTGATGACGATGCCCTGAGCCACTTCTAGGTGGAGGAGACACCCTCACCGTGCCTTCTGCGTGCCCAGTTGGAGCCGCCCCTGCCCGACAGTCCCAGGAGCCTGCTGGGAGGTGCTCACTCACCTGCTCCTGCCGCACCACAAACAGGACGTCCTCTCCAGGCCGCACGGCCACCGCCTCGCCTTGAATGCTGACCTGCAGGCCCCGGGGCGGCGTGAGGGGGCACTGCAGCTGCACCTGACTCTGCTGCATGTCCACCCCACCCTCACACACGTTGGACACCACTTTCCGGTACCTGGATTGACAAGAGAGGGTCAGGGTCCGCTTCAGACAGGTGGCAAGGGATGGGGCCCCATAGTCTGGGGAGGGACGTGCTTGCCACCCAGAGGTGGCACTTGGCTTCCCACCCCTAGGACTCTACTTGCTAACTCCCAGTCACCTCCTGACTCCACCTGATTGCTGTTACAGCCCCATTTTAGAGATGAGAACACTGAGGCTCAGAGGAAGAAGGACTGATGGTGGCAGGATGTGCTTCGGAGGCGCTGGCATCTCCGTGGTCTGATCATATTACTCACAGTAACAGTAACAGCCACCGTTAGTGCTGCAGAGGGGCTGTTTAAGCAGCCAGTTTCAATTTCACGGTCTTGCTGAGAAAGGTGGAGGACAGAGTGCCCAAGAGGGCCTGGGGTCCTGCCTCCACCTCGCCACTGGCTCACAGTGTGGCCGTAACCATGGGCACACACACCCCTCCTCCTGGGCTCCGTCTCCCTGTTCCCTTGAGAGAACTGGATTGGGCGATTCGTGACTAATCACTGCGTTCATGAGAAACCTATTTACTGAGCATCTATTATGGGCCAGGTAGTGGGAATGGGGGTGATCGCATGCAGCCCCTAGATGCTGTGCAGAGCAGACCCTCTAGTGGAGAGGCAGAGGCGGACCTGAGCAGATCACGTCAGAGTGAAACCACAGCTGTGATGGCGCTGGCTGGGGCATCCCTGGGGACCTGGACCCTGACAAAGGGGCTTTCAGCGAGAATGGGAGGATGAGCAGGAGAAGAAAGAGCATCCCAGGCCATGGGAACAACATGTGCAAAGGCCCTAGGGTGGGTCTGAGCCTGGAGGAGGAGCGGGTGTGGCACGAGGCTGGAGAGAGGCCCTGGGCAACCTTTTAGGAGATCCCTAAAAGGGGTGGCCTCATCCAGCTTGCTACTTGTGAAGCTCCCTCAGGCTACACTATGCGTCTGTGAAAGTGGCATTGCTGCCAAGGTGCTGGGGGTACCTGTCTCCCCAAGGCTGATCCCCCCTCTTGCCCTCAGGGCCAAATTCTCCCAGATGGCTCTGCCACTGAATAAGCATTCAGAAGTTGATCATGCACAGGCCCATTTCATTAGTGCTTTGAAAGAAAATACCCTTCTCTAAGGGCCACCCACCCATGGCACCTACAGCGTGCAGATGGTATGAGATGAAATCCTTTGTCTTGATCAAGATCCTGGCTCTGACACTTCAGACAAGAGTCCCTGTTGTCAAGCCCAGGTGGATGTGCAACCACTGCAGCTTCATGATACATAGGTGCATGGGTAGACAGATGGGTAGATAAGTAGATGGATGGATGGATGGATGGACGGTGAATGAATGAATAGATAGATGGTGGATGGATAGATGGATGGGTAGATGGATGGATGGACAGATGGGTGGGTGGATAGTGGATGAATTGATGGGTAGATAGATGGATAGGTGAATGGATGGATAGATTGATGGATGGTGAATGAATAGATGGATGGTGGATGGATAGATGAATGGATGGATGGGTAACTGAATGGATAGATGGATGCATGGATAGTAGTTGAATGCCTGGGAGAATGGAAGGATGAATGGAAAGACGTATGGATGAATGAATGGATGGAGAAATGAACAGATGATGGCTAACTGGATGATGGGTGGATAAATGGGTAGATGGGAGATGAACGAGTGATTGCATGGATGGGTGGGTGGATGGCAGGAGACATGCTGGTGAGGCCAAAGCCTGCAATTTCTGGTCCTGCCTCCTGTTTCCTCAAGTTCCCTCAGGGGAAGTAATGGGGATTTTCTAACAAGCCCAAGGGCTTTTCTCTTCCTCTCTGAAAAATGTCCTCAAAGAGAAATGAGGAAATTGGGACTTTCTGACGGAGCACGTTTGGGACCTCCTAAAGCTGAAGGCTCACAGCTTTTATGTACCTAACATTTTACATGAATTGAATCCTTCATAGCAGTATGTCCAGCCTCTGGTGGAGGAAAAGCATCGTAACTGCTTGCACTTGGTGATGCCTTCCCCTCATGCACAGCTTGTATTCAGCAAACCACAGACTGAAGGAACACCTACTGTGTGTTGTGGAGCTTACAGTTCAGCAAGGAGGACAATTAGGTGAGTGATGACAATAACTGGGATTTGTGCTGTGACAGAGGCAGGCTCGGGGTCAGGAGTGGGTGGTCAGGGAAGGCTTCCTGGAGGAAGTGCCATTTAAGCTGAGACCTGCAGGCAGCAGGAGCACCTCCAGCACCCAAGCCTTGGTGAATGGGGAGAGCCTGGCTTACTGGGCACCGGTAAATGGAGAAGGGTCCTAGCACTGCAGAGGCTCAGAAAGACCAGGGGAAGACGTGCTGCAGCAGGTGTGAGCCATGGGCACCTTGGACCTTTTCTGTCTATTGTTCTCTGTCCAGAGCCAACTCAAGGCAGCTTTCTCCTGGCACTGGCCCATGTGGGCTCAGATGGGAGAACCCTGTGGGTTCCTTTGGCCTGGGAGCTAAGGTCATTCACTCATGATGTCTGGTGACTCATATGAGCACCGCAGCCAGGCTCTGTGCTGTGAGCGTGGGGCATCCTCAACTTTGACCTCTCTTTCCCCGACTCCACTTGGGAGTTGGGAGCTGCAGGCACCAGCCAGGAAGGCGTGGTTTCGGGGCTGCACCACAGCTCTGCCCCCGGATTTAGGCAGGGAGAGGCCCGCACCCACACTCACCCAAGGCTGCTGGTGTAGGTCTGGCCCAGGGCACAGTCGTCAGGCGGGGACAATGGGTTAAACCAGAAGTTGGCAGAGCACTTGTTGGTGCTGGACTCTGAGGAGGAGGAGCGCTCAAATCCGTAGTCGCTGGGAGGAGGGAAGAGTAGTGGTAAGTGACGGGCACAGGTGGGAACCGGAGTCACCCAGGGTTGGGGTGAAATCTGGGGGAGCTGAGAAGGGAACCTCATGTCAAGGGCCTGCTATGCACCCATCTGTGAGGACATCAAGGAACACCCACAGCCCCATCCCAGATGGGCACACAGGGTAACAAGGGAGGCAAAGGGATGCTGTGAACTCAGAGAAACCTGGAGGGCTGCCTGGAGGAGGTGAGCAAATCTCAAAGGATGGACAGAGACAGGTAGGGAAAGAGAGGGAGAGGCACTGCTGGCAGGGCCCAGCCTGAGCAGCACCAGTACAGGTGGAGGAGGCTGCAATGCCAGGGGGCATGATGAGGAGGGGTGAGGTGGCAGGTGGGTGAGCTGTTAGCCAAATTGTCCTGTGGGCACTGGGCAGTCACAGGCAGCTTTTGAGAATAGCAGGGGACAGGTCGGGTGGCTTTCAGCAGAGTCCCTGGATGGAGAAGGGCTGGGGTGGGTGCAGCACGTCCCCAAGATGCCCTGACCTGTTCCTCACTTTCTCCTCCTGCCTGTGAGCAGCCACTGAGAAGGTTTAAAAATGCACCCACAAATTCCTTAAAGCTCCTTCCTGGAGTGTGGGCTGGTCTTGGTGACTTGGTTCTAACAGATGGAATGAGGCAGAAGTGGCAGTGTGCGACTGTGACACCAGGTTATAAAAGGCGCTGAGGCTTCCTCCCTCACTCTGAGGGAAGTGGCCGCCATGCTGTGAGGATGCTCAAGCAGCGCCTGAGGCCTCGTGGCCAGGAGCCCGTCGCTCACCACAGGAAGTCCGAGTCCCGGCACTCGCACACGCGGGACGTGAGCGCCGACGTGAAGCTCCTCCCCTTGATGCACCAGGACGTGGACTTTCTTTTCCGGAAACTTCTCTGCTGGCCCATGATACAGCGGTCGCCCTGCAGCAGGAACATCAGGGTAAGGAGCTGCCTGAGACAGGGCAACTGCTCTACAAGGCCTTGTGCCGCTGAGGCTGCCAGAGCCTGAAGATGGCTGATGGCTCAGGTTACAGATGGGGAAACTGAGGCCCATAATGGGGCGTGACATGTCTGCAGTCAAGTTGGGGAAGCCTCCCTCTCATCCCAACCCATGGGCATTCACTGAGCCCCTCCTGTGTGCAGCCCTGGCTGGGCCCGAGGGGTCGCAGAGCTGCTGGAAGTGCAGCCCTTTTGAGGTTCCCCTCGTCCCCTCAGCTGCTGTGTGGGAGCTGGGCTGAGCCACGCCCTCGAGGGCTCACAGGCACACAGTGGGTCCTCAGGGGACAATCAGGACAAGACAGGCCTACCCCCATCTCCCTGCAACAGCTGCTGTGGCAGTGACAGGGGTGGGGCCAGTGAGGATGCCCGGTGGCCTGTATTCAAGCTCCTAAACCTCCTCCTAGGCCCATCTGAGCACTTCCTTGTGAAATCCAGCTTAAGCAATGCACCCTGCTAAGGCAGTTTGGCAGGCACCGCCCACCCTTGATATCCGATCGCCCTCCCTATCCGATAGGCTTCCTCATCCCCCACTGCCCCCCAGGTGATGTCAAATTCTCTGATGCCTGGTGTTTCCTCTTAGTCAGTTTCCACCCACTGACCTTGGCTTTGAACTCCCATTTGCCCATGCTGAATTCAAGTTGAGCCCAATCTCTCCTTTGAGAGGGTCCCTGTACCCACCGTGATGGTCTTGAGTAAAGTCTTCCACCCCGCGCTTTAACAAGTACCATTAAATCATTTCTTCAACAGGGCCACCCACCCCCGAGCAGTTCCAGGCCCCCACACTCTGAAATCCCAGGCTTCCCCACCACACTGCCAGCAGCACAGCCTGATTGGAACTACAGATGGGCCACTGATGGTCTTTATACTCCTCTTAGTGTCCATATTACACATTTGCTGTAGAAACAGTTATGTGTCTCAATTACAGTGTGGGCTTGCCCCAGACCCCACTCCACACCCAGACCCCAATGTCATGTATGGTACAGGCCTGTGTTACCTTCCTAAGATCTGAACATCCTGAACCCCAAGCATACTGGACTCCATGGGCTGGAGTAGAGACTGTAGCCCCTGTAGCCCCACACTCCCCGAGTGTGGCTGAGGACCCTCAGCCCAGGTAGCTCCATGACCGAGAAGGGTCTGGAAAAGCCCACAGGAGGCCTGGACATCTCAAGGCGCTGGGGATTCCCTGAAGACTTCTTGGAGGCGGGGAGGTGCCCTGCGGCCTTGCAGGGGAGGACTTTGGCAGGCAGAGTGGGCCTGTGTTTGCAGTCTGTACCCCACCTGCCCGATCCCAGCCTCATGCCGGCCCACCTGCAGGTTGGAGAGCTCCCAGGAGCTGTAGTCCTCCTCGCCGCACTGCCTGGAGAATGAGGGCCGGAAGTCCACCTTGACCAGCTCCCAATCGGAGCGGAAGCTGATGTGGCCAAAGACCCTGGGGTGGGAAGAGGAGGGAAGGGAGAGAAAACCACCTTCATTAGGCCTTGTCCTACTGTGCAAATCATGTCCCCTCTGGACTCTGTTCCTACCTGTACCATGGGCACAGATATCCTTCTCCTGCCCTTGCTGGAGATCAGAGCGAGGCTGCCCCGGTCACCGAGCCTGGCCCTGCACACGTGCTCTGTAGGCTTCGGCGTGAATATTCCCACAACTACCACCTGTGATCTATGACTTGTCAATTGCACTGCGTGAGTCGCTCTGGTTGGCCCCCAGTGGCCCCGCTTGATGGACAGGGAAGGAGGCCCAGATCCACAGCAGAGTTGGGAGCCCTTCCACGGCCCCCACAGTGGTCCTTGCATTGTTTTGCGGAATGATCTGTGGTCAGGTGGCTGCATCTGCAGCTGTCTGGCTTCTCCCTGGCTTTCTCCCAGCCTGACCGTGTGAGGGTTCCGTGCTGCAGAAACCCAGCTTTCTATCGCTGGGCCACAGGGCATTTGCTCCCTAGTAGAGGTGGCGATTCAAAGAGAAATAACAAGTCAGCAGGCTCAGCGCAGAGCCCACAGGATGAGCAAGGTTGGCCCGTCGCAGCCTAGGTGGGTGGGGGAAGAGGCGGAAGACAGAATAGGGAGGCTGGCCACTTAGGGTGTCATGTATGGTACAGGCCTGTGTTACCTTCCTAAGATCTGAACATCCTGAACCCCAAGCACACTGGACTCCATGGGCTGGGGTAGAGCCTGTGGCCCCACACTCCCTGAGTGTGGCTGAGGACCCTCAGCCCAGGTAGCTCCATGACCGAGAAGGGTCTAGAAAAGCCCACAGGAGGCCTGGACATCTAAAGGTGCTGGGGATTCCCTGAAGACTTCTTGGAGGTGGGGAGGCACCCTGCGGCATCCATGGGTGCTGGAAGCTATGCATGCACAGCCTGGTAGGCCGGGTCCGCCCGTTTTACAGAATGGAAAGCCGAGGCACAGAGAGGTTGAGTAACTTGCCCAAGGTCACACAGCTTGTTTGTGCTGTTCCTTCTCCCTCCTTGCAGTCAGCAGTCATTGCTGTGTGCCCATCACTCAGAATGGCACTCAGGTGCCTCGCTTTCTCCCTCTCTGGGAGGGCTGCTGCCTGAGTGCCTTCCACTCCATCCCTCAGTACCACACACTTAGGCTCCAAAGACCACCCAGAAGGTGGGCCCAGCCTGCTCTTCCCTGGGCCTTCTCCAGTCCAGCTTGTGGTGCTCCGGCCATATTACCAGAGGCCAAGCATCTGGGTCGGGGAGGTGATGCACGCTGCTCCAGTCTGGTCCCTGTCTGAGCACCCCCAACTGGGGATGGATACTTGGGGTGGCCCATGATGAGCTGAAAGGACAACCCCATTCTAGGGAGGTGTTGAAAGAGGTTTTGTAGGGTATTTCTGAGACATGACAGCTGGGTCTGAGCATCTGAGGCTGATATTTGAAGATTTGGCTCCACGGGGCACCTCTCAGCCAGGCAAGCCTGCGGCGGTCCATGCTTGAATTACATCTGTGACCTCGCATTTGCCTCCACTCTCCAGAACAGTCCCAAGAGGCAGACACTATTGTCTTTGTTTGATGAAACCCTAAGCCTCTGCAAGCTGAGCATGGGGCCTCCCTCTGTCTTAGCTGGACCTTCCCCCCAGGGACCCTGCCTCCCTGTGCTCCCTAAGGCCAGCTCGTCGAGGGAGCAGCCAGGCTGGTTCCATCCCGCATTCCTGCCACGTCGCTGCCAGGCCTCATTCCAGCCAGGCCCCTGGTTCTGGGCTCACAGTCCCATCTGCTTTCTTCTCTGTGCGTGGGGTTCAGGAGCCCCAGACCATTCTTTCTCAGAGGAGTGGGGAAATGGGGCTTGAGCCCTCGGCCTGGGAGCCCTCCTAGCTGCTAGTGGCAACACCCACCAAGGACAGGGGAAGGCCCCCAGGTACGGCTGTGACTCTGCCGCGTCCGTCCGCTTCTGCAGACACTGTTTCCAACAGAGGAATCTTGTGGGCCTGCACGGTGGCCCCGGCTGTGAGTGGTCTTGGCTCCAGGGCACCCGTGATTGGGATGAGGGTGCCATCTGTCTCCAGATGGACCCCACTTGGACGGCCTCAACATTGGAGAGCCCCAACTCAACACACTGGGATCTTCCTTCAACATCGCTGTCCAAACAATGCCTGGGGCATTGGTCTCTTAAACAGCATCTGAGGGTCTTCTCTCACTTAAGAAATGATTTTTTAGGGGAAACTTCTGGATCCCTGAGAGCATCCTCACACTCTCCTGTGGCCTGTGGCATTATGGAAGGTATAGCAGCAGCAACAGCCACTGGTGCATACGGAGCACCCACTGCAGGCCGGGCCCAGGCGTGACCTTGTATTCCCCCATTTCCTCCTTGCCAAGCCCCCTTTTACAGACAAGGAAACTGAGGCTGAGGCAAGGGACCCGGCCAGGGCAGCACAGCTTCAGGCCACCTCCTGGAGGGGCGGCGTTGGAACCCGGGCTGGTGGCTCTGGAGCTGTGAGGCTTTGCGCAGAAACATGGCGGGTACAGAAACATGACACTGGGGCTCCATTGGTCGCAGAGACCCCCAGGAGGCCTCAGTCTCACCGCTGTTCTGAGCTGGGGCAGAGCAGAGAGGCTGGTTTGGTTGACTAATTAACCCCCTGCATGTCCCTGAAGCCCTGCCTTTTATGAAACCTCAACCCTCAGCTGATACCATGAGAAAGAGCTGCCATCTAGTTAATTCTGGGTCTTAGGAAAGAGGTGCCGAAGGGGTCTAGATATTACTTTGCAGGTAACGAGGAAAAAATGGGCCACGCTGCGAGGGGTGAACCATGTAGCCAGGGAAGGCTCTGGGAGCCTCCACTCCACCTCTCGCCCAAGCCCAGGGCCTGGGGACCCCTCCCTGCTCTGAGGCTGCACTGTGGGGAAAGAGAGGCAGGTGAAAGTGACTGGTGCCAGGAAAGTGTCCCAAAAGTTGCCTCTGGCCAGGTTAGAGGTGGCCTTTGGGCAGATTTGTACCAAACAGTTATCCGGGAAGGACAGAGTGGCCGAAAGCTGAGCCTGTGGCTGTGGGAACTCTCCGGCAGGGCAGCTCCCGTACAGACCCCTGCAGAGGGACTTTGAGTCTGACCTGCCAGCGTGTTCCCTCTCCTGCAGTTTGAGTTATTTGTATGTCACTGGGACTGGGAAGCTGTCTGAAGATGCAGCACTGTGAACCAGGGGGTCTGGAGGAACTGTTCTGTTGCTTGAAAAATAACTTAAAAGGTTATAGCACCTGGCTGTGAATTCGGCCATTATCCTTCTGGGATAAAATGCCTCACCTGTGGGTGGGGGATGAAGGCTGGGTCATCTCTGGGGCCTAACCAAGGCTCAGACCTCATGACAGCCGGGGCGAAGGGCTTGGCACCCTGCAGAGACAGGCTCATTCACGGCTCCCGGATGGACAGCACTCCCATCTCTTGGCCAGGTAAGCTGAGGCCCGGAGAAGGCTGTCAACCTCTGTGTGAGGAGTAAGGGCCGCCCTCACCCCTGCACTGCTGGCCCCCCGCGGCTCTGCGGGTTCTGGCCTCAGGAACGGCTTGACCACATGAAAGGCCCACAACACAAACAGAGTGCAGGCAGAGTGCCTGGTGGCGGGACTCCCTTCCTCCCTCACTCCCCATCCCCGTAAAGGCCACAGGAGGTCCTGCAGCTGCAGGAAAAGGCAGGACCATCCCATTCTGTCCCAGACCACGGCCTCCGGGGGCACGAGACTGGGCAAAAGTCATGAAGGATTTTATGCATCCAGGGCCTGGCCAGAGCAGGAATTAACTGTTCAGGGAAAACGGCAAACATCAGGACCCTTAAAGAACAGGAAGGGTGATTATCCCCACCCAATTTTTACAGGACAGGCTCCCAGGGTCCCCATCCTCCCACCACTCCCTCAGGGATGAATTCTTTGAGACGTGTTGGCACCTCTAAAAACGGAGGAATAAATCAATCTGTCTACATTTCTTATGAGAATGGCCTGAAGTCACGTATGAAAACAGCCCGTAGTATGCAGTGGGGCGCTCACTAAAGCTGCGTTGCAGCCCCTGTCGCAGGAGGCCATATTGGTAAAGACGGAGGGAGGACTTGGGGCAGAGGGTCCAGGAAGGGGAAGACGCCCCCCAGACTGTGGGAGGGGAAGGGGCTCACTGTTCTCCCGGGGCGCTGAAGGACAAGACCACCCAGAAGCACCATCGCATGCCATCGAGAACACACGGATACAGGATCAAAGGTCGGCCGGCCAGCGGGACCCACCCGTGGCGGGTACTGGATGTTCAGTGAGACCAGTGAAGGGGGCCCTCGCCTTCTTGGGAATAACGCTCCCACCCACCCGGGACCCCAGCTGGGAAGCAGAGCTGTCCCAAGCATCCCCTCAATCCCACCACAATGCATGGCCTGGGAAGGCCAGCCGGGACCTGTCTGTCTGCTGTGGAGTGGGCGGAAGCCAGGCCTCTATACTAGAATCAGAGTCTAAGCAGGTGATTTCTTGCTCATCACCCAGGAAGCAAGAAGGCCCCAAGCATCACAGGTGAGCATCAGTTGAGGGCTCATTTGCGGCGACCTCGTGGAGTTTAAGTCCCCATGCTACAGACAAGGAAGCCCAGGTCTCTGGAAGGGAAATGTCATTTCCTGGGCACAGACGTTCTGCTTCCCGGAATCCTCCTGACAGCTCCTCAAGCCGACTCATTTCCCAGTTTCGGGGCTGTGGAAACCAAGGTGCAGCGTGTGCAGTCCACTGTCCAGGGACACCAGCCTGGCGAGAAGCATCCTGATTTGGAGACGGGGGCGGAGCTGTGTGAGCTGTGCTGGCTGGGCCCTGGTCCTGGGGGTGATGGGCCCAGCTCACCTCTCCCCAGCCAGGCCCCTGCAGGCGGTGCTTGCACAAGCTCATCCCCATGAGCGTCTGTCTCCACCCCTGTGTCATCCTCACAGGTGCATCACCACCCATTTATTCAAGCCACATTCACTGAGCATCAAGCGCCTCTTCCATGCCTGGTGCTGTGCGTGGCCTGGGGACGCACCAGTGAAGCCAGCAGAACCAGTCCCTCCTGGAGCCTGGGGCAGGGCACAGCCACCAGCAAGGGCAACCCTGCAGATGGGATCAGATCCTCGAAGGGGTGAGGGCCAGGCAGCCCAGGCCTGGTGGCAGGGAAGGCCCTTCTGGGCTGGGACTGAATTGAAGGCGGCAGGAATTCGCGCTGTTGCTGACCCGCTCATCTTAAATACCCTGAGAGGGGTCCACACTCACCACTTCTTCCCTGTCCTTGTGCCCCACGCAATCTCAGTTTCCCGAAACCTGGTTTCCCACCCTGGCTCAGCTGGAACTGATGGCTTCTTGTTGCTAAATCCGACGTCCAGCTTCCATCCTCCTTGGCCAGGAGCTGGGAGGCAGACTAGGTGTCCTCTGAGTGTGAGGACAAGTTCCCGTTCTCCATGATCAGAGGTCCCTAAAGCCAGGGCTGAGTGTGCTGTGTTGCCAACACTCCTGGCACCTCAAACAGCACCTGGCACATAATAGGTGCTCAATAAACGTGCATTGGATGATGGCAGAGCAGAAGAGCATCCTCATAGGGGGTCCCACCTCTGCTCGGCCCGGAGAGGACAGGCTGCTGCCCACAGAGCTGCCCTGGAGTGCCCACATGGGCTGGACTTGGCCACAGGTTTTGCTCAAGGTACCTCCCCTCTCAGAGCCTCAGTTTCTTTAATTGTCAAGCAGCAGAGCTGGTTGAGGGTGGGTGGGGGTGACGGGTGGTGAGCAGGAAAGCAGCAGGGGTCAGTGGTGGTGTCTCCCAGCCACAGCAGCCAGGGGAGCTCAGGGGTTGCGTCTGCCCAACCTCCCCAACAAACGAGGGGACATACTCTAGCCCTGCAGAGTCCAGCCTCATCCCTGCCCAGACAGAGCCCAGCCTCATCCCTGCCCAGACAGAGCCCAGCCTCATCTCTGTCCAGGCAGAGCCCAGCCTCATCCCTGCCCAGGCAGAGCCCAGCCTCATCTCTGTCCAGGCAGAGCCCAGCCTCATCCCTGCCCAGGAGGAGCCCAGCCTCATCCCTGCCCAGGCAGAGCCCAGCCTCATCCCTGTCCAGGCAGAGGCCAGCCTCATCCCTGCCCAGCCTCATCCCTGCCCAGACAGAGCCCAGCCTCATGTCTGTCCAGGCAGAGCCCAGCCTCATCCCTGCCCAGACAGAGCCCAGCCTCATCCCTGCCCAGGCGGAGCCCAGCCTCATCTCTGTCCAGGCAGAGCCCAGCCTCATCCCTGCCCAGCCTCATCCCTGCCCAGACAGAGCCCAGCCTCATCTCTGTCCAGGCAGAGCCCAGCCTCATCCCTGCCCAGACAGAGCCCAGCCTCATCCCTGCCCAGACGGAGCCCAGCCTCATCCCTGCCCAGACGGAGCCCAGCCTCATCCCTGCCCAGACGGAGCCCAGCCTCATCCCTGCCCAGGCGGAGCCCAGCCTCATCCCTGCCCAGGCGGAGCGCAGCCTCATCCCTGCCCAGACGGAGCCCAGCCTCATCCCTGCCCAGACGGAGCCCAGCCTCATCCCTGCCCAGACGGAGCCCAGCCTCTTCTCTGTCCAGGCGGAGCCCAGCCTCATCCCTGCCCAGACAGAGCCCAGCCTCATCTCTGTCCAGGCAGAGCCCAGCCTCATCCCTGCCCAGGCGGAGCCCAGCCTCATCCCTGCCCAGACAGAGCCCAGCCTCATCCCTGTCCAGGCAGAGGCCAGCCTGGGCAGGATGGGCAGCATTGTCCCAGCTGGGCAGTTTCTTTCCAAAACCAGGCCTGCTCCCCACAGCCTGGAGCTGTCCTCCCGTGGCCTCCTGGGAGCTGTGCGCCTGCTGGGGAGGGTGGGGCACATGGAGGGAGATAGAGGCTGGGGTCAGGCACTCTTGGGCGGCTTATCCACGTGGGCCCCTCTGGGGCATTCAGGGGCCAGTGGAAGAGCCACTCAGGGTCGAGGGTGTGAAGGCCCATTGCCAGCTGGAAGGGAAAACTCAGGGTGTGAACTGGTGAATGAGCCAGGCCAGCACTTCCTGCTGAACCCAGCCAGAGTGTAGTCCCAGTCCATAGATCCACACCTGCCACAGAGCACATGGCCACTCCAGCCGAGTGGGCGAGGGTGAGGGGCACAGTGCCCAGCTCTTCTGTGGGAAATGGGTAGGGCAGGTCCTGCCTGCTCTAGAAGGGACAGAGCAGAGGACAAGGTGTTCAAAGTCCAGGTGTCCAATCTCCCTGTGCCTAGGCCTTGAGGTGGAAGAGCTGTGGGCTGTCGCGGCAGCCTCGTGGGGCTACTGTGGCAAATTACCATGAACTCTGCTGGCTTCAGTCATCACACACATGCTCTCCCACCCTGAAGCATTGCTCACATGCTCTCTCAGCGCTCTGGAGGCCAGAAGGCTGAAATCCAGGGGTCGGCAGGGCTGAGCTCCCTCTAGAGGCTCTAGAGGCGGAGGCTTCCTGCCCCTTCCAGCTCCTGGGGGCCCTGGGTGTTCCTGGGCTTGCAGCTGCACAGCTCCACTCCATGCCTCCTCCCTCCCCGGCCTCCTCCCCCAAGGCCTGTGTCTCTGTGTCCTCTTGTAAGGACACAGTCATTGGATCAGGGTCCGCCCTACTCCATGGCCTCATCTTGGCTTAATTACATTGACAATAACCCCATTTCCAAATAAGGTCCCATTCATGGTTCCGGGAAACAGGAATTTGGGACACACTATTCAGATATCTCAGGCATCACCGTGAAAGGCAGGAAGAGGACACGGTGGCCTCACCGTGCCACAGCGCGGGGTCGCAGGAGCCGTTAGACACACAGGCCTCGCCCAGCCTGTGAATCAGCTGGGCTCACAGGGGCCCATGTTCGAGGGCACCCAGAGGAACCTTCACTTCACTGGTTTCTGGGCACGGCTGTCTCCCATTGCGGCCGCAGCGGTGCAGTCGAACGCCGCATGTCCCCACTGTCCTAAGCGTCTCTGCTCCTGGGCCAGAGAGGCTCTGAACGACAGAGGCTCCTGAGGCCCCTTTGCCCCTCATGGTGCCTTTTTTGGCCCAAGCTGGGGCTGAGCAGAAGGAAGCCGGGCAGGGCCAGTGCTGCAGCCTCAGACCCCGGGATGGGTGACGAGAGGGTCACAGCCAGCTCTGCCCTATGATGATCTGTCTGGGTGTCAGGCCCTAAGCCATATGACCTTCATGCCATATGGCTGAGAAAGGTGCCAGTAGATAGCAATACTCATGATATAATCACCGGCTCAAGAGGTGCCGTGGCCATGGTGGAGCCGGCCTGGAGCCTCGGTCCTGTCCTCACCAGCAAGGGGACCTGGGGCAGGTGGCAGATGTCCCTGATTCCCAGGTGGCTGGGGGGTGAAGGACACAGTAGGCCCAGGGAGGCCCAGCATGGCTCTGCCCTGCCACCAGTGCCCACTCCCCGGTCCCCGCACTCACGTCATGACCAGCGTCTCGTCCCCTGGCTCACTCAGCAGCCCGTCCACAAACACCGAGGTGCTGGTGAAGTTGTGCGTGCTCCAGGTGAGGCCCTCGTCCACACTGAACCTGCCAGGAGAAGATCGTCAGCATCTCTGGGGTGGGCTGGAAAGCTCCCTGTGTCTGGGACTCTGCCCGGCGGGTCCAGCTGGAGGGGCGGAGGCTGCACTAGCCAACCTTGCCAGTGCAGGTGATACCACATCTGCTTATGTCACATCTGCTCATATCACATCTGCTTATGTTACATCTGCTTATCTGCATTGTACTGCCCTGGGGGTGTTTTCTGGGAACCACACAGACACTTTGCCTCCCCTGAATGGCCACACCCATGGCCTGAGCTTGGCCTAGGCGTTGCCAGGCCCGTGGTAGGGCCGGTATTGTAGTGCCACCATCTGGCAGTTGAGTAATCTCTTTTTCAGACTACAGTGATACTGGCTTCCTGGCAGCTGCTCCGGCTGTGCCTTCTGGGTCCCGAGTTCACGCCTGCCCTCCCTTCCCCACGACGGCCTTCAGCTGCCAACCCTCTCACCTGGGCATATGCTGCTGGCTTCCTTGTCTGGGTCACCTGGTCCCAATCCCTGCACTTTACTAATTCCTCACCTCCTCGGGGAAGGCCCTCCCTGCTCCCCAGGCTGGGGTGGGGCCTCCCTCTGTGCCTGTCTCCCGATGGCAAGACGAAGTCCATCTCCACGACCCCTCAGGAAAGGTTTGTGAGGTGTGTCCCAGCCCCGGTCTTTAGGATTTAGTGCAGTTGCTCTGTGATCATGTGTCCCCGAGGGGAGGACATTCTGGGGACTAGTCTGAGAGGGTTCCCAGGTGGAAAGAAAGAGCCCCAGCCTGCCCTCCCTGCCCCGGGGCTAGCAGACGCCATTACTTGAGGATCTTCAAAGGGATGGAGGTGTCTTTGATGGCCACGATCACGCCGCCGTGGTCCAGGTACAGGATGTGATGCTCTTCCTCAAACACCTGCAGAGGAGAGTGGTGTGGCTGAGGGCAGGGCCTGAGAAGGTCGGAGGTTGTTCCAGGCTGAGCGGCTCCTGGGAGGAGGGTTGTCAATGTGCAGCCGGGGGTTGTTGGCAGAGGCCAAGGCCGGTCTGAGGGTTCCCTGCATGTCCCGGGCCATCCCCGAGCTTTCCCAGCCCACGCGGACTCAGCGCACCCTGGATGACTGAATGGCGGACAGCAACTTCTACCCTATCGACCTGAACAAGGAAACTGCAAATGAGCACAGCACGCAGCCCTCTCTATGTGAAAACCCAGGCACAAAGAGTGCCAGCAACATGAAGATGAGAAAGAAACAGAAAAATATTTACGATACACAGCCTCAGTCAAAGCAAACCCCAATTTGACATGAAGACTCAGCTCAAGTGCCATTTCCTCCAGGAAGCCCTCCCTGATGCCAGACTGAGTGGGGAGTGGCCTCTGGGCTCCAAGCCCCTGGCCCAACACTTACTATGCTCATCTGTCATTGTCTCTTCAGTCCAAAGCTCCTCAAAGACAGGGCCACTTGTGAGCCTTCTGTGCCCCACAGAGCTCAGCTCAGACCTTGGTGCCAGGGAGTATGTGTGGAATGAATCAGTGAACAAGTGAATGAATGGCCGACCACCAGATCCCCAAGGGACAAAAGGCTGAGTAGCCTGGACAGGGCTTACCCAGGAGTGGATACTGAGGGTGGCCTGGACAGGGCTCACCCGGGAGGGGACACTGAGGGTGGCCTCGCTTGGCAAACAGCCCCAGGATGGGGTCCCATTGTACACATGAGGAGGCTGAGGCTCTGAGGGGTGGAGGGTATGCTAAGGCCTCACAGCTGGAAGGTGGCAGAGCCGGTGGTGGCTCCAAAGTCACACCAGGACACAAGGGGCCTGCCCCAAATCTCCAGTGAACATGCATGTGTGGGCGGCCAGCGCATGTCTCAACATGCCCAGTAAGGGCACAGCCATCTCCAACACATCGCCCTCGCCCCATACCGCCCCTCCTCGAAAGTGGCCCCCTTTGCCCTCCCACCCTTGCCCATCTGTCTCCCAGGCCTGTGGCCCACAGCAGGACACAGGAAAGCCCAGGAGGGGACAGAGGACAGCCACCCCAGGCAGACCCCACTAGGGCCAGCACGCTCATCCGTCTCAGTGTGCTCAGAGACTCAGCGAGCCCTTGGGGACCGTGGACAAGTCCACATGAGCTGGGCTCCTGGGCCTCCCGGGAAGGCACAGCTGTGCAGAGCTTCCAGGAACAAGCATGCAGCAACTTCGTGCCATGTGGGGCGGGATAAGGAAGGAGGCTCGGCTGACCCCTTCCTAGCAGGTGCAGAGCCTAACGGGGCCTCATGTGCACTGTGCCCAGGGGGCTGGGCTGGGGGTACCCCAGGCTCCAGGGGGACATTCAAGGGCAGCTGGGGAACAATCATGGGGACGCTGGAAAGAGAAGCATCTGCGCCCGTCTTCCCTCTGCCCCTCCATATGGAGTCTCCCTCAGAGTCTGAATGCTGGGTTTTCCAGGAGCCAGCAGAAGGCCCTGGGGAGGACATGGACTGAGAATCCACACTGCAAGAACATGAACCCCAGCAGACCTGGGTGGGGGCCGGCAGGCCACACCCTTGGCCCTGGTGTCCAGCAGGTACCCTGACCCCCATGCTCCTCAACCCCACCAGAACTTTCCAATGCTTCCGTGACACTTACAGTCAAGCCCAAATCCTACCACGGCCTCAGGGCCCCGAAGGAGGGGCCCCTGCCCACCTTGACCTTGCTTCCTTTCCCTGAATACACCCAGGCTCTCTGCATGTGCCGTTGCCCTCCCTGCAAAGCCCTTCCCCAGGCGTTTCCTCCTGGTTATCACAGTCGGCTGCCATTTCCCACTGCTCTTAGGAATTCTCCAGGAAGCACTTTTACCTTGGATAAAGAAGAGAGGATCCTTATGAAAAATGATGGAGGGTGAGCAGCTATGTCCCAAAACCTTCCCTCCCTCTTCCCGTCTCCCTCCCTCCCTCTTCTTCCCTCCCTCCTCTCTCCTTTTTTCTCTCTCTCCCTCCCTTCCCCCTTCTCTCCCTCTTCCCCTCTCCCTCCCTTCCTCCTTTCTCCTTCCTGTTTAGAGTGGGGGTCTGTCAGGTGATGCCAAATGACACAGAGGGGTGGTGCCACCAGGGCCAAGAAGGATTAAGCCCCTCCCTGGTGGGGGTGCTGCTGCCCATCAGGGACTTGCAGGATCCAGGCAGGCACCTTGTGCCGTGAGGCGTGCTGCACACAGGATCTCACTGAAGAGCAGCCAGGCTCACAGGTTATTTCCCCACTTTCCAGAGACACTGAGGCTCAGAGACACAGTGACTTGCCTGAAGCCACACAGCTGGTGACTGCCAGACACCAACCCCTGCCCCTTCCACGGGGACTCTGTCTGTGGACATCTTGCCCCCACACAGGTGGAGACACACTCTTGTGGGTGGTGGGGTCGCAGGCTGGAGTGGGGATTCAGAGTTAACCTGGGGGCTCCCCAGATGTCCCCCAATGCTCTGTGCTCCCTCCGAGGTTCACGGCCCTGTCTGCCCCCGGGGGTGGAGCGGGGGCAGGGGAGTTGTCATGCCGGGATCCTCTGTCCTAATGCTAGCTCAGGAAAGTGCTTGGAGAAGCACAATGCCTATGGCTACATTCATAGAAATTGTTTCCTGGACAAGGGAGCTGATGGCCTGTAGGCTTTAGGGTGTCACAGGCACAGATTTTAGGGGACTATGAAGAAGAACGTTCCACAGTTCTCCTCCCCATTGATCTACCCATCCGACAGACCCATTGGTCTGGGTCCTCTCTGTTGGGGATGCCAGCATAGATGCAGGCCTGGCCCCTACAGATTCATAGCCTAGGGAGAGACCCCCAAGGAGGCAGATCATCCCTGCACAGTGACAGTGACTTGCCCACTGGGTACCAGCAAAGAGAGGGGGCCCTGTCATCTTTACCCTCGAGCCCAGTTTCAGGCCCTGCCACAGGACGAGGGGCTCAGCCAATGTTTTGTGGACAAATGACATTTTGTTTTAGGGAAAGTCCAGATTTGAGTCAGCGGGCAGCCCAGGGAGGGGTTCACAGGGCAAGTGGAACTTGGGGAAACCTTCGGAGGCACAAGGGCATCACAGGCTGGAGACAGAGGGGCAAAGGCCTGGAGGGCAGGAGGGCAGCTGTGTCCAGGGAGCAGGAAGCACGTGGCTGGGGCGGGAGCCCTGGGGGCACACGGAGAGGCCCCGGGACAGATGAGCAGCTTGGAGGCCGGTGTGACACCTAAGGCTTGATTGGGGAGTCACAAGAGCACATTCCCTTTCAGAAGATTCCTCGGATGCTGGGAGAGACGGACAAGAGGGGCAGGGGCTCGTTAGAGGCTCCCACAATGATTTAGGAGGAAAATGAATTCCCAAGCAAAGGGCTCCCCTCCAGGAAGGAGTGAGCTCTCTGTCTCGGGGAACATCTGAGGAGAAGCGAGTCTCCCTCACCAGGACAGCAGTGGAACGCGTGCATGGCCAGGCGGGTGGCGGAGACCACGCTGGGTCCTGTGAGGCTGGAGGAGAGGGGCCTCGTGGATAAGCCCACCTGCCATGCCCGAGCATGATTCCCCACCCTTTGAGGGCGTGGCTGCAGCCCCCTTCCCTGGCTCCACCAGGAGCCTAAACGACTGCTTTGGGGGTCCCCCGAGAGAGATGGGGCTGCTGAACAGCAGGGTGTGGTGCAGTGAGAGGAGAGTGGGCTTCCCAGAGCCCAACAGTCCTGGAGTGCAATTTCCCTTTGGTACTGAGCTGGCCCCCTGAGCCGGTGCACACCAGGGCTCTGCACTGGGACACCTGGACGCCTGCCCCAGCCACCCTCCTCTCCAAGCGTGGGCAGGAGGGCGATGCTGCATCCACCCAGGAGGAGACGAATGGAGTGCCTCCTGGCCATCCTGGGAATGACGTCTGCTCTCATTAGCTTGGGGCTCTGGGAAAAGGTGGCTCCAGGGTTTTCCAAACCCCACTGGCAGGCTGCAGGCTCTTCAGACGCCCATTCCTGTGGTTTCCTGCGCCTTGAGCAAGCAGCAGGGCCGGGTGGGGAGAGCAGAGAGCCTGTCCCCACTTCACCCTTTTCCTGCCTCCCCCACACACTGAGTTTCAGCCAGGGGCTCTGTAATGTTTTCTGGCTTTAAACAAAACATCCTAGGAAACTCATGTTTTTGAAAGGTTATGTCGATTAAACCAGATGCACTCTGGCATTCCACATTCGTATTCTGAGTTCTCTCTCAGACGCATCTCACTGCATCCCTGGCAACCTGGGCACGATAGGAAGCCACGGAGACCGTCCTGGGCTCACCACCCTGCCCTCCCTGCCTCTGTCCCACTCTGCCCCTGCCTGGACATCCTTCCTCCTCAGCCCACCCCAAGAAACTTAAAAAAAAACCCACAGGAGCATCTCTCCCTCCCCTGCCACACGCACAGGCCTGCCCCTTGGGCGCCTGTCCTGTACCGCCAGCCAGGCAAGCCCCTCTCCTTCCTGCACTGCGCCATCTTTCGGGAAGCACCAAGCACTGCCCTGGCCAGGCCTCGGCTCAGCACTTTCCCAGATGCTCTCCCATTTAATTCTGATATTCCCAAGTTTGAAATCTAAGCAAATTCCTCGGCAAAAGCGACTGCTATGACTATCTTGCAATCCGTTTCTATAAAATCAGAACACCTTCTATTTCACCCTGTCTATTGAATCTAATACGGGGGAATCTTCTCTAATAAATGGACAGATGTGACCTTTAAGAAGCTTCAAACATGTTTCACTAGTTTTAGTGAAATAGAAATATTAAAATACAATAAATCGCCTTTGCCCTTTTGAAAGTTCTATGTTTCTTGCATATTTTTAAAAAACGTCAAGGCCTTCAACCCAGGCTGCAGGTGAAGCCTGCACTTTGGGATCAACACGTGTGCCCAGAGCATTGCTGTGTGGGAGGGGGGCCGTGGCTGGGGTACTCGGGCGTGTAAAACACTGACCTCAAACAGAACGTCTTGTCTGGAAGGAGATAGCCATATGTAAGTTTGATTCATTTCCCCAGTATATAAAGCAGACACTGCCACTCCATGAGGTTGGCAGGCCAGCTTCAGCCAGAAAGACCATGTTCCCCGCCCCCTGGAAAGAAACAGCCAGTGTACAGTGAGGCGGTGCCCCCTCCTGGGGTGGGGAGCCCAGGCGTGGATCCTAGAGCTGCCTGGACCACGCAGGACACGTGGTACCGACTGGCATCCCTCCCTCAGCCTCGCTTTCTCCACACCCTGAGGGCCATCAGCACCATTGCCTCTGGTCTGCGAATCTGAGCTCCACGTGGGGCTGCATGGAGCACAGAGGGACCCTGCCCAGGCCATCCTGTGCTGGTGGGAGTGGCCGCATCCTGCGTAAGTGTGCACTTCCTCTCCGCTCCTCACTTCCTTTCTCTTCTCGGGCCCTGGGATAGCCCCCAGACACCCCAACCCAGACTCACAATGACCCCCACAACCTGCTCCTCCCCCCATATTCTCTTTCACTGCTGTGTCCACAGCCCCTGCCAGGAACCCGGAGTCCCCCGTAGCCCCCTCCTGGCCTCTCTCTGGGCTCCCAAAAGAGCCCAAGTCAAGGCTCAGAAGCACCATGTGGCTCCCTGGCTGGGACCTCCTCCCTGTGCTGTTCCCTGGCATTTATCCCCGTTTCTCAGATGTTCGCAGTGACACGTCCAACTGTGTGGAGACGTTTCTTGCATCTGTCACTCCCTATCAGTGGCCATGGGAAGAGCAGCTGGGTGGTCCGAGCCATCTGCCTGGACTTGCTTTTCAAACCCAGCAGATGCACATCTGCTAAAGTGAGCCCTGGCTCCAGCCACTTTGGCTGCAAGATGGGAGACATGGCTCAGAGCTTCTCCCACAGAGCCTCTGGAATGGACGGGATGACAGAACAGAAGTGTCTCCTGAGGGTCCCGGCTGGATGGGGTGGGGGGTACCAGGCACCTCCCAGCCAGCTTACCTGCCGCCAGGTGTGACCACAGTCTGACGTGATGTACATTTCTTCTTTATATTCCACCAGCTGTGAGCCCAGGTTACCTGGTCCAAAAGAAAAGGGGCAGTACTACCCTTAGGATCGTCCAGCTTTACCCCTTTAACAAGTCTGAGCATGGAAAAACCTCAAGCAACGGTGGCCAGTGCCCCGGGTCTCCATATCCCCCACAGACCTGCTGTGGCTGCTGCGCTGGGGCCCTGGGTCTGGGTCTATGCAGTGAAGGATCAGCCCTGCCCAAAGACAGCCACATTCAGGGGACTCCAGCAGAGGCCCGGGACAGGTGGAGCTCAGGTACCTCAGAGAACCCACCAGTGTGGTCCACAAATAAGAAGCATGGAGTGTGGCTAGGGATGGGCTGGAGAGGACGTGGGCCAGGTGGGCCAATCATGGGCAGCCCCTGTGGGGCTTGAAAGCAGGGCAGGACATGGCCGAGTTTGTGTTTGGAGACAGCTCCTGGGCACCGGGTGCAGAGGAGCCAGAGGCAGGTGCAGGAGAGAAGGCAGGTGGGCACACACCAGGGTCTCACTATCTGCTGGGTGGACATTTGGGAGGAAGGTGAGGTGGGCACCAAACCAACTGGGGGTGCAGAATGTGGTTTGGGTTTACTGGAGCCCCAGCACTGGGCTGATTGGGTCCATCTCCAGCCTTGATGCCTACTCGGAGGGGCTCAGACTTAATGCTGTGGGCAGTGTCAGAATGGGAAGAACTCATGGCCAGCATCCAAGCCAACCTCATGTTACAGATGAGGAAGCTGAACCCACGTGAGTCTCCTGTAGAAAGAACAACGGCCGTGCATAACAGCACAAGCACCAGGAAAATCATCACAGCCTCTGGTGCTGCACCTGGCCCACCCTAACCAGCATCCTGAAATAGCTTGAACAAAGGATTTCTGATGAGACAGATTTGGGACTTCCACTGTACCCAATGGCTGTGGCAGAGACAGGGGTCCAAGTCTCCAGGATGATGGGGACCCTGATGACGGCATTGAAGCTGTTCTGGGGCCCCAGAGGCCCCACCCTGGGTGACTTGTATATCATTTGCCCTTTGAAGCTTTATTTAGGTGGCACTTTCAGAAGTACTTTATCCAGGGTCAAGTTTAGAAGTCACTGGAAAATTCCAAAGAAGATGGATTGTCCTCAAATAGATGAATTAAAAGTTAGTTCTCAGAGTGGCAGGGTGTTTGTGTGCCTGTCTTATTAAGTTCATTTACCTAGCTACTCGTAAATCCACCCATCTACCCACTCACCCACCTACCTATTCATCCATCTGTCCATCCATCCATCCATCCATCCATCCATCCACCCACCCACCCACCAATCCATCCATCCATCCATCCATCCATCCATCCATCCATCCATCCATCCACCCACCCACCCATCCACCCATCCACCCATCCATCCACCCACCCACCAATCCATCCATCCATCCATCCACCCACCCACCCACCAATCCATCCATCCATCCATCCATCCATCCATCCATCCATCCATCCATCCATCCACCCACCAATCCATCCATCCATCCATCCATCCATCCACCCACCCACCAATCCACCCATCCATCCATCCATCCATCCATCCATCCATCCATCCATCCATCCATCCACCCACCCATCCATCCATCCATCCATCCATCCATCCACCCACCCACCCACCAATCCATCCATCCATCCATCCATGCATCCATCCATCCATCCATCCACCCACCCACCCATCCACTCACCCACCCACCCATCCACTCACCCACCCACCCATCCACTCACCCATCCACCCACCCATCCAACCATCCACCCACCCACCCACCAATCCATCCATCCATCCAACCATCCACCCACCCACCCAACCACCCACCCACCAATCCATCCATCCATCCATCCATCCATCCACCCACCAATCCATCCATCCATCCATCCATCCATCCACCCACCCACCCATTCACTCACCCATCCAACCATCCATCCATCCATCCACCCACCCATCCATCTAACCATCCACCCATCCACTCATCCATCCATCTATGCATCCTCCCATCCATCTTTTATTAATCTAATATCCATCCAATTGATCATCCCTCCATCTACCTATTATCTGAGTTCCACCACTCACTCTCTCCTGCATGTATTCAATGGCATTTACTGAGTGTCTACTCTCTGCACAGCCCTGTGCTGAGCTCTGGTGAGCTGAGCTGAATGAGCTGTGGCCCATGCTCCCTGAGGGCTCTGAATCTAGCAGACAAGGGTGGCCGTGCAGGTGAACACAGAGCCAGGACGGTGGACCTGTGAGGAGAGCCTCAAGGAGAGCCTCAAGGAGAGACTCAGGCAGGAAAGAGCCTCCGAGTGGAGCCTGGAGAGCTGAACGTGGCTGTCCAAGGGAAAGGGGACTGGGTGTCCAAGGAAGAGGGAGCAGCCTGGGCAGAAATGTGGACCCGGGCAGGTGCAAGACAGATAGGATGGGTGGGGCAGAGGGGCAGGTGTGGAATCTGTGCAGTGTGGTGCCTGGCAAACAAAAGGTGCTGAGCGATGGCTGCTGAATGAATGAAGTGAGTGAGGTGAATGAATGAACAGAAGAAGCAGCAGGGAGGAGAGAAAGAAAAGATGCCTTTTATCTTTCTGCTATCCCAGGCGCCAGCAGCCACTCTGGGACACACGCATCACAGGCGGAGCCGGGCAGGGAGTGTTGCCGCGTCAGCACACTGCGCGGGCCAATTTGCAGTTTGTAATTTCAAATGTGCACACGTCTGTCTTTTAAGAAATGCTATCTGTTTTCCTTGCTCTGTCTACCAAAGCTGTCAGGCTGCCTGTCACCTAACAGTCTCGGGGGAAAGAAGGAGCGATTCACGGAACACGTTGCAGGCTGTCAGAGTGGAAGGGCCTCCAGAAAGCTGAGGCTGACACCCTCATTTTATGGATGGGAAACTGAGGTCCCAGGGTGGAGGGAGGTGATGAGGGGAGAAGCTTCTCTGCTGCCTCCCTGCCTGGGTGTTCTGGTGTCTCTTTGGGCCTCCTCTCCTCAGGCCCAGGACCCCTGCCCTTCCTTGATGCCAGCAGAGTGGTAGGAGTCAGTGCTCACTGAATGAAGACATGCTTCCTCTCCATCCTTCCTCTGCCCCTGCAGCCAGAAAACAGAGCAAAGCCACACACCAAAATCTACCCCACCCACACTTCACCAAGGAGGACTGCGGGGCAGACGCCAATGGCTCCCGAGACAGGGAGCACCGGCGATCACCAAGACACAGCCGGGGCCCAGGTGAGTGGGCTGCCCCATAGTCTTCCAGGTTCCGCCGGTGCTCCCATCTCTAGAAGGGCCCGGTGAGTGTCCACAGAACTGGTGGGGCTCAGTTCAGCTCCCAACCCCACCCAGGCCCCTCAGCCAGGCCCAAGGGCTTCTCGCCCTCACATCTAGACATGTCCTGACATTGATGGGCCCTTGACTGGCCGAGTCGCCAAAAAAGGGACTGTGCTAGGGAGGGCTGGGCCTGCAACTGGCTCTGAGACTCAGTTCCCTGAGTCAAGCCAGCAGCACAGGGCAGGCTGTGGTGCTCCCAGCTCCCAAACGGCCCCCTCAAGCTTTTCTTGGCTAAATGCTACCATCACCTCTGCCAGGGCTAGGGATGGAGAAGTGTTCACTGGCCTCTGCTCTGTGTTGGATCCTGAGGACGTCTGGATGATCAGCTGGGACACAGACCAGTGACCAGGATGGGGCAAAGGACAGTGCAGGGAGCAGGCTCCATAATCACCTGGGGCACCCACAGCATCTGAGGAGCAGGTGGGGGTTGGCACACACTCTGCACTCTTTGGCTTTCTAGGGGAGGCACAAGAGCTGGAGCAGGAACCCGAGGACCTGCCCTGGGCATGGAGAGCAGCCTTGGCAAAGGGGTGGTGGGAGGCAGCTGGCCACAGGCCGTGCAGGGTCCGGGAACACTGGCTCGCTGGGATCCCCGAAGGTGTGGAGCAGGAAACATTGATCTCACAGGGTATAACTCAGTGTGAGGATTCCTATCCTAGTCTATTGAAAGGAAGAAAGGATGAAGATGAGGAAGAAAGGGTGAAGATGAGGAAGAAAGGGTGAAGATGAGGTATCCTTCAGATGCCACTCACTCCAACACAGGAGCACTCAGAAGGGAGCCAGCCGTTCAGTCCTGCAACACGCCCAGTCGGGAAGAACCCGCCACCGGCACCCTCGGCCAGGGCTGGGTTGATTTCTGGGATCAACATGGCTGATTCTCCACCGGGGGGTTAAAAGTCAAGTTTTTGTCTTTGCTTCTCAAATCCATCCCCTTCTATTAGTAGCTGGAGCCATGGCTCCACTTTCTGGGTCCCTCTGCAGTCTGACCTCTGGAGGCTGGACCTGAGGATGGGCCCCAGAGACTGGAATGCATCTCCTCGAGCTCGAGACCCCAGCGCGGCACTCCCCCACCTCCACCCTGCACACGCGGTGCCCTCTGCCTAGAGTGTCCTCCCTGTGTGTCGGCTTGGCAGATGCCCATTTGCCCAGCAGACTCAATCCAAACCCCAGGGAAGAATCGAGTGCCCATACCCTGTGTCCCTCTGGACCATCTTGTAGGAACACTCGGCATCAGGATGCTTCTGGCCCTGCGGTCATCATCCCTTTGCTCCTCTGTTCAACCCCGAGCAGCTGAGTCTTAGCTCCTTCATTTCCAGTACCCAGTGCAGTGCCTGGCATGGGGGCAGGAGTGCCCAGTGTCCCCTTGGATGAGAGGACAGCCTGGCAGACCACACCTGCCTTGAAGGTTTCCTGCCATACCCTGTCTCATCCTTACAGTGGAGGTTTTATCCTCTCATTTTGCAGATGAAACTGAGGCTCAGAGAAGTGCAGTGAAATCTCAGAGTCCTACAGCTGGGAGGCATAGAGCCTGGGGCTTTTCCCTCTTGTCTGCCTGCCTCTGGGATGGAATTCAGGAATGAACGGCGGGGTGGGCAGGGGAGCGACCCTGTGGAAACAGGTAGCCATCATCCCCAGCCACCTCCAGCAGTGCGGTCACGTGGCACTGGGACCTGTGCCAGGGCAGGCAGCCATGTCGGGCCAGCAGATGTGAAGCCAGCCCACGCGCCTTTTCCTCCTGCTCCCAGCAGATGCTCAGGGCTGGAGAGGAGGCTGGAAACAATGGACACATCAATTGGCCCACCTTGCATGCCTGGCTCCACCTTCCAGGAAAGCCCTGGCCAAGACTGAATAGAAGTGGATAAAATAGAAGTGTAGTCTCCTGCCCTTGTAGGGACAGTGGGGGGCAAGCAGGGAGGGAGGAAGGCTGTGACTGACACCCCCACAGAGTGAGGGGGGCTGCTCTCGGTGCTTTGCATGACTCCTGCACAATTCAGGGGTGCACTGAGAGATGTTGGGAGACCGAGACCCTCATTCTGGGCTCTCAGGGCCTTTGAGCAGTGGAAACATTGGAAATCATGCCTTTTTGCACTTTGGTCAAGAATTTGGGGTTTCAGCGAATCAAGACAGTGCATTTTAAATACCCTGTCATTGAGGAGCCCGGGAAACCAAGTGTACAGGATTGGGGGTGTCTAACGTGGGTGGTGAGCCTGTCTGTGCGTGGAAGCTGATAGGCAGTCAGCGGCTTCACATTGATGCTGATGGGTCACATTTTCGTTGATCATTGTGGGGGCAGACAGAGGCTGTCCAGATGGGCTGTCACTGCCTAGGACCCCGGGCATATAGAGCATGCAGAGGAACTCCGGAAGCTGAAGGGCTTTGTTCACAATCCCCTCCCTTCCCAGGTGCAAAGCTCCAAGCTCCCCAGACAGGCCAGGTCTCTGCCGTCAGACCCAGCCCTGCACGTAGGCTTCACCTCCAGCCACTCCCTGCACTCTGGTCTGGTCCTTTGGGGTCCCCACGTTCCCCCTTCCACCCAGAAGGCCATTCCTGCCATCACAACATGGCCGCTCTTTCACTTGTCCCTTCACTCACTCATTCACAAACAGCCTTGGAGGGCCCACCCTGGGCCAGGCCCCAGCTCGGTGCTGCGATATAGTGAAGGGTAAGATGTGGTGTCCAGCTCAGAGTCTGGGGTCCACATCCATATGGTCCTTGGCCACTGGCCACACAGCCACCCCCTCTGTGTGGCAGATGGTGCTGGGGGAAATGGAGGGAAGGGGTCCTGGGTTCAGGAAGTGTGAACTCTGGGCCTGTGCCTCTGCTGTTCAGTGTCTGCAGGAGATGCTGCCTGTCTGACTGTCACAGACCCCATGTGCAAAGTATTCCCCGATTCTCCCACACACCAGCCAAGCGACCTCAGACAGGTGGCTCTACTTTGTATTTTGAATGGTTCTTCTAAAGCAAATCAACCTCATTTTATGGTATTATTTAATCAGTACACCAGGATTCTTGGATGTTCTAGTTTAGTGGAAGAGACAAACACAAAAATTATAATTTTGGGTTTTTTAAAAAGTGCTAGTTGTATACTTGTTTTTCTCCCCCCACTAAACTAGAACTTTCTTCAGGGGCCAATAAATATCAACCATGATATAAATCATCCATCCATTGATCCACCTACCCATCTATCAGTTTTTCTATCCATTCATCATTCATTCGTCATCCATCCATCCATTCACCATCTATCCATCACCCATCATCCGTCTATCATCCACCCATCCACTCATCCATCCATCCACTCACCCATCCACCTATCCATCTGCCTATCCACCACCCATCCACCGCCATCCATCCATCATGCATCATCCATCCATTCATCTATCCATCCATCCATTCAGCATCTATCCATCATCCATCATCCATCCACCCACTCATCCATTCATCCACTCATCCATCCATCCATCCACCCACCCACACACCCACCATCATCCATCCATCAATTCAGCATCTATCCATCATTCATCATCCATCCACCCACTCATCCATCCATCCACACACCCACCCACCCACCCGTCCACCTATCCACCACCCATTCACCATCATCCATCCATCATGCATCATTCATACATTCATCTATCCATCTATCAATTCAGCATCTATCCATCATCCATCATCCATCCACCCACTCATCCTTTCATCCACTCATCCATCCATCTACTCGTCTATCCACTCATCCATCCACCCACCCACCCATCCACGTATCCACCACCCATCCACCATCATCCATCCATCATGTATCATCCATCCATTCATCTATCTATCCATTCATCTATCCATCCATCAATTCAGCATCTATCCATCATACATCATCCATGAACCCACTCATCCATCCACTCATCCATCCATCTACCACCCATCCACCATCATCCATCCATCATCCATCCATTGATCTGTCCATCCTCCATCCATCCATTCACCATCTGTCCATCATCCAGCCAGCCATCATTCATCCACCATCCACCTATCCATCATTCATCATCTATCAATTTGTCTGTCCATCCATCCATTCATCCACTCTTCCATCTGTCCATCTTTCCATTCTGCCAACACATACCATATGCCCACCCTGGGCCATGCATTCATTTCTCGGAATTTGCCATGAGAGCTGAGCTTCCTGGAGATGCAGTGGTACTGCCTCCTAAAGGACATACTATGGCCTCAGGCTCATGACCATCCCTTTTTACCCTTAAGATTGGAGGTACTCTTGGGCTGTAATGGCACCTGCCAGCCACCTGTGATGGAAGCCACCTACCTGCACCCATGATGAGGCCTGGGGCGGTGTCCTTGGTGTGCACGGTGCCTGATACGTAGGGGTTGTCTGCCCAGCGCAGGTGCAGGTGCAGGTGGCAGTCTGGCTGCAAGGAAGAGAAAGGACGCAACTGTCAACACATGAGTAGGAGCATCCTTAGGAAAACTAAGCCTGATGACAAATCTGCCCCTGTGGCTTTTTGGGAGAGAAGGCTGGGCCAGGAGTGCCTTGGAGGAACGGATGGAGGATGGGAAGCAGGTGTGAGGCTGACCTTTAGGGAAAGGGTGGGAAGTACAAGGGAAGCTTCAGCAGGTGCTGTGCTGACAGCCTGGGAGGGGGAAGTGGGCACAAGTGAGGCACCTGGGAGGATCTGTTGGTTCCCTAATCTAGATTAGGGACTCCTACAGCCCCTGGGTGTGGTGCCTCTGCTCACGGATGCAGCTGCTGGGGCTTCTCCCACTGAGGGCTCTTGGGCATCGGTCAAGAGCCCAAGTGCCGGGTCAAGTGCCGGGCCATGGGATGTGATTCCTGGAGCCTGCACAGCCCAAGCTCATACTTATTCATTCACCTACCCAGAACCTTTATTGGGAGCCTCTTATGTGACCACAGTATCCCTGGCATCAGAGGACAGCTGGGGTCACCCCGTAAGACCCTCTCACTTTGAGATACAGAGGGGTGGGTTAAGTGTGCAAGAGCTCCAGGGGGTTGTCTCTGGAGACCCCATTCCTCCTGATCTCTCTCTGGCAGCCTGAGATACTGGGTCCCAGAGGTCTGGCTGGCCGAGCCCTCCTTGGGTGCACCACGAGAGACCCCACTGAACCAACAGATGCCAAAAGGCTTTGTGGGGTAATGACTCTGGGCTCAGCCTTCCTAATTTCCCCAAGTCAGGGAACTCCATAGGGTGAAGTGAGGCAGCGCAATCCTCAGGCTGGTCACAGAAAGGGCAGGGCTTGGACTCCTCGTACCTCCTCTAAATGGCAGTGTGGCCTTATGAAAAATGCTTAGCCTCTCTGTGCCTTTCTTTCTTCTCTGTGAGATGGGGCAATAACCTCTGCTTCACAGGATATTGGATTACTATGGCACAGCTCTGGGGTCCAGCCCTTCCCCTGGGCAAGATACTGCCCAATTGTTTACTGATAAGAATGGTAAACATTGTATTTGCCACCTTAAAATTACTTTTTTCTGTTAAAAATCTCCAGCTTAGAAGTACGCTAGAACTGGGTACTCAGAGATCCAAATTGTAACTTAGGAGACACCACTAATTTTCTGGGCAGCCTTGGGACTCAGTTTCCTCATCTGCAAAATGAAGACAGTGACGGTGAGGCCTGCTGACCCGCTCTGCAGGGGTCATTCCAGAATCCCCTCGTCATTGCGGTATCATATCATCTACTAACATCACGTCAGAGGTATCCTCTCTCTTCATTTCATGTCTTTATAACACTTTCTTCTGGCCCATGAATTGCTTACGTTTTACACAGGTGACTCTAACTTAAAAGTTAAACCATTCAGGAAATTGGATATTGACTTGGATAAGATGCGACCAGGTGGTGGCCGCAGTTGGCAGACAGGCTTTATTTGTCTGCTCAAGGGTTTAACAGATGTACTGGTTGTATTACATGTTGTACGATTCACCCATGAGCAATGCCCGGAGCAGGGAATCTACAGAGCCAGGAACGGACAGTTGGTTGCTAGGGGCTGGAGGCTGATGGGGGATAGCGAGGTGACAGCTAAGGATCGGGGCCTTCCTTTTTTGGGTGGTGAAAATGTCCTAAAAGGGACAGTGGTGATGGTGGCACAACTCTGTGAATAGACTAAAAGCCACTGAACTATGCATTTGAAAGGTGAACTGTGCAGGATGTGACATCTCAACAAAGCTGTTAAAAACCAAAAAAAGAAAGGTTGAAAATTCAGCTGAAAGGTGGCCCTGTGTCCATTGCAGACGCACATCCTGAAGATGACTGAGGGACTGAGACCATCCCCAGTGGAACCTGGGGAGCCCGGAGCTGAATACCACAGGGCCTCGGGTGGCAGGAGCCTGGGCACTGTGTCACCCCTGGAGAGCCATCTGAGGGTTCCGGAAACACCTGGATCCAATAGTGACAAATGGGCCCCAATGAAAACCTGTGAGGTGTTAAGACGTTGCCCGCTGCAATAGATTTTTCTGATTTCTTACAGTGGAAAAGCAGGCCTACGAGTGAATAGACTTGCTGGCACCTTTCAGTCCTACCCTCCTGCCCCACCCCAGATAGCTCAGGCAGAAAGACAGAGGCGACTTGCTGAGGAGGGAGGCTGCTGTGATCTTGGTAGGCAGGGTTGGGCTTCTGCGCTGCAGAAGGGAGCTCTAATCAGGAGAAGGAGAAGGTGTAGTGCAGGAGTCCCCAGCAGCAGTGTGCCCGGCAGAGGACGCCCTGGCTCTGCCATGCTTTGCTGTTCTAGGTTTCCTAGAAGGCCAGAGCTCATGGGTTGGTCTCCGTCAACCTCTCCCGTTCCCCCGATGAGCTGTGCACATCTGGTCACTTGCTGCGTGCACAGTGGTTAGAGTTGAATTAGAGGGTGCTGCTTCACAAACCCTAGCTACCTCTCCCCACCCCTCGCCACTAGTGGCCTATTCTGGTTGCCTGGCACTCAGGCCAGAGAAGTGGAACCCTCCTCAGGGTTCCCTGTGGGGTGGCCAGTTACGGCCTGCAGGCCACTGGTGAACACAGGCGGCTCTATGAACCCTTTTGCATTCGCCTTGCGGCCTGCTGACGGCCAAACAGACGGCTCCCCCTTCTCCTGGGGCAGCTGCAGGTGCCATGCTGGTGTCTGACACACGCACTCCCACGCAAGCCTGGGACACCAGGTGAAAAGAAGGGCAATGCCGGCAGGCTTGGAGGTGCCTGCCCATGGGGCACCAGGATGTCCTGCACAGGTGGCAGGCCAGTGCGCATCAGGAGCCCCAGAACCCGCCTTGGGTGCATGTGGTCAGAGACAGGGCTTCCTCTGAGGCCACCCAGGGACGAGGACAGGAGAACCCCGGGGCAGGCTGTGGCCCTGGGAGTGCATGCAGAATGCTCCAGTGTTGACCGAGGTGGGCCCGGGTTCCTGCAGGGCTGGAGGCAGGCCAAGCTGGGGACTCACACTGCTCCAGGACTCTCCCTTCTCTGTCCGTTTGGCACATAGGGGCCAGAGGGTGCCCTAAAGAAGTGTCTAGCAAATCATCAAAGCCTACCAGATGGACCAGGGCCGGGAGATGCAGCACCAGCCACCTGGACGCCTGGCACTCACTGCAGCCTCACGCCTTAGAAGAGTGACCATGGACTGCACGGTGAATGAAGTTTTATGCTGAATTCAAGATGCAAACAGATTCAAACCACTTTCCAATGAAGCTGAATCATCCTAAAACAGATCTGATCACACCACTCCTGTTAAAGCCATCCCTGCATTTCCCCATTGAGGGAAGGAGGTATCCCCAGACGGGAAGCTGGTCAAGTGGCCTGAGCAAAGATTTGTGACCCAGAGTTCAGAGAAAAACAGAGGGCTGAAAAATCACGCACGTGTGGGATCCCAATGACAACTTCATAACGTGTGTATGAGCGAAAAGATTGTAAAGAACAAAAATGCCCAGTTATTGTTTTTCTGGATGGTGTGATTCTGGTGATACCTTATTTCCCTTTTTATACCTTTCTGTATCTTCCAAGCATTCTGCAATAATCAGGCATCACTTTTATGAGCGCTAAGTCCTCAGGTACAGTTTGCCCATTCATTGAGAGGCTGTGTGGCTGCAGGAGGGACACAGTCAGGAGGTGCTGTGAGTGGCCCAACTTGTCCTGCCCCTGCACTTTCACCCTTGGAGATGCCATGGCCACACACACAGGATAGCCCAGGCCTTCTGAGCCATACGGCTGTCATATATATATATATTTATTTATTTTAATTTTTGAGGTGGAATCTCGCTCTGTCACCCAGGCTAGAGTGCAGTGGCACGATCTCAGCTCACTGCAACTTCCACCTCCCAGGTTCAAGCGATTCTCCTGCCTCAGCCTCCCAAGTAGGTGGGATTATAGGCATGTGCCACCATGCCTGGCTAATTTTTGTATTTTTAGTAGAGACGGGGTTTCATCATGTTGGCCAGGCTGGTCTCAAACCTGACCTCAGGTGATCTGCCTGCCTCGGCCTCCCAAAGTGCTGGGATTCCAGGTGTGAGCCACTGTGCCCAGCCCGTGAGGCTGTAATTTGATGTCTGTTGTACCCACGTGGGCTCCATGCACTTGGCTCTGCATTTCCCCGTGCCCAGTCGGGTTCCCACATGCCTGCCTGAGGCCACACGCTCACCAGTTTGCTCCCATTTCATTATTTCAAGGCCAGGACATAAATCTCACCGAGGTTATCTCCTCACTGAGCTGCATAATCGCAGACAAGAGTCTATTCTTAGCAAAAACTTGCTTTGACAGATTAATATGGCTTAACTTTGCCAATGATGATACAAAAATTAGCCCTTTCACAGCAATTCTGTTCTGGGAAGCGTTTTTACAAAGGGCTGGTAATTAATTCTCCACACAGGTCGACAGGTGTTATCAGCAGGAGCGGGGCTTGAGCAGAGGCGGGCAGCCGGCCCCTGAGAGGTGAGTGTTCACGAGTCAGAGCTCAAGCCTCAGCTTAGAGCAAGGGGTTGCCCTGGGGGCCACAGAGTCCCACCCTGGCCCCAGGGTCAGGGCTCTCTGGGAGGAGGAATTCCTCCCCTCTTAGTACCACGGCCTCCATGGGCCAACACTGGGGCTGGTGGTGGTGGTGGGGAGGGGGCTCACCATTTTCTGAGCCCTGCTGTGTGCCAGGTGGAATCCCAGGAAGACAGGGAATTGTCTTCTGTTTTGCTGGTTGGTGTGTTCTGAGCCTGCAGAACAGTGCCTGGCACATTGCAAGTGCTCACGCAGATTTGCTGAATATAAACCTGTCAAACGGGTACTTTTGTTCTTTCTATTTTACACATGAGGAAGCTGAGGAAGAGTGATGGGTGGTTTCAGGTGTCCCCAGGGTGCAGTCTCTAAGAAGGGCTTATGGGTGACAGTGGGAAACAGACAGAGAAGCAGTATGCCCAGTGAAGGGCTCCTCAGTGGAAGGAACATGTGGGTAGGGTTTTCAGGTGTTAGTAGGAGCTTGCTGGATGAGGAAAAGGGAAAGGGCATTCTAGGCCTTGGGGACAGCGTAGAAAGAGGGAGAGCTTGAAAGGGAAGGGATTGGCTCTTCCTTGCAGATTGCTCCATGTCAGGCATAGGCCAGTCTCTGCATTCTTTCATCTCATCCTCACTCCAATGCCAAAGGGATGTTTATCATCTTCCTCCGTTTTCAACAGAGGCTCAGAGGCACTGGTTGATGTAGCCAAGATCACATAGTCAGGGGGCTAAGACTGCAGCTCTGTGCGGCTCTAACACTAGACCCTTCTCCCACCCTGAGTTGCCCAGCACCTAGGAAGGGGCAGGGATGCTGGTGGTGGTGAGCTCCCTGCGGTATGCAAGGAGAGAAGCCCCGGGAGAGGCCGTGTCTCACAGGGGTGTTGGAAGGGGAGTGAGAAGCCTGGTCAGATTCTCTTGGCCCATTTCGCCTCTTCCTCCCTTGCATCCACTGGTCCCTGGCAGCTGAGTGCTCACCTTAGCTAGGACCAGGGCTCCTTACAGCTCTGTCTCTCCTTCCTCACCAGCATGGGCCTGTGCACCACCTGGATCCCTGGTAGCCACATGAGAGCGGGCAAGAGTCCCAGCTACTTTGAGAGATTCTCCACTCTAGGCAACCAAGGACTCAGGCAGTCGATACTTCTATTCATGTAGAAAGGTGCCCCTGGGATAGTGGACCAGCTTTGGGGCTCAGGATGTCTGAACTCTGGCCCAGCTCTATCACTTACTGGCAGTGCGATGGTACACTGCCCTCCATGGCAGATTAGAAGCAAGTGTCTGCTCCTCAGCCCTCACTCCCATGGGCAGAGTACAATTCCCAGGTCCTTGATGTTGACCAGTAAGATTTAGCAGATGTACCAGCAGGCTTGAATTGTACTTGCCTGTTTCTGTTTATCCTCTTGTACTTCTGGTATCACCATGAGAATTAAGCTGGTTCCAGGAGAAGGATGCAAGATGTGCAGAGCAGAGACCAGCCTAAATCAGTCCATTCCCTGACATGAGCAAGCCCAGACAAGATCAGCAGAGCCACCCAGCTGAGCCCAGACAAGATCAGCAGAGCCACCCAGCTGAGCCCAGACAAGATCAGCAGAGCCGCTCAGCGGAGCCCAGCCAAGGTCAGCAGAGCCACTCAGCTGAGCCCAGCCAAGGTCAGCAGAGCCGCTCAGCTGAGCCCAGCCAAGGTCAGCAGAGCCGCTCAGCTGATCCCAGCCAAGGTCAGCAGAGCTGCCCAGCTCAGCCCAGACAAGATCAGCAGAGCCGCCCAGCTGAGCCCACCTGTAGATCTGGGGAGTAAATGTTGTTGTTTTGGGTGGTTTATTGCACAGCAATTCTGTGTCAAAAACTGATATACTTCCCTCTCTGACCTCCAATTAACTTTTCTGTAAAACAAGGAGTTTCATTTGACCCTCTCTACCACACCCAGCAGAAATAGGTGGTTCATGTGTCTCAGATGGTCCTTCTCAGACATCACCACCTCTGACCTTCTTGATTACTGAAGTTATATCTAGCATCCACGCCAAGGATGGTGTGTGATGTGAGCAGAGGTACTTACAGGCTTGCAGTTGGTTGGTTTTCCATTCATGTCCATGCTGGGTGGCCTCAGGTAATCCCAGTCGCGGCCCTTGTTGTAGGTTATAAGCGTCATCACTTTCCCATCAATTTTTTGGTTTGCCAGGAAGACTCCTTTCACCCCTCTGACCTGGGACAAAAATAAAAGAAGGACTGTAAACTTACACTGGAGCACTCTGATGACCAAGTATCCACCATGCTCCAGCCCCTTGCTAAAGTGCTCTGCACATGTGGCCTCATTTCACAGTCACAATGTCCAGCAGCTGAGACACATTCTAGAGGTGAGTGAGGTTTAGAGGGGCCAGGGATTCAAGACTCTGGCCCCAGTTTTAGTGGGAAGCTAGTTCTGTCTAGCTCTGAAGCCTGAATGATTTTCATGGTGCTGAGCTGTTCTCCCAGGTCCAGACACCAACCATCAGATGGCAAGTGGGGTTCTGGAGCCCTGACCTGCCTGTCCCTCAGAGTCACCCCATCCTTGCCTCAGAGGTCCTGATTCAGAGCTCAGATCCTCCCAGTGCCTCTTCTTTCTATTGGACCACACATCCTGGACCAATAGAATTGCCTCTGGGCTTGCCTCTGCGGACCCCCAGCTCAATCCCCATACAAACATGCCAAGGAATGAAGACAGGAGGGTCCATGCTTACCCTAGAACACCCGGGACAGGGCTCCACTTGCCTTCATTGCTCAGGGCTAACCTGGTCCCTTTCTCAAGGTTTCCTAAGAGGCCCATGGCAGTGACCCAAACATATCCAAGAGTGGTTACTAAGTTGACCTATAAGAAACGTGCAACTATCAGCAACTTCACATAGTTCAACCGAGTGGTTTGCTCCCAGAGAGGGTCTTTTCCTGCAAGTTCCTTATTTCATGGAGGGTTTTGACCCGTATTTATCAAGACCCACTAGTGTGGTGTGAAGAGGCACGGGAATGCCCACCACTTATCAAGGCCTCCTGTGTGCCAGGCCAGAAGCTGTTTCTGCACCTGTATATGCAGCATGCACCATGGGAAACTGAGGCTCAGAGGGGGTGCAACCTGCCCAAAGGCCCATAACCAAAGATTCCCTCTAGGATAGTAACGGCATACAGTTATTAAGTGCTTCTATGTTACAGGCACTGAGCTTAAAATGTGTCCTCTCACTGAATTCTCACAACTCCAGCAGGTCCTTATGGGGAGAACAACAGCAGCCATGATGATGAAACCAGCAGACTGGGGTCTGAGCTTCCAGCAGCTGCTATAACAGATGGTCACAAACCCAGTGGCTTCAGACAACACACACGTATTCTCCCACAGCTCTGGAGGGCAGAAGCCTGGCATGCGGCTACAGTTAAGTGTCAGTGGAATCGCATTCCTTTCTGGAGGCTCCAGAGGAGCTTCCCTTTCCTTGCCTTTTCCAGCTTCTAGAGGCACCGGCATTCCTTGGCTCATGGCCCCTTCCTTCATCTTCAAAGCTAGCAACGCTGCATCTCTCTGACCGTGTTTCCACCATCACATCTTCTCTGACTCTCTCTCCTGCCTACCTCTTCCAATGTTAAGGATCCATGTGCTGACACTAGGCCCCTCCAGATAACCCAGGTCATCTTCCTGTCTGCTGATGAGCAGCCTTAATTCCTTCTGCAACCTCACTCCTCCTCTGCCACATAAGGTAACATACATGCAGGTTCTGGGGCTCGGGATGTGGCCATCTTTGAGGGGGTCACTATTCTCTCCAGTGCAGTCCCTCCCCTGACCCCCAAGGACACGCATCAGTCTTCAAGTAAAATACATTCACCCCATCAAGGTTTCCAAAGTTCTCATCTCATTACAGCATTCATTCAAAGTCAAAAGTCTCATCTAAATATCACCAGATCAAAAGTTCCAAACCTTATCATCTGAGTCATCTAAACCAGATGTGGGTGAGCTCTGGGTAAAATCCATCTGTGGAGCTGGGAAACTAGCAAACAAATTATCTGTTTCAAAGTGCAAGGTTGGGACAGGCACATGGTGGTACAGATCTTTTGCCTCCCACTGATGGCTGTGGCTTGTTTAGGTTACCCTCGGAGTTGGCTCTCAGAGACTCAGGGCTGCCTTCATTGGATGTGGGAGTTGGGGGGCAGGGCAGGCTCTTTTCCTTGGGACCCACCAGGTCTTATCAACACAGGCAGACAGAGTCAGGAGCCAAGGGGATCACACTGCGAGCAGCCTCCCAGAGTTTCTAGGGAACGCCATACATGTGGCAAATCCATGCACAGAGCATTCAGCTGCCTGTATTATCTGCATAGGATGCTGTGGTCTAGAGGGTAGCCTTCCTCTCTGCAGAAGAAGCTTCATCAATGGTCCTGTTGGGCAGACAGTCCCAGGGGCCGGGAGGAGCCAGCTCCTTCTTGCCCATGTGGCATCACTCTGTCTCCTGCTCACTCGACTCAGTGACTACAGATGGGGCCCCTGGCCCAGAGTCCAGCTTCTTTGTGAGATGTGGTACCAAGAGCAGGCCCTGCAGAAACCCAGGACTCCATGTCACAGGGGTCTCGAGTTCTCCCCAGACTCTGGCCTTGGTCTGCAGGAGAGGAGCTGCCGGCGGCTGGGAGAGGGTGGGGCACGTGCATGGGTGTGAGCCTGTGTCTCTGTGTGTGAGTATGAGTGTGAGTGTTGCCTATAGATTGGCTGCAGACAGGTCCCTCTGTGCTAGACTTCGGACAAGCCGCACACCCAGCAAATGGCTGCACATCGTTTGCTGTGTGGTCTGGAGCTGAAGGGAGGCCCGGGGAATGTGCCGCAAGTCTTTGTGTCTTACAAGCTCATAGAACCCTGACAAGGCAGGCAGGATGGGGACCCAGGGACATCACCCAGAGGGCTTCTGCCCTGTCTAGTGCTTGGTGCAGATGCCTTTCTGCTGTCCTCAGGGCAGGTAGAAGGATGATTTTCCCATGATGGTTTGTGTTATTGGGTAACTGCCATTTTATATCCCAGCTGGGTCTCCATGAAAATGCTCAGCAATAAATAACACGGATCCAGATATAGGCCAAGGCCCCCGGGTGGGTCTGATTGGCTGAGCATCAGCTTAGAATATCAGTGTGTCTCTGCATAACTGCCCATATCACAGCTATATTCATTCCCTGCATCTGCTGTAAAAAAAAAAAAAAAAAAAAGTCCCACAAGTTGTGTGGCTTCAGACAACAGAAATTCATTCTCTTGGAGGCTAGAGTCCAAATTCAAGGCGTGGGCAGGGCTGCGCTCCCTCTGCAGACTCCAGGGAAGCATCCTTCCTGCCCCTTCCACCTCCGCGCCTCCAGCCCTCCCTGGCGTGCGGCCGCGGTCTCTGCCTCTGTCTCCATGGGGCCTCTCTGTGTGCCTGTGGCTCCTCTCCTGTCTCTGATAAGGACACTTGTGATTGCATTTAGAGTCCCTTGGATAATATGGGATGATCTCTTGAGTGCTTGAGTCTTTCACTTCATGACGCTGCAAAAATCCCTTTTCAAATAAGGTCACATTGCAGGGCCTGGGTATTAGCATGTGAGCCACCATTTCGATGTCTATTTCGGGGCCACCATTCAGCCCATTAGGATGCCTTGTGGCCAGGGCTCCTTGGGGGCAGGGGACAGGGCTATGTCCCCTAAGTCCCCATTCATAACCCAAGCTCCAGCAAAAGAGGAGCCTAGGAAATGTTTGCTGTCTTGCCTCACACCTGGGTTGTGCCCTGCTGGGGGAGAGACCCCTGCAGCCTTCCGAGGCAGTACCTGGCTCTGCCGTCTGTACCAAACATTTTTTTCCTGGATGTGCTGCTGGGTGCACAACAACCACGACAGCAACAGTACTGGCCGTGGGCAGTGAGACTCAGGTGCCAGCCCCACCATGAATTATCCCTGATCCCCAGAAAGGGCAAGTGCTGGGAAAACAAAGTGAGTGCTCACTTGGAAACAGGCGCTGCTCTGCCTGTTTAATAGGAATGACAGCCTTAAACCTCACAGCAACCCTGTGAGGAAGGTGCCACTACCATTCCTGTTGCACATAGGGAAGCCCAGAGAGGTTAAGAAACCCACCTACGGCCACACAGCAAATACATACCAGTTCATGGACCTGACCCTCGGGAAGTCAGGCTCCAGAGTTGTGCTTGTAACCACCAGCTGTGACCCATGTTTGATGGTTTTCAGAGAAGGGACATCCCTTGGGAGGGCACCCAGCTGGTGGATGGTGGGTGTCACCTTTGAACCGGGCCACTGCGAACCTCTTCTGGCTTCTTGCTTCCTCTCACCTTGAGGCCTGTGTGTGTGGCTCTGAGCTCCTTCCTCACCTGGCTAACTCCTGCTCAGCCTCTTCCAGGAAACACTCCCTGACTCCTGCCCCAGGCCGGCCAACCGCCCCTGTGCTGTGTCTCCAGGAAGCACAGAGAGGTTAAGAAACCCACCTATGGCCACACAGCAAATACATACCAGTTCATGGACCTGAACCCCGGGCAGTCAGGCTCCAGAGTTGTGCTTGTAACCACCAGCTGTGACCCATGTTTGATGGTTTTCAGAGAAGGGCCATCCCTTGGGAGGGCACCCAGCTGGTGGACGGTGGGTGTCGCCTTTGGACCGGGCCACTGCGAACTTCTTCTGGCTCCTTGCTTCCTCTCGCCTTGATGCCTGTGTGTGTGGCTCTGAGTTCCTTCCTCACCTGGCTAACTCCTGCTCAGCCGCCTCCAGGAAGCACTCCCTGACTCCTGCCCCAGGCTGGCCAACCGCCCCTGTGCTGTGTCTCCAGGCCCCAGCACTCTCACTCAGAGCCACAGCTGGGAGCCGTCTTCCTGCTTCATGAGGGGTGAATGGTGCGTGTTGTACCCAGCCTGTGTCCCGAGGGCAGGGACCAGAGCATGGCATGCGGTGGTGCAGGCATCACAGATGCCTGTGGACAGGTTGGCCGTGGAGTCCCACCCCACCCTGTTCTTGGCACCCTTCCCATCCCATCACCACCCACCCACTGCCTTCCGGAGGCAGGTCTGTGCTGGAACTAGTCCCCTCCTAGAGGCTCAGAGGGCAGGGCCTTTGGGACACTAGGGGTGGGGGTGGGCGCTGCCTAGCAGGTGGAGGAGGGCCGCCTGCAGGGGGCTTTTGGCAGTGAGGCTGCATCTGCATCGTCTGCTGGGGAGATGAACCCTGACAAATGGGTTATTATTGCAAACAAATGGTTCCATTTGTGATTTTCCTGGGGACCACAGTTCTGCTGCTGCTGTCAAGGGAGGGATGAATGCTGAGCCTGCTGCCTCCCACTCACAAGCTTGTCAATGCCACTGCCTGCCCAGGGTCTACTGGCCACCCACGGGACACTCTCCCAGCCTGCATCAATGGGCCACTGGGGGGTGTCCCCACAGGCAAGAGGAAGGAGCTTGGAGGTGAACAACTGAGAGGGGTCCCAAGAGGAGGGCACCAGGCTCAAAGCAGACAGGCCTGGGCCGGTCCTGGTTTTCCTGCTTATGTCTGCGTCTGCCTGGGCAGGTCATTTGCCTTCTCTGAGCCTCAGTTTTCTGGCCTGTACATGGGTCAAGTAGCCCCCCTCGCTGGCCATGGCATCTCAGGAACAAAGGAGAGGCCTGTGAGCGGCCTGGCCGGGGCGGGGCTGCTGCAGGGATCCAGATGGAAATGGAGCCACATTGGTGCGATGCACGGGGCGTTCTCTGGGGTCAGTGGAGGCTCACGCGGGAGGCCGAGGGGGACCCAGGAGGGCAGCGAGGAAGGCTCCCATCTGAGCTCAGACGGCAACTGAGGAGGGGAGGCCAGAGCTTCGTAGGTGGTGAGAGAAGTGGCAGCAGGGAGGGTGGAGGGCTGGGTTCCAGGGAGACAGAGAGCGAGAGCAAGCAAGTGAAAGCAAGCGAGTGTGAGAGAGAGACAGAGAGAGAGAGAGGCCAACTTCACACACAGAGAGGGAGAGGAAGGAGGAGATGAAGGGGCTGGGGTGGAGAGAGGAAGGCAGAGGGAGAGAGGGAGAGAGGGAGAGAGGGAGAGAGGGAGAGAGGGAGAGAGAGAGAGAGGCCAACTTCAGACACAGAGAGGGAGAGGAAGGAGGAGATGACAGGGCTGGGGTGGAGAGAGGGAGAGAGAGAGAGAGAGAGAGAGAGACAGAAAGGCAGACTTCAGACACACAGAGGGAGAGGAAGGAGGAGATGACAGGGCGGGGGTGGAGAGAGGGAGAGGGAGAGAGAGAGAAAGGCAGATTTCAGACACACAGAGGGAGAGGAAGGAGGAGACGAAGGGGCTGGGGTAGAGAGAGAGAGGGAGAGAGGGAGAGAGATGGGGCACTCAGAGAGAAGCACTGCCCTCAGGGGTGACCCCAGCCCAGGACGTCTGATGAGGGCTTGTGAGAGAGCTGGCAGAGAACACTCAGGCTGAACCCAAGTCAGTAAAATGTTATTCCCTCAAAGAATTCCATTCTTCTCATGACAAGAACTTATACTTGATGATCATTGTATTTCGAATTTCCTCAAGAAGGAAATTCTCTTTCTCTAAAAATACCTACATAATAGCCTCTTGGCCTGCAAAGCCTAAAATATTTGGCTGTGTACAGAAGATGTGTGCAGACCCTTGAGACAGCTATATAGACAGGCGGGAGGGGAGGGGGGAGGAAGAGGTGGGGTGAGAGGGCAGAGGGCAGGGGGTCGGCGGCAGACCTGGCCCACATCCACCCTGGACCCACCTCCAGGATGTCGATGAGCACGCTCTCCTCCGCCTGCCGTGAGCTGCGCACGTCCTGCAGCACCAGCGCGTAGCGCACGCCCCGTGGGTCCGACTGGTACAGGTTGTAGGTGTCCATCTGGTACCACTCCTGCACCGCCACGAACACCTGACTCTCGTCCGTGCTGATGATCTGCAGATCCTGTGGGGATGTGCAGGGAGCACAGGGTCAGAGCCAGGCTGGGGGCTGCACGAGGGAGGAAGAAGCAGGCTGCACAGGCCGTGAGGGTGCAGAAGACCCCTGGCTCTCCTGGAGCCAGCCTGGCCTAGGTTTGCCTCCTGGCTCGGCTGCTCTGGGCTCTGTGGCCTTGCACAAGTCTCCTCACCTCCTTGGGCCTCCATTTCCCCATCTCTAAAATGGGGATGGCGTTGGGATGCTCTACGCCGGGTTATGGGAGGGTGGCCTGGGGACACCTCCTCCTCCTGGTCCCACATCAGGCCGTCCATCCATCCGTCCAACAGTGGGGAGGCGGAGTTCTTCCTCTATGCACCCCCAGATGGTTGATTCCAGGGGGTGAGGGCTGGAGCCCCTCCCTCTCCTCCTATCCACAGCCCAGGTGAGTCTCTGCTCCCTCCTTCATTCAAGACACATTTGGGAAGTACCAACTCCATGCCAGAAACTTTCCAGCCACTGGATGCCTAGAAAGGCCCTGAGTGCAGTGGGGAGCCAGGTGTGGCCCTGTCCTCTGCGACCTGCAGGGAGGCACCGTGGATTCATCCACTCAAGCTTCATTGTCTGGGGACAATATCCCCACCTGTACATGTGCCAGACTTCTTTCCAGTCCCCCTGTGCCGGTCCCTGCCAGCCCTGAGCCCTGGGGGCACAGTCTGGAGGGGGAGGCAGAGAAGGAGCCCCACCAGGACCCTGTAAGCTAGTCTCAGAGGTTGAAGGGCAGCCAGGGCAAAGTCCCCAGCCTCGGTTTCCACTCAGAAGCAGGTGTGTTGGGCAGCTCTGGAGTGGGCTCAGCGCTTCGGGTTCAGCCCCAGGTTTTTAAATTCAGGAAGCAGCCAAAACCCAAAAGAATAAAAAGGAAAACTGGGAATACCTCAGTTTCTTGTTTTCTTTTCTTGCCCAGCCAGCAACAAATGCTATGTGGGAGGCAAGAGTAAAAGGGTCCAGACAGGCCCATATTGAAGCCCTAACCAGCTTCCCTCCCACCTCTGTTCCTTTGCCTTCTCTCACTCTGGAGCTTCATCACCCTCTGAGAACACAGTGCCAAGGTCCAGGGGCAGAGGACAGGTGGCAGAGGAGGGTCCGGCTGGCCCCACCTGCGGAGCCGCCCCTCCCAATTACGGTGTAGCTGTGGCTGGGATGCTTGGGGATGGCTCCCTTCGCATGTTCTCATCTGATAGGAGGGCCTAGGGAAGGGCTTTTTTTTTTTTTTTCTGTACAATAACAGATCAAATCCCGATTCTGTCCAGTGGAGCTCAGTTTTCAGTGGAGAATGAGGAAGAAGCTGCCCTGGCAGGTGGCTCAGGGTCGGGCTGGACTCCTGAACGCTGAGGCCCGGCCCCTTCCCCTCACTGCCCTGCCTGTTCCCTGTGCTATGCAGCCCCAAGGGCTGTGCAGAAAAGGAGAGGGTTGCTTTTTTTTTTTTTTTTTTTTTTTTTTTATTTTGAGACAGAGTCTCGCTCTGTCGCCCAGGCTGGAGTGCAATGGCGCAATCTCAGCTCACTGCAAGCTCTGCCCCCCCGGGTTCACACCATTCTCCTGCCTCAGCCTCCCGAGTAGCTGGGATTACAGGCGCCTGCCACTATGCCCAGCTAATTTTTTGTATTTTTAGTAGAGACGGGGTTTCACTGTGTTAGCCAGGATGGTCTCAATCTCCTGAACTCGTGATCCGCCTTCCTCCCAAAGTGCTGGGATTACAGGCGTGAGCCACCGCGCCCGGCCGAGTGTTGCTATTTTGGAGCTACCATGCAGCCCACAGGCAGAGAGGACCCCACAGTGGCAGGAGCCACAGTCCTGTGTCTATGGACCGAAATTCAACACACAGAAATGACTGGCACCGAGACACACAGAACCAGGGAAGGATGATGGGGCAGGGTGCCAGAGCCTGGCCGTCCCCATGTGTGAAGTGGGACCATGGGTGATGCAGAGCCCACGGAGGCATGTGAAGTGCCCGGAGGCAGCAGGCTTGTGGCTGTTCTGCCCTCCTCACCTCAGCTCCCCCTTCCTCCCTGCTCAGCGCCATGGGCCAAAATGCACTCTGTCATCCGGGCGTTGGTCATTCTGCTGCCTGACTAGGGGAAGGTTTGTCCACCAGCCTGGGCCGTGGCAGGGAATTAGACCGTGCAGTCAGATTGTCAGGGAGGATGTGAGACTCCTGCAGGGGTGGTGGGGGGACTGAGATTATGGGTGCTTTGAGCTCGGGGGCTTGGCGTCAACCATGTCGTCAGGATGCCGTATTTACAGCGATTGCAGCAAGTCACATGGTGCCTCCTATGCCCCTGGGTAAATGTTTACATAACCTGGGTAAATGCATTGGGTAAATGTGTTCTACAATCTAGGAAACAAAGAAAAATGCATAAAGTGACTCGAGGTTATGACTGGTGCCCCCTAGAGAGACCTCGCACCAGCGTTTTCAAATGTTTACGTTTGGGCTTTCTCTCAAGTGTGGTGCACATATTTTTTTCATGTGTAGTTTATAGTCTGCCCCTTTACATCACAGGCAGAGCATTTTCTCTGCCATTAAAGTGATCTATACACAGCACTTTTAATGACTGCATGATATTCCATTTTGTGGACGGGCCATATTCCACTGAGCTGCTTCCCTACGGGGAAACCGTCAGCGTTCTCAACATAACTGCGAGATGGTCATGAACATTTCTAGACACAGATCTCTGGCTCTCTGGTTATTTCCATGACATAAACTCCTAAGAAGGGAAATTGCCACATCGCAACATTTCGAAAGCTCTTGTTATCTGCTGTTAATTTGCTGTCCTGAAAATTTACATTAGTATCTCCCCCACCAGCAGTAGTAGAGGGCACGTATTTCGTTTTATGTATTCCAATATTGAGAATGGTCTTTTAAAAATATTTGCTGATTAGAGTTATAAATAACAGGCAATTTTCGCTTCATGTTGCATTTACTGTCTTCTTTGAGAAAAGGTAGAAGCAGAGACATTTTGATATTTTTACATGAAGGATGTAAGACACATTCAAATATACATATAGTATATGTGATTGTACATATTTGTATGACCTGGAGAAATATGCGGAAGGAAACACCAACGTTGCCAATATTTGTTATTAGGTAGAATTAGGTTTGCTTGTGAGTAACAGAAACAGGAAAAAGCTCTCTTTATTAGAGAGCTCTAAGAAGCCACGTAGGACAATTCCACTAGCATCTCACTGGCTAGATTTTACAAGCATGACCACATGTAGTTGCAAAGAAAGCTGGGCAATGCAGTCTTTTAGCTGGGAAGCAATGTACTAGCCAAAGTCTGGGGTTTGTTGAACTAAGACGAAGGGGCAGAATGGATATGAGGGGTATCCAGGACTTTCAACAATACCTCCTTGAGGAGTGAGGAAGTGAGACTGTCAGGGAAGGGAGGACTAGAGAGGCAAGCAGGTAGAAAGGGTATCTACACATATACATAGTATTGTTTATTATGTTGTATTATAAGGTAAATAGATGTATTCTTCCATTAGTTGTAGTGAATGCATTTTAAATGAGTAATTTTGGAAAAGTTTAAAAACATTTTTAATAGACATGACAGAGGAAATTTCTTCATAGATGTTTATATAAAATTCATGAAAGAGTCTAATGAACCAACACCTTCATCAAATTCTTTCAGCGCTTTGAATGTATCAGCTCGCTGCCTTCTGAACTCCGGGGTTCCTGATGAGACATCTGTTGATGATCATATTGATTATTGCTTGTATGTAATAAGTCATTTCTCTCTTGCTGCTTTCAAGATTCTCTCTTAAGAGTTTCTGACTTTTTGCCAGGCATGGTGGATCACGGCTGTAGTCCCAGCACTTTGGGAGGCTGAGGCAGGTGGATCACTTGAGGTCAGGAGTTCTAGACCAGCCTAGCCAACATGGTGAAACCCTGTCTCTATTAAAAATACAAAATTAGCTGGGTATGGTGGCAGGCACCTGTAATCCCAACTACTCAGGAGGCTGAGGCAGGAGAATTGCTTGAACCCAGGAGGTGGAGGTTGCAGTGAGCTGAGATTGTACCACTGAACTCCAGCCTGGGTGACAGAGGGAGATTCTATCTCAAAAAAAAAAAAAAAAAAAAGTTTCTGTCTTTTGACAGTTTGGTTATGTGTCTTGGTGTGGATCTCTTTGTGTTTATCATTCTTAGAGTTTGTTGAAATTTTAGATACTTATATTCATGTCTTTCATCAATATAAATTGATGGGGGAGTTTTGGGCCATTATTTCTTCAAATAGTCTCTCTGCCTTTATCTCTCTTCTGTTCCTTCTGGGACTCCCACAATCATATGTTGGTCTGCTTGATGATGTCCAAAAGCTCCCATAGACTGCGTTCACTTTCAATCCTTATTCTTTCTGCTCCTCAGCTTGATATTGTTTTAATTGTCTTATCTTTAAGTTCTCAGATTCCTTCTTCTGCCTTTCAATTCTGCTTTCGAATCCCTCTAGTAAATTTTTCTTTTCAATTATTCTTTTTAGCTCCAGAATTTCTTTTGGTTCCTTTTTATTTTTTCTATCTCTTTATTGCTATTTCCATTTTGTCCATACATCATTTTCTTGTTTTTCTCTATTTTTCCTTTCAGTTCTTTGAGCCTCTGTAAGACACTCATATTGAAGTCTTTGTCTAGTAGATCTGCCATCTGGTCTTTCTCAGGGAAGGTTTATGTTAATTTATTTTTTTTTTCTTTTGAATGCTCATACTTTCCTGTTTCTTTGTATGCCTCGTAACTTTTTTATGTCAAAAACTGGACAGTTGAGTCTAATGTCCAGTTAGATTGGACATTAATAATATGGTAACTCTGGAAATTAGCTTGTCCCCTTTCCATAGAGCTTGCCATGTTTTGTTCTTATTTTTTGATGGTTGTTGGCTATCTCTTTACCAAGAATCAGCCTTACATGTAAGCTTAACATCTTCCTAGGCCTTTTCTGAGCCTCTGCTTTTCCCTGGGCATGCCTGCTGATTTTCTACATTGTCCCATATATACAGTTGCTTTTGAATGTCTGGCTCCCAAAAGGGAAAAGGGGGAAAAATAAAAGAGAGGAAAATAGGCTGTAACCCTTTAAATCTCCTGGAAGCTGTTTCAACTCATGGTGGTTGCAATAATGACTGCTTGTCTGGGTATCTGCATGTCTATCATCAGAAGCAGTCAGTAATCAGAGCACAGATCCTCAGTGTTTGGAAGACAAGGTCCTTATGGCACCCCTGCACCCTCCCGCTCCTTCAAGCTCTGTGCACGCTGCTCTAGGGACACACGCACATTTGCCTGCCATGGGGCCGGGGTGGGGGATGGGAAGCCTCTACCAGGCTAAGAGCTGACATTATCCAAATCGACTTTGATATGCCATCCATGCCTTGCCCTGGAAACTGCAAGCTCTCAAATAGACTTGAGAATTCCAAAGCAGTTACACTGGATGGGTTCTGCCCGTGTCGTTGCCTTCTAGGTGGGAAGATGGATTCTGGGGCATCCTGCTCTGCCATCTTACCTGATCCTGATGTCACTTCTTTCTTTATTCATACGGCTTAGAAATTTTATTTTACTTTAAATACATTTATGGCAAATACAGGAATATTTCACTTTAAATTTGCATTTACCCATTCTTGTGAATGCTTTTATATAATTGATAGTTATTTGGATTTTTCTTCTCTTTTCTCTATTTATAGCTTTGGCCTATTGTTTACCTCTGTTAGGGAAAATGAATATTTAAAAAAAATGATGACAAGTAAATAAGCAAAAGATATTGACAAATATAAAAACGGCCCACCCTTTATAGTTTTCACAGACAGGTAAATTAAAACAGCAGGACGGTATCATTTATACCCTTTAACACAGAAGGAAAATAGAAAAACATGGCAAAGCTATGTTGAAGCTGATCTATTCCAACTTTGTTTGTGACAGCAGCCCAGCTTGCCCAAGCAACTAAGCTACACAAATATTTATATCCTTTGTTCTGAAGTTGTTCTTCTTAGACTTTAACATGAGAAAATTAAAAAGAAATACCTGTGGGCACACATAGATTCATTGCAGCACTGTTTATAATTATAAAAAAATGGAAACAACCCAAATGTCCAAGCAACAAGACTCTGGCTTAGCTCAACAAGGTACACTCTCCTCAATAAAAAGCTTCACAGTCATTTAAAGTAGATATCACGCATCATTCAAGAAACAGTCTCATGCTATAGTGTCCTGTGAAAGCAGGCTGGAGACCCAGGACTGCTCATAATTCAGCTACGTAAAAGCCCTTTTGCATATGGCTGAGGAATGCCGGGAGACCAAGAACTGGGGGAGAAGACATTGGGTGGATGAGGTGAGAGGTTTGCGGGTGAGTCCCCTGCTCCAATGTCTATGATTTTCATGATGTTAATTAAGCAATTAAAAATATAAAAAGAAAAAAAAGAGAGAGTTGAGTCTGTGGGAAGAGGAAACAGGCAAGTTACAAATTCACCATAAAACAACAACATCTGATGAGGAAATTCAATTAGCCACTTCTATAAGTTGTTGGTGGGAAACACTGGGCAGGCTGCTGTCCTGACCTGGGTGGAGAGGAAGCAGGCTAGCTGGCTGGCTGGGCAAAGGTCTCAGCAACATGAGATGTGGTATTGAAGACCCCGTAGGGCTCTGGGGGCCCCATTCTCCTGACAGCAGCCCAGCTTGCCCACTTCTTGATGAGGAAGTGACCATCATCTTCAACTGCTGGTCACTGGGTCCTGTGCATGGACCCCTGAGGGAGGACATCGATAGTCACAGCACATGCCACCTGCCCTGGATGGCTCCCTGGTATGCCCTTGAAACTGAATGACCTGAGGCTGGGTGTGTGTCTGTCACTGCTGTGAGAGTCTCTTGAGTCTTTTCAATGACCTCCAATTTCCATGGAAATGCAAGAAGAAGAAAACCAGTGTAAAATGCACACTGTCAAGGGTCCACAGCGGGAGACATGACCTGGTGCTTCCTGCAAATCTCACTGACATTGCATCTGCAGGTCCAGGGAGCAGACGCCCAGGGAGCCATCGCTCAAGGTCACAGAGGTCATGACTTATAGCCATAGGCTCCTTAGAGCACCCTTGGCAGCAGGCTGACTGCTGGCCCAGCTACCCCAGCCTCCAATGCTAGAGGGGAGCAGAGAGGGTCCCTGTATGGGCCTAATTCTCGGCTGTGCACTTTCCTCTCCCCTACACCAGGACAAAGAGCCCAGGACACAGGAGCTTCTAATGCTGTAGCCCCCAAAGGTCGAGGGAAGGCTTCCCAGATGCTGAAAAGGTCCCTCACCTCAGAGGGACAGACACCTACTGCCTTTGCCTGAAATGAAACCATTAGCTTTTAATTTACATACTCAGCCAAGCCTGGAGTTCAGTCTATTAAGCTCACTCCTTTTTTCCTTTTATTTTTTTCTTGTTTTTAAAGCGAAGGTTTTAAAAGGCCTCCTAGACTTTTCCCATTTCTGGCTCAGGAGAGGTCTGAGGGTGCCCAGTGCAGAAGCTCCCATGTGCAAGCACTTTACATTAAGCCACAGCCTGGGTTTGGAGGGCCCAGAGCTGCTGGCCCCTCCCACTCCACTCTCACTCTCTACCTCAGGGTCTTAGCGCCTGCTCTGCCCTCCACCCGAACCATTTTCTCCCTTGCTCTTCTTGGAGCTGCCTTGGGGCTTTGGATAAAGAGTCCCTCCCCATCCCAGCCCCAGAGGGGCCTCCATAGCTGCCTGGCCTAAATCAGCCACACACACAAGCACTCGAGCACACACACACATACACACTCATACACACGCCCTCCATCACTCTGTGTCTCTCCCTCCTGTTCCCTTCTTAGCAGAAACCACAACTTGCAATTATTTTATGCATTTGTCTGTCTACTGGATCTCCTGCCTGTTCCCCGTCTGTAAAGCCCACAGGAGCAGGAACCTGGGGCTTCTGATTCACAGCATGGCCTCCTAGCACACATTCTGGTTTATATTTGGTGCTCAGTAAATAAATGTGGAGGAAGGGAAGCTTCATCTGTTTCTCAACTATGCATGTGGGACAGAGATCTTCAGAAGGTGTCATCTCAATGTCCTCACGAGGGAGGTGTGGCATGAGGCTGGGCTGACTCACCTGGACCTCAGTTTGAGATCTGCCTTTGTTTCTAACTAGATGTGTGATCTCAGACAGGTTAGTGTCTCTCTGAACTTCCATCACCTCCTCTGTTAGGTGGGAATAATATATTAATAGGGTGGAGAGAGGCCCCAAGGCAGGGGCAGGGGCAGAGTTGGGCAATCCCCAGCTCCCCTGGTCCCCCTTCTTCGCCTTCTAAGGCAAGGGAAAGGCAATAGCAATAACTGAGCACCTACTATATGCCAGGCAGCATACTAGGTGGCTGGAATGCAGAGGTGAGTACAGCAGAGATCATCCCCACCCCAGCAATATCAGAGGAGAGCAGGAGATGGACACTGGAGGGAGGGGTCCCTGGCACCCTGGGCACCAGCAAGGAGAAGAGAGGGATGGGACCAGAAAACAGAGGACTGGGCCCGCCTGGGGGGCCTTTAGCAAGTGATATTTCTCCTCAAATACCACATGTGCAAGGGTTCCGGGGAAAGATGAACCAGGCAGAGGGAAGAGCCTGGCAGAGGCCTAGGATGAAGCTGGGCACAGCTGAGTCTGGAAGGGCTGGGTGGGCTGGAATGGAGGGTGTGAGGGGTGAGCAGCTGGACGAAGCGTGGCCACACTGTTCTTGTCCATCCTGACCTGGGACCGCCAAGCACCTGTGTGTGAGTCCTGTTGCCCCATGAGTCAGGATAAGCTTAGGGTCTGGCCACAGGACCAGGCGGAATGGGGAGCACCTTACCTTTGGCAATGCATACTTCGGCAGCTTCATCAGGACAAATTCATTTCGACGATAAGAGACGTAGTATTTTGTCTGGTTTGCTGATGTTGCCTAACCGGGGGAAGAAACACATTTTTGAGAGGCTTGATTCCCTCTCCAGCCACAGTCTCATGAATGAAAAACTACATGTTATATTCAGCAAGTGAAAATGCCCTTTTACTTTCCTTCTACCTGTTCTGCTTGAAATGAACAGACTCCTATTCATCCTTCAAAGCCCCAAATTAACACCCCTCCTCTGGGAAGTTGTCTTCTGCTTCCTTCAGTCAGAACTAACTTCTTTCCCTATGCTCTCTCAGCACCTTGCTGCTCTGCATCCAACTTATGGAACAAGGTGGAGAAAGTTCCGATGGAGAAGGAGACAGGCCAAAGATGCGCTCGTTACCAAAGGTGATCACTGAACCTCGAGGCATGACAAACAAAGCCGGCACCATCTCGAGTGCTTTTCCCAGGCAGCTCATTTGACCTCATAACAATCAACCCCATGAACTGTGGCCATGGGCATCTGTTCCCAGAGACAGAAAGGCCCGTCAGGACAGGACTGTGGCAGGTCTCTGATTACAGAGGCCACATATCCTCACTGCCACAGAACAGGAGGTGCAGCTTCCTGAGCCACCAGCACCGCCACCTTGTTGGTGGTGAGGTGGGGCTGGAAGGGCTGAGGTTTCTCCCATCCCAGCACAGGCTCCCAGATCCTCTGAGGACCAGGGTGGGAGGAGGGAGGAAGGGAGAGGGCAGGGGAGGCCTGGGCTGGGGTAGGGAGAGCTTTCCTCTGCAGTTGTTGAGAATGACGGAAACCAGGATAGAAACTGGATGGAGTCGGTGGCCCCCACCTTCTCCTGCCCCTCACAAACAATGTCGCGAGCACCGACACCAGACAAGCTAAGTCTGTGACCTTGTGCAGAACGAGACCACCCTGCGATCGGGTCTGAACACAGACCAGACGTGGACGTCGTTCAAACCCCCAAGATGCCCAGACACCCACCCTGGCTGAGATGAGCAAGGGCTGCTGCTTTACTGCCCGGCTCCTGCCTCCCCCTGAGTCTCCTGCCTCCCCTGAATCGCCCCTCCCTTTAGAGAAGATTGATTGAGATGCCCAATCCTAGCAGGACCTCACCTCCTCACATCCCTCAATCCAGAGTCACACCCGGTTTCCTCGCAAGCCCCCCAAATCACCTCCTGCAGCCCACACCTGACAATCAGGCCCTCCTAACCTCTCTGAGATGCCCAGGTTCCCCAGGGCATGTGTTCCCTCTTGCTGCACTGAGTGATAACCCAGCCTGCTCGGCCATAGGTGAGCTCCGGGGGTCTTAGGCTGCAGGGCTTTGACAGGCGAGCCTGTCTAACGTTTAGAAACCACTCAACATGGGAGATGGTTGCCCAGAGAGCTGACACTGTCTTTGCTCTGGTACTTAGTGGACATCTGCAGAAATGCAATGCTAGGAGCTGGGAAAGCAGGTGGGGGGTTCAGACCTAGAGCCCAGCCTCAGCTTGCCTGAGTCAGGTGTAGGGACAAAAGGAGTAAATGGTACGGAATGACACAGTGGGGCCTGGACTGTGATGGAGGAAGGCACAGGGCTGGGGGTCTTCAGAGGAGGCACCAGTGACCCTGAATTGGAGGCAGAAGTCAGGGAAGACTTCCTGGAGGAGGAAGTGCATGATTGAGTCTTTGAGAAGGAGCAGGAATCAGCCAGTGGAGAAGCGAGGCACAGCACAGGGAACAGTACGAGCAAATGCATGGACTGAGGATCAAAAGCCAGGGGCTGGGGCTCAGCAGAGAGCAGTGGAGACTGGGCAGGGCTGGAGGTTAGGATCAGTGGCAGCAGCAGCCTCCTGTCTGGCCTGCTTTAACAGTGGGGGATGGGATGCCCACTGCCTGCCCTAGCGCCTAACTCCTTGGTGGCCCTTGGCACAGACTGAGTGTAGAGTGGGCTGCTGGGGTGACCAAGTGTGGCTGAGACATGGAAAGGAGGAGGCTGGGAAGCACGGAGGCCCTTCTGGGGAGAGGGCACCCAGCAGCTGCTCTCAAGGGGCTTCCTTGGGGGAAACTTTGGATTTGTTTTACAGGGTCCCAGAGGGCAGAACAGAACCCAGTGGATGGGAGTCCGATGACGCAGACTCTGTCTCAGGGCCAGAAGAAACAGGCCAGTGACGGGCTACTCAGCAGAGGGCTAGGCTGTTTCGGGAGGGCTGAGCTCCCCATCCATGAAGGTGAAGAAAAGCTGGATGGATTGGTTGTGTGCTAGAGTTTCTGAATTAGCTGGGACCACATGGCTGCTGAGGGTGGGCCCACTTGTGACCTGAGGGCACAGGCAGCAGAGTCCTGGTCACAGGGCTGTGGATAGCCGGTGCCTGGTGGCCAAGAGCCGGGACCAGAAGCAGTCCTGGTCAGTTCCAAAGTCACTGATAAAGCCAAATGGGGCTAAATGGGCTTAGGTTTGGGGACCCCGAGTGGCTGGGAGGTTCGTGGTGGCCAGAAGGGAGGTGGAGCCTCAGTGTCCCTGAGCCACAGTTCTGGGCTTGCGAGGGCTTCTGTGGATGGCTGCAGCCACAGCCACGGTCAGAAACCGTGACCTGCGAAGTAGCATTTGAGAGTGAAATACCCGTTTTATTGCCTCTTTTCTGAGCGATGCCATTTTTGCCGCGAACGGGTCATCCGCCACGTCACCTGTTGCCAATTTCCAAAAGCCCCAGAAGCAACCTTACCTTAAAGAAGATGTAATCGTCCTGCACGGTCAGAGACCCGTGGTCAATGGGGCCTGCGAATGGGGCTGTCAGCATCTTCTCGGAGCAATTGTGGATTGCGCAGGTGACGTACCGAAAATCTACAGGAGAGAGGCGCCGACCCAGGCGGTCAGACTCCAGCCGGAGCCAGAGACGGCCCGAGACATGTGCTGGACTCCATCTTCCTCCAATACCGCTGTGGTGTGGCTTCATGGGCTTGAATTCTAAAGGCCACCGTGATGACACCTGCGGCTGAGGGTGTCATCCTCGCTCACTGTGGGCCACCTGCACTCTGACACGAGCTCCTTCAACCCTCAGGAAGGTGTTCGTGCTACTCTGGAGCCTGCCATCCCCTGCAGGAGGGGTCAGCACAGGCGACGGTGGGTACCTCGCCACACCCAGACATGCACGGCCCCCATACCCTCCTGAAGTCTCTCACACCTAAGCAGGGATGGGGGCGGGTGGGGCTCAAGGGTTCTTTTCCCCCAAATTTTAAGCAACTGCTTCTACCCTTTTCCAAATATTTATGGTTGAGCAATACTGAATGCATGCTTTGTCAGGGAGCTGCTAATTTGAAGTTCTTCTGTTTCCCCGGGGCAAATTTATGTGGAGGGGCTAGATCCTGGAGGCCTCAGGAAGCTCTGCGTTCCAGCTTGTGAGCCAGGAGGAAGATTTATCCAAGGGGACCAAGGGAAGGGTGCCTCCTCCTCCTCCTCTTCCTCCTCTTCCTTTTCCTCCTCCTCCTGCCCCCAGCCTTGGGTGACCCGGCAGCATGGAGAATGGTTAAGGGAAGACGTTTAGAAACCAGAAAAGCCCACCCCTAAGCTCAGCCTCAGGTTTCTGCACTGAACAATGGGGTGGGCCCACCTGCCCGGTCTGTTCAGAGGAGGCAGAAGGCAGTGTACACAGAGGGTACGTGGGCAGCAGCACCAGGCCACTGCCAAGCCCTCCTGAGCCACATCCATGTTCCCTTGAAACTGACTGGTGTGCCCGGCACTCAACACTGAACCACTGAACTTCCTGCAGTGGGGCTGCCTGGCTGGAGATGCAGTGAAATGACTAGCTCAGGGGCAGGATCAGTCAACAGTCTACTGACTGACTGACTCACTCACTCACTCACTCAATCACTCACTCACTCATTCATTCACTCAGTCACTCATTCACTCACTCACTTATTCATTCACTCACTCACTTATTCACTCTTCACTCACTCACTTATTCACTCTTCACTCACTCATTCACTCACTCATTCACTCTTCACTCACTCACTCATTCACTCATCACTCATTCACTCACTCACTCTTTCAATTACTCACTCACTTATTCACCCACTCACTCATTCTCTCATTCACTTACTCATTCACTCACTCACTCACTCATTCACCCACTCTTTCACTCAATCATTCCTTCACTCACACACCTATTCACTCATTCACCCACTCACTCATCCACTCACTCGCTCACTCACTCACTCACTCACTCACCTATTCATTCATTCATTCCCTCAATCACTCACTCATTCATCCATCTCACCATGGTCAGGCTCTCAGTGTTCCAGGCCTGGAGCCAACACAACAGACCAGGGCCACCTCTCAGGCTGATGGGTTGTGCGCTGGGTATAGTAGCCCTGATGATAGTGCTTGCCAATTTCTGTGGTATAAACAACCCCACATGGCCATGCAGGAGCCACCTAGATGAAATTGGTGAATATGGAGTTGAAAAGAGCTGTGGACAGTGGGTGCTCATGAGCCAGGGCCAGCTGAAGCTCTGGAAAGGGCAGACAGCTAACCCTGACAACGTGGTGTGATGCGGACAGTGAATCTTTCTCTCTGTAGCACATGTTATTTTGCAATGTTTTGCCCAGTAGGCTACTCAGGGGCAACCCTGGCATCTGGCTAGGTGCTTATTCATTCAGCAGCCTTACTGGGGACACAGGTGATCAGTAGCCCCCACTGGTACTCAAGGAGTTGCAGGCCCTGGAGAGTGCAGAGCTGGGATGGTGGAGCCCAGCAGAGGTGGCTGGCAGGGTGCCTGAGGTCAAAGGTAAGAAATTCAGAAAGGGAGGAGCATTCCCAGCAGGGGTGGTGAGAGGTGCACCAGCTGGGACCTTGTGACCCCAGGCAAACCTGGACTGCCCCTGAGCTGTTGCCCTGGTTATCAACACAGAACGGTAATAGCACTGGCCCCGCCTGCCCAAGTGTGGCAGGGTGGGGGTGGGGGAGGGGGGGGAGGGTGGGGAGCCACACCTAGCAACTGACCCTGCCCCCGAAAGCTTGGCCATGATGACCCCGCGTTGAGGACTCTGCATTCACTTATTTCATATCACTATCCATTTCACAGGCCAGGAGACTGGGGTGACTGGCCTCGGGCCCCGAGGTTGGCCAGCGGCAGGGCTGGGAGCTGATGCCGGCATTTCTGTTTTAATGGGGACACATCCTGGCTCAGGTGATCCTGCACAGAGGATGTCTCTGTGGGGATTCAGCTGCTCTGCCCTCCTCAGAGCACCCTCCTGTCACACAGCATGTACGGCCCTGGGCAGGAAGTTGGCTGGGTCCGGTGTGCACACCCGTGCCCCCACCCCCGCCCCCCACCTCCACACTTAGCACATGCCAGGGGTGGTGGGCTGAGTGAGTGGGAAACACTCAATGCTCAGGAGCCAGAACAAATCGCCCCCTTAATAGACTTTTCCACTGGAGTGGAGCTCCCTGACTTCGATTCCTCCCCAGCTGGAAAACAAGCACATTTAAAATCATGCCACATCGAGACACAGTGAGGCCGGCTGTGTAGGGCCAGCCATTGCGGACAAGCGACTGAACACACGTGCAGCCGAGCTGTGTCGGGTGCGAGGTGACTCAGGGATACCCGGTGCCTGTGCACTGCCCGGCTTACCTCCACCGAGGTCTTGGGCTTCCACGTGGACCAAGTCAGGGTCAGCGTCCACCCCAGACACAGACCTGGAAAAGAAGAGCTGAGGCTGGGGTCGGGAATGGAGTCACCATGCCCGTCCCCCAGCTGCTCCCCACACTCCCTGCAGCCACGTGGCCTCCCTGGTTCTGAAGCCGCCCTTGCTCTGTGGGTCCGGAGGGCATCACCACCCCAGGACCCCACCTGCTCCTGAGGTGCTTGGAGTCTCTGCGTTTTCCTTGAGTGAGCTGAGGGGGTTGGAGTCTCTGCGTTTTCCTTGAGTGAGCTGAGGGGGTTGGAGTCTCTGCATCTTCCTTACGTGAGCTGAGGGGGTTGGGTTTCTTCCTGCCATGGGAGTGTTTGTAAAAGACTTTCTTCTTCATAAAAGACTTTCACGTTGCTTTTTCATTTTTGTTTGTTTTGTTTTATTTTGATCATCTAAAATGACTACAGGAGGCAGGCAGGCCTGGGACTCCCATCCTATCCTAGTTTTATAAATATGGAAACTGTGGCTCAGAGAAGCAAAATGACTCTCCCAGAGCCATACAGTGCTAAGGGCTGACCTGTGATTCAAGCCAGGCTCACCTGAGCTGTTGCTCCGTCTCCTGCTCCCCATGACCTGGTCAAGTGTGGCCTTGGGAAGATTGCTCTCTCAGCCATCAGCCCTCCCCCTGGTGCTGCCTCCAGGGATTTGCCTGAATCCTTTCGTGAGGTGGCGAAGGCTCCAGCAAGAGGAATGCACCCCCTACCCCATCACTCGACAGTTTGCACCAGGCTGTCCCCACACATGGGCCTGGACTGTACATTGTGAGGTAGGTGCCTTCATCTGCATTCATAGGTGACCCCACTAGGGACAGAACGGGTCTGTGACTTGCCTGAGGCAACATGGCTCAGACCAGGGCAGTCTCAGGCTCCTGCCCAGGTCTGCTGGATCCCAAAATGCATGCTCTCCTCAGACCGCACACACTGCCCTGCTCACAACCAAGGCCTTCTCCTAATACCACGAGTCTAGATGTCCCATCTGTTATGGGACTCTGCCTCCTTTGGGGGTGGTCCCAGCTTCAGAGAAGCCGTGAAGGAAATGCAGGAGTTTTGCCAAGTGGCTGAGTTCCATAGATATCTCTAAGAGCCCAGTGGGACAAACCTACGGTGTCCAAGGCCCGCTGCGGGCCTTGGGGACAGAGATAAAGGAGACACTGTAGCTGCCCTGTGGGCTCCTGGGTCAGGACACTCAGGCGGGGGCTGTGGTTCTCCCACTCCACCCTCAATCCACCCACACCTCATCCCTGTCTGACTCCCCTCCCCGTTTCATTGCCCTGCTGGGCGAAGTCTTTAACTGGGCAGGAGGAGAGGGAGGAAGCTTCTGTCTTGAGAGGCAAAAGCCAGGTCCTGAGTCTGTGCTGCACACAGCATGTCACTTGAACTCATTTAATACCTCCATTTGGTGGCAGGTGCTCAGGTACAGGGAACGTCCTAGGTGCTCTAGTTGCCTTATCATACTTATCTTGAATGATCCCGAATGGTTTGATTATACCCATTTTACAGACGAGGAAACCAAGGCCCAGACAGGTGAAAACAGATCAAAGCTCATAAAGCTAGTAGAGCAAGATCCACTACCCAGGTTCTGTCATTTCCAAAGCAACATCTTTTCATCACACAGGTTGTTTCCTAGCTATGCACAGCATTGCGTACCAAATAATACAGTGAAGGGACAGTGGTGGGGGGGAGAAGTACAGCTGCCCCACCCTCAGTCCAGGGTCTCAGCTGGAGTCTACATGTGCCCTGGCCCCTTTGTCCAAGGCTCTTCCCTGTGCTCTCACAGACTGCCCACCTGCATGGGGCTGGCTGGAGGTGGAAAGCCTCGCTTGCCCTCTTGGACACTCTCTCCTGGCTTTTCCAGTAAGTACTCTGGCACCAATTCTGCCTTGAATTTATGCAGTACTCGTCCTCTCAGTGCTGCAGAGGCAGCAATGACAGGGCAAAGGCTGCTGCTCAGGGTTGGCAAGTCTGAAAGCCTCGCCTTTGAGGGACATCCACCCATCCATTCACCACCTGGCTCACAGGGGTTCTGTGAGGGGCCAAGCCTATGAAGCACCTGGAATGAGGCCTGAGACGGGACAGAAGACATGTCCTAGGGTCACGGCTTCATACGCTGGTCCTCCAGGGAAGGCAGGGATGGAGTCCAATTTTGGTGTCATATTCAATATATGCCCAGTGTTGGGCCTGGCTCCCAGGAGGGGAGTACGGATTTTTTTTTTTTCTTTTTTTTTTTTGATGAAAGGAACCTTAGTGAGGACCTGGTCCAGGGTTTCTCAAACCAAGCACCGCATCCCATCTCCCAGATTTCACCATCTCCATGTGCCCACTGAACTGTCATCTACCTGCCACTTTCTTCACACTGAAAACTTCCACCTGCTTTAGCCTTCTGCAAAGCAAGACTCCCTGGGAACTCCTGGATTTGGTGGCTGGTCATGTTTGTTATCACACACATTCCAACTAATATGACTGTTAAAGCCGCTTATCCATTTACCACACCAGTCCCTCTCATGGACACTGCCCAAGAGCAAACTGAGCCTCAAGATGAGGAAGTCACTTCCTGGTATCAGTGGCCACTCAGCGTTGGGGGCAGGAGCACCCACATAGCCTGCTTGCAAGTGGTTGAGATGTCTCAGGCACAGTGCCCAGTCCCCCATGGCCTCTCCCCACCACTGACAGTTTCCCATCCAGACTTGGCCCCGTTCGGTTCCCAACCTTCCTCCCAACCTGCCTGGCACCAGGATCCCCATTTGCCTCACCTTCTCCAGGGACCAGGTCTACCCAAGTGGCCCCAGGTGGACAGGGGAAATCCATAAATGGGTTTGAGTGGCACAGACCCCACATATGTGCCATGTGGCAGGAGCCAGCTGGGACTCCCCTGTAGTCTATTGAGATTTCAAACACAGGGGCACCAGCATCAATCATTTTGACCCTAGTTAAAGAGCTCTCCCTTTCAAGGTGGAGTGTTGATTTCGGCTTTTGTGAATAGACCATTTGTAAGCTCCTTGGAAAGGAGGTCTCAGGCCTGACATTGCTCTCTCCTGAATACAGACAGGCATTGTTCCCTTCAGCAGCAGGCCCTCCACCAGCAATACAGAATTTTAGCCTCATCATCCATCATCTGTGAAGAGGGGCAATGACACCTGGGGCACAGGCTCCCTCTGCCCTCACTCATTCATTCACCCACTCACCCAGTCACAGACTCACTCACTCACCCACTCACTCATTCACTTGCTCAATCACAGACTCATTCACTCACTCACTCATTCTCTCAGTCACTCATTCACTTACTCAGTCACAGACTCACTTATTCATTTAACCACTCAGTCAATCACAGACTCACTCACTCACCCACTCAGTCACTCACTCAGTCACTCACTCAGTCACTCAATCACCGACTCACTCACTTACCCACTCGCTCATTCATTCACTCACTCAGTCACTCATTTGCTCAATCAGACTCACTCATTCACTCACTCAGTCACAGACTCGCTCACTCAGCCACTCAGCCCCTCATTCACTCAATCACAGACTCACTCAGTCACTCATTCACTAATCACTCGTCCACTCACTCGGTCACTTATTCACTCACTCAACCATAGACTCACTCATTCACTCACTCACTCATTCACTCAGTGACTCACTCACTCATTCACTTACTCATTCACTCACTCACTCAGTCACAGACTCACCCACTCACTCATTCACTCACTCACTCATTCACTCACCCAGTCACAGACTCACTCACTCAGCCACTCACTCACTCATTCACTCACAGTCACAGACTCACTCACTCAGCTACTCACTCATTCACTCAATCACAGACTCAGTCACTCATTCACTAATTACTCATTCACTCAGTCACTCATTCACTCACTCACTAACTCATTCAGTGACTCACTCACCCACTCACTCACCCGCTCATTCATTCATTCAGTCAGTTACTTGCTCACTCATTCATTCACTCATTCATTCTTTCACTCAATCACACTCAGCTATTTACTCATTCATTTACTCATTCATTCATTGACTCACCTACTCATTTATTCACTCATTTATTACCTAACTCACCACTCAGTCATTCACTCGTTCATTCCCTCACTCAATCACACACTCAGTTATTTACTCATCCATTTACTCACTCAGTTGTTACTCATTCACTCATTCACTCACTCACCTACTCATTCACTCATTTATTCACTCATTCATTCATTACCTAACTCATCACTCACTGAGCCATTTACTCATTCATTTCCTGAGTCACTCACCCTATAAATTCATTTATTTACCACGTTTGTTCCTTTAGTCTCTTGCTCTGAGCACTTCCCACAGCCATTTCTCAGTGTACTGGCGAAGGCCCTGGGCTAGACACCGGTGTACAGGTGGCCTGAGGCCTGGTGCCTGCTCCAGGCCCCTCAGTCATAGGTTTTGAAGACTCTGTTAGACCGTATTTCTAACAACTCAGATAAAGCCCCACTCCCCGCAGGAAATGGCAAGCCTGACACACAGGACTTCTTGCTTGTTGAGGTCTCCACTGCTTAGAAATGGCAGGCCAGTGAGCTGGCCGGGGGCAGGCGGCCCTCAGGGAGTGAGTGTTTTGGGGAGGTGGGAACTGACTTTCACCCCATTTGTGCTGAGGGCAGCTCCAGTGCAAATGGTTCTGTTAAGCCCAGAAAGGTGTGATCATCAAGGCTGTAGTGGGGAGACCTCCACCTCTTCCTTCTATGGACAGAGGCCCTGCCACCCCCATGCCCTGCACCAGGGCCAGGCCTGGAGCGAATGGAGAGGAAGGCTGAGGCTTTCCCTGGGTGAGCGTGGGGCTGAGCAAGGAGGCAGATGCAGGAACACCCGGTGAAGCCCAAGCGGCCAGACCACCCAGCAGAGTGGGCAAGGGCCCTGGCCACAGCCAGAGGTGGACCGAGTCTCAGGGCCACAGCTTGGGGGCAGCAGGACTTAGAATGTGGGCCCGAGCCTATCCAAGCCTCAGTTCCCTCCTGTGACATGAGACCTAGAATGCGTGCCCGAGCCTCAGTTCTTCCCTGTGACATGAGGGAGACCCGCATGGGCTGCTGTGGGGATGCCGTGGAATGGTGCACTCAGAGCCTCCACGTGCTGCCCAGCGGACACTCAGTATTCAAAGCAGGATGGCTGCGGGGCAGCTGCTGTTATGATTCTGTTCTGGGGCGTGGAGACACTGAGGGCAGGGTGGGGGGCGGGTACCCGCGGCCCTGCCCAGGAGGCAGCAGGTATCAGGGCACCTGGGGCTGCTCCCTCTCGCTTGCAGGCCACTCTAATGAGCTTGCTTGCTGTGTAGCTTCACAAAACGTTAATGAGTCTGAGCTTCAGACAGAACACGGGGCTTTGGCAATTCCCGCTGTCAGTTCAAGGACAAAGAGCTCCTTGGAAATGCTGTCAAAACAGCATTATTCACCGCTTACAAGGGGAGGGGAGATATCCCCACCGCTGTCACCACGCTCCAGGAGAGATCCCAGGGCCGGGGCCGTGGTGGTCAGTGTCTGCTGTGATTCCCTCGAGTAACAGCAGGGAAACTTGGGGGAGGAAACAATTTGATTTGCCTGAGATAATAACACGTTTGAATTATCGCCAATTTCCCTCTGGGCGCTGTGGGTCGGTTTCTTTCTCTGGCTGGAGAGCTGTCCATGAGCCCGGCCTGGCCCGGGAGTGAACAGAGCTCTACCAATCCCCCAGAGCGACCTGGCTCAGAAATCGCACCTCCTGGCTCTGCTCCCCACCTCTGCGAGCGCTCAGGCCCAGGCAGGGCAGCTCTGGCTGCTGACAGTTGACAGCAATGACAAGGCCAGTGATGGATGGCTGTGCTCTGGTTTCCGAGGGAGGAACCGGGCCCTCCCGTGGGCAATCCGCAGACAGACGGCCGTCGCCTCTCCCCATGAGCCAACGGCGTGTACACCAGCCATCGGCATTCCAGAGGAAAAAGGCTTCCTTCAGCCTGTGGGGTGGCCAGGACGCCAGTCTCCTGCCACGGTCAGCGTGACATTACGAAGGGCCCTTGCCCACTCTGCAGCCGCCAACTTGAACCTCTTAATAATATTGTTTTTAATTGGAGCTTTGGAACGGAAGGCTGAGGGGGCAAGAGAGTGTGTGTAGGGCTGATAGCCCGGGCTCCCCTTCCAGCCCTGAGCCCTCGGGACGGGTAGGAAGCCCTTTCCGTGTGTTTTTCTGTTGCGGAGACCAGGCTGTGGCCTGCGCAGGAGGCCCGTGCAATGGTCTGTTCCACACGTGGGATAAGAAAGAGAAAGGCTAGCACTGTGTGTGTGTGTGTGTGTGTGTGTACACGCACAAGAAAGAGGAATGCCATGGAATCAGCACATCAAGGAGCGGTGTAACATGAAAGGCAGTGTGACCAGAAGGACGGGATATGGCCCCAGCAGGAGAGAGGCAGGCCTGAGTTCTGAACGGCTGCACTGGCTCCTGGCCCCATGCTGCTGCCTAAGACCCTGGGCAAGCCCTCATCCTCCACAGCCCTCATAGATGCATCCCACAGACATTTCTCAAGGAAAGCCGAGTGCCCCCCGTGCAGTGAGGCTGGGGTGCTCAGGGGGCACACTGAGAGGCTCCCCTGAGGATGCACTCGAGTGGCTGGTACCCACCATCGGAACACAGGGGCCCCCAGTGGCCCTCTGCCTGGGACAGGAGCCTCCTTTCTCGGGTCTGGCTCCTCAGGAGGCCAGGGTGGGGGCTTGTCTGGGGTACAACCCCAAACTTATCCTGCTCATTGGCACCCAGTAGGGGCTGGGAAGGGTGACAGGCTGAGCAGTGGAAGGGGGGCCCAGGTGTGGATAAGCAGGAGAGCAGGGCTGAGGCAGGCCGGGTCGGCACCCACGGGGTCTGTCAGTCAGGGGCTGAGTCAGGGCCTGGGGTCGGGCAGGGAGTGCGGAGTGGTGGGCCGGGTGCTGCGCTGGGGACATGTGTACATCAGCACCTCTCTCCACTGGGGATGCTGTGAGGCTCGGGGAGGGAACAGCAGTGGCACAGGGCCACATAGCTGGTTCATGGGTAAAAACGTGGCCTGAGGGACACCAACCCCTGGACTCTACGATTTCTGATACCACCCAATGCGGAGCAGGAAGAACGACTGCGGGTTCCCCTGGGATGAGGAGGGTGTGGGGCTGCAGGCAGAGGCAGTGGACGGTGGGGACCCAGCCCCGGGATGGGGAGGGTCCAGAGGAGGAAAGGGAGCTGCAGGGATGGGCTCCCAAGGGTTTGGGGGAAGTGCTCTCACCAGAGCTGCGGGCCCCATGGGTTTGGGGTGGGGAAGTGCTCTCACCAGAACACGTGGTCTTTGGTCACTCGCTCTTGCAGAAGTGTCCACTTTTTCCCCAAGTCAGATGACACGTAGAGCTTTAGGGCAGAAAAAAGAAACAAAAGCTTGGTCAGGACGTCAGGAATAAGCTGCTTCTGAGAGAGGGTGATGTCTTCACCACAGCAGATCCCCCAGGAGAAGTCATCCTTGTCCAGCGGACACGCGGAGGCGCTGTGCTCATGCTGGGATGCAGACCAAACCCCACCGCCTCCAGGAGGAACCATTCCTGTCCCCGGGCCAGCTGGCAGGAGCCAGGAGATGAGGTTCTCCAGGGTGAAATCCAGAGGGGTCTCACAGAGGAGGTGTGTCTGAGCCTCAAAGGTGGGAGGGACTTTATAATCCTGTGTGAGGATGGGAGGAAGGGCGTTTGGGAGGAAGGAGCCACGTGTTGCCAGGGCTGGAGCAGTGAACGGATGGCAGAGCAGGACACAGCAGTGGCCTCGAGCAGGGGTGTGGCATCTACCGCAGGGGTCAGTGCAGGCGCAGGTGGGCTGGGGCCTGACACCAGGGCCAGCCTCACAGCGTATGACCAGTGCCATCGCCCAGGGACCTAGCTCAGAAGGGCCCCACATCTGGGGCTTAATTCTCTGCAGCTGCCAACTTGAACTTCTTAATAATTGTGTCTTTAGGGCCAGGTGCGGTGGCTCACGCCTGTAATCCCAGCACCTTGGGAGGTCGAGGCGGGCGGATCACATGAGGTTGGGAGTTCGAGACCAGCCTGACCAACATGGAGAAACCCCGCCTCTACTAAAAATACAAAATTAGCTGGGCATGGTGGCGCATGCCTGTAATCCCAGCTACTCGGGAGGCTGAGTCAGGAGAATCACTTGAACCCAGGAGGCGGAGGTTGCAGTGAGCCAAGATCACACCACTGCACTCCAGCCCTAGCAACAAGAGCAAAACTCCACCTGAAAAAAAAAATTGTGTCTTTAGTTGGAGCTTTGGAAGTGAAGGCTGAGGGGGCAAGAGAGCATGGGTTGGGCTGATTGCCCAGGCTCCCTCTCCAGCCCTGTGCCCTCGGGAGGGGTTCTCAGCTGCCTGTGCCTGTGGTCCTGTCTCCACACAGTGACCACCACTGTCCTTGTCCCTGGTGAGTGCCAGGGTCAGGCCTGGGCCCAGGAAGGGGCAGGGGTGGGCGCCCAGAGCACTGTCTTGAGGCTGGTCCTGGGGGCCTGGGAGGGTGTCCCTGTGGGCCAGGGAGCACAATGTTAAATGGCTCATAAAGAACATGGTGACAGGCCCAGAGAGAGAGCGCAGAAGAAAGGAAAAGCATTTGACCTGATTGTCAACATTTTTCACTTTGCACTGCACCCTGCAAATCACACAGCTGGCCCTGCCCAAAACCACCAACCAAGGCCGGATAAGATGAGGCGCTCAGGGGGTCCGTGGTCAGACAGCGTTTCAAGTAGCCCACACCAGAGGCTGTGGGTGGAGGCAGGGAGCCCTGAGGAGGCCAGGCCTGGGCCCAGCTGGGGGCAGCAGCAGAATGGAGAGGAGGACAGGGCCTGAGAGAGGCCTGTGCAGGCAGCTGGACAGGTCCTCTGAGGGGTAAGCAGAGCAAAGAGGGTGAGAGGGTTCTTGGATCTGTGCCCCGGAACCTGGGAGGAGTGAATGGGGCCAGGGATACTCAGGGAGCCCACTCCTAGACCTGGGAGGAGTGGGCGGGGTCGGGGGCCCACGGGTCAGTGCCCCAGGTCTGGGAGGAATGAATGGAGCCAGGGGCTCCTTGGGTCAGTGCCCCAGGCCTGGGGAGAAGGGAAGGGGCCAGCTGATCCTCAGGTTCACACCCAGTGCTCTGGCCTGGAGATCTCAGGTAGAGACAGGACCTTGATCAAGCTATGAGTTTTGGAAATGCCAGGTGAAGTTGCCAGGGCCACGGGCAAGGCCCAGAGCCGCTCCCCTTTCCACAGTGGCCCGTGGGAAAGGGCCTCCCCCTCCTTCATGGAAGAGACAGTCCTGGAGGGAGCCGAGATCTCCTCTGGCAGGAGGGAAGCCAGCTCTTGGGCACAGCAGCGTGTCGGGTGGGGAAGGCATCTCTATCAGAGCTCTCCTCTTGGCCACACCAAGCCCCACCATGCCAGGGGGTGGGACTTCATAGTGCCATTCTCCATATGAGAAACTGGTTATGGGTGCTGGCAACGCTACCGCAAATGTGGCATCTTGGAAACCGAGAAAACAGCAGAAGCAGGAAGCCTATTCTCCGCTCCCTTCCCTTTCTTCCCTGAAGCAGCCCCTAAACCGATGAAGGTCACCAAAGCACACCCAGAGAATGTTTCCATGGCCTAAGAAGAATGTGCCTTCCGAGTCCCCGGCTAAGGAATCCAGGAGTGGCCAACCCAGAGATTCACCTCTTACCCATGAGGAACAGGCCCTGGCCCATCCCTTGGAATGCAGGCCCTGCGGGGGTCAAGGCCCTCTGTTCTGGGTTGGGAGGAGGTTGCTAGGGGGAGGGTGCGGAGGGAAAAAGCTACATAAACTGCAGGCTTCTTACAAACTGGAGCGGCTCCCCTGTCCAGCCCACTGCCAGCAGACTGTCCCTGCATGTAACTTCCTCCAATAAACCCTGTGTCTCATTCGCTGTTTCTAGGTCTCTTCTGTGGCCTCTTGGGCACGGTGCCATCCCTTCTGGAGTCAACAGGGGTCTGGCACAGCAACTGGGAAAAGCCTCTGTCCACTCCAGAGGAGATTAACGGGATAGCAGAGGGGCCTTGTGGAGGCAGTCTGTCCTCCTCTTCTCTCTCCAGAGTGGCCAGGCCAATCTCTTAACAGCAATGCCAGGAAGCCTGGGCTCCCATCCTCACCTGGAACCAGCTACCGGGGCAGGCCTCAGTTTTCCCCAGCCATAAAACTGGGCTGACAATCCTCATCCTCACTCAGAAGGTCGGGATGATTCAACCCGATCATGTGCTTTGGAAGTCTAGCCCGTGTCTGACACGCAGCCTATCCACAACACGCGTTTGCCTTTCCCCATCCTGGACAACAGGAGACTCTGTCCCTTTTCCCTTGCCTCTCCTCTGACTCTGGCTCGGTGTTCATTTGCATTTCAATATGTTTCATCCCTAACTCCTAGGTGATGAGTGAACACAGACATCGGGGCTGGGCCAGTGATTCTATAACTGATGTCCCCAGTTCATCTTTGATTTGCGTTATGTTTTTGCCAGCTGCCCCTCTGGGGGTAGGGGCTGTATTGGTGCAATACGGTCCGCACTGCATTTCTCAAGGGAGGATGGACTATGTGGTGTTTAGGGGATCCTTTGCACCCCAGAAGCATCATATGCTGAAGTCCTTGTTATAGAAGCAAAGCTCAGAGCTCACCGTGTTTTGTTGCAGATTCAGGCCTGGGCCAGGAGAGGTCGCTGGCGCCGCCTCACAGGTGCAGCTGATGGAGGAGGCAGGCTGGGCTGGGCTGGGCTGGGCTGGGCTGGGCTGGGCTGGGCTGGGCTGGGCGGGGCGGGGAGAGAGGGCTGGAGAGGGAGGCGGGGACCCGGGTCTGCGGAGCTGGCGTCTGCCTCCCTGTCATGGCCTCTGAGTCAGTTTCTTGCCTCAGTTTCCCCATCTATAAAATGATGCCCCAGCTGTAGTGTTTCAAAGGGGAGCGTCTGTGAGTCTAGGGTTCTTGGGCTCCGGCAGGCCTGGCTCCACTAGCGCCCACCGTGCACAGCAGGAGACCTTGCGTGCGCTCCAACGCTGTTCTGAGCCTCAGTTTCACCACTTCTTAAAATGGGAATCTGGCCTCCCGCTTTGAGGGATGTTGGGGATTATCCAGGCACGCTGCAAAGTGGTTGCACTTGCCACGCACACAGCACGTTCTGTCGCGATCACCGCCTGATAACACCCGTAATAGCAGGATCCGCTCCAGGTGCGAGCACCAGCCGGGCCCTTTGCCTCTCAAGGTGCCCCCACAACATCGCCAGGAAGTAGATGCTTCTAACAATACCTCGTGCAGACGGAAGATGGAGGCTCGCAGCAATTGAGTGATTCACCCAGGGTCACCCCCTGTCAGACCTGCACTTGAATTATCTGTGGTTTGAATGCACTTCTCTTTATTTCTTCTGTGATCAGCATCTGTCTAGAATGAATCATTTGACCACAGCAATTTCCGTCACTGGCCCAGGAAGGAAGGAAGGCTCAAGCCGACCACTCAACCCAAATTCTTCATCTGCATAACGGGCACATCATTCACACTAATAGCCGCCAGGATCAGAGGCCACATCTGCTGGCTCTGAGGGCCGCCACAACTGACTTCTTCTGTGCCGCGTGCTTCTTTTCTGTTCCCACGTGTCCTTGTCACGGGCACCACCTTATGACGAACCAACGACATCATGGATGTCACTGCTGTTGCAGACACCGCTGCCACCACTGCTGTTCACCAAAGAAGGATGTGCAGAATCTCAGAAGGGAAACAGGTCATCAAGCCCAACCCTGTGCAGCCCTGCCTCTCAGCACAGGCAGGTGTGCCCCCTCCTCCTGGAAGCCCGCCTGGGCCTAATCACCCTCTGCTCCTGACCCAGCCTCCAAGCCCAGTGCCCAGGGCCTTTTCCTCCCTGGGTTCCTGTCCTCACCTTCCTGCTGCCATGTCTAATAAGTCACCACGCTTCAGATGCAACTGTGTACCCTGCACCAGCTGCACACTGCACCCCTCTCCACCCAGGGCCATGGCCCAGCTGGGCCACACCATCTCCGTGGACCCCTGCTCTCAGCCCTCGGTCCTGCAGCTGCAGAGCACACCTGGTCCTGCCACTCTCCACGCAGACCTTCCAGGAGAGGTGTGGCCTCCAAAAAAGCCCACACCCTCACATGGGTACACAGCCCCCCCGATACCATTGGACCCCCCTCTGGCTGCCATCCTGCTCACTCCCTGCATGCCCCCACCCCAGGCACGCTCGGCTCAGGGCTCACTCACACATGTGGCACTAATATGTGCACAGGGTCCTCTGAGCATCTGCGCGTGCTGTGCCCCCTGCCTGGAATGCCCTTCCTCATCCCCAGCCGGTGTTCAAGACTCACTTTAAAGTCTCCCCCGGGTCAGGCCTTTGCTAAGGCCGCTGGCTCAGAGGCCCTGCCCCTGCTATTGCAAAGCCAGGGTTAGAGCCCTGTCTGTGAAGTCAGAGTCTGTGCTCAGGGCCCAGGTGCCAGAGAGGACGGGGCTGCAGTGCCTTCGTCCGCCACACCCTCATGTCCTGGTGCCAGTGCCAGCTGGGCTCGGGGGAGGGATCCCCAGGCGTGTCCCCTCATGCTACGCTCAGAACTCTGGTTCTCTGGCCTCTAGCTCCTCAGATCCAGGACATCCTGTGTCACTCAGTCCACTCCCATTGCTCCCTAGGCCTGCCCTGGCACCTGTCCCTGGTTTCTAGCCTCTCTTCCTCTACCACGGCACTCAGTCCACTCCCATTGCTCCCCGGGGCCGCCCTGGTGCCTGTCCCTGGTTTCTAGCCTCTCTTCCTCCACCATGGCAGGTCCAAGCTCACATTCTGAGCTCTCCAACCATGCAGAGGCCAAGCCGCTTGGCAGCCCCCTCACTCCCCGCCCGCCCTCAGTAGACCCAGCAGCTTCTAACCCATCCCTCGTCATCTGCTCTGCGCCCCCATCCTCATCTAGAAAGGAGGCCCCACGAGGGCAGGGGTTGGTCTGTTTTGTTCCCAGCAGTTGCCCCAGCTCCTGAAACCTAGAAGGCCCTCTATAAATACTCCCAGGCAGAGGAAGGCGGGGGCTGAGTCCCAAGGTCGCTGCTGCCTGGGGGTGACATCAGGCCTACTCTGAGGCTCATGCCACACATCCCCCTTCCAGGATCCTCTCCTGCCAGGAAGTGACTCAGTCCCCATTTCTGCCCTGATGACCCCTGACTCCTTGACACCCTCTCCACGGTCACTTCCTCCCTGCACCACCCCCAACTTAGCAGGGCCCAGCAGAAGCTGGCTCCTTTCTCAACCAGCCCTGCTCCTCCAGCCTCCGTGTCTTCCTCCTCCTCCTCCTCCTCCTCCTCTGCGGTCTCAGTAAATGGCCTCCCTCCTTCCCACCATCCACCAGGTCCTGCAACCACAATCCCAGAGGTGCCCGCCACCCCACCTGCCCCACCGTAAGCAGAGCCCTCAGGGGCCGGCACCCCATTCCATCTCAGGCCACCCCACTTCCCCACTCCACCTCGGCTGCTCCTGCCTCCCCTAGTCTCCCATCTCGGAAACTTCAGCGATGAGACACTATGCAAGCTACCGCAGTGAAGCTCAGATGCTCAAGCTGCCAATTAGCCGGTCCTGCAGCAGCAAAGCTTTACCACGGTTCACGCTTCAGAGTCGAGATGAACACACCCGGAGCTCTCATGCAGGCTTCCCATGGCAGGTTCCCTGAGGATGAGCAGATCAGAAGAACCAGCCGAGGGCTGAGCCCACTGCAAGACTGGCCAGGATGTTGCCCAAGGAACCACGGCCAGGAGACTGCAGGTGTGAAACGTAGCAAATCCTGGGTGGCTGGCGACCCCCCTGCCCTCCTCGTCCATATCAGAACTGGATCTTCCTCACACAGCCTTTATTCCCTTACCAAAGTGGATGAATTCCTGAACTCGCCTTGAAAACTACAGACCCCACCACTGTCACAAGGGCAATTGCAGCAAACGTCCCTTCTCTCTTCCCCTCAGCTGAAGAAAAGCAGACAGGGCCCTGCATCATGGAACTGTCCTGGCAAAGGTGTCCCGCCTCCACGGTGTCTTCAGGGATGAAGGCTCCACCCGTGACGCTGACAGTGAGCGGTGAGAAAGGCAGCTGTGAGTGTGGCTGTCTGGTAATACTTTGCGCTCCTGGTACCATGAGTGAAATCATCTCTTTCTCTTCAGCAATCCTGGGAGTTCACGTTGTTAAGCCACCCTCCTTTGCTGCCACATGCATGGAGAAAGCACCCACGATTGCTAAATTGTCTTAAAGAAGGAGGTTGAGAGTCTGTCTTGCTCAGCCCATCTAAACCCTGGCTAACCCCACTCCCACGGTTCCCCAAGCTCAATCATCTGGAATGGGGGTCATTTTGCTCTCTCACCTCCAGGCCTTTGCGCAAGCTGTGTCCTCTGCCTGGAGCATCCCTACTTCCCTCTCGTCCCCTGGCTACCTCCTGTTTTTCGGGACAGCGTCATTCCCAGCTCCACATCTCCACAGGTAAGAGTCCGGGTCTCCCGGCCTGACAGACGAGGCCCTGAGTGGTTGCCCTGGGCCCTGTTCCCACCAAACCCCCTCTGGTGTAGCATAAGTCACACTCCACCAACAGGATGCACCCTGATCCCAAAACGCGCATGTGCCTCCCGCCCCTGGGTTTTTGTCCAGGATGTTCTGTTCACACAGGAAGCTGTATTAGCTGACGTGGGCTTCCGTAACAACGTACCCCAGAGGGCTCAGCTTAAACCACAGAAACAGATTCTCACACCGTTCTGAGGCCAGAAGTCCAAGATCAAGGTATCGGCAGGGTTGGTTTCTCCCTCCTCGGCTTGCAAACGCCGCCTTCTCCCTCGTCTTTATGTGGTCTTCCCTCTGTGCCTGTCTTTTTTTTGTAGTTTGATTTTTTGAAACAGAGTCTTGCTCCATCACCCAGGCTGGAATGCAGTGGTGCAATCATAGCTCTCTGCAGCCCTGAAACTCCTGGGCTCAATCGATCCTCCTGCCTGGGAGTATCAGTGTGCACCACCACTCCCGCCTCTGTCTGTGTCCTGATCTCCTCTTCTTATAAGGACACCAGTCAAATGGGATTGGAGCCCACCCTAATAGTCTAATGATCATTTAAGGGCCCTATCTGTGAATATGGTCACATTCTTTTGTACCAGGGGTTAGAATTTCAACATAGGAATTTTGGGGGACACAATCCAGCCATACGGATGCGTACCTTCCACCCCCACCCCTGAAGTCCTCCCAGCCCAGCCCCGGCTCAGCTGCCTGCATCTTGGCGGCACTGTCCCCAGCCTGCCGGCCCCGTGTGCGCTGTGCGGAGCTCACGCCTGCACAGCTGTTTGCTGACTTCCTTGCGTCCTGGGAGTTTATCTCCTGCTCCTCGGCTAAGCCGCTCACAGCCCGGGGGCACACACCTGCCTCGCTCACCTGCGGCACCAGCGGTAGCCCGGAATCCGTGGCTGCCGGGTGCGCAAGGCCCATTTGCTGACCGAATGAACACGTTTGACTCTAGGGCAGGGGCTGGTAAGTGCATTCTGTAAAGGGCCAGGTAGTAAATATTTTCAGCCGGGTGGGCTGTGTGGTCTCTGTAGCAACCACTCACCACGGCCTTGGGAGCAGGAAGGCAGCCAGGGATAGTGGTGCACAGAGATGGTGTACCATACACCCTGGAGCAGGTGTCAGCAAGCCATGGGCTGTCACCTGGGTTTGTAAACGGAGCTTCACTGGCACACAGCTATGGTAAGAAGCCATCACCTTTCATATTCAGAAAGGACTTTTTAAAGAAAGTTTTCATCCCCTAGAACATAAGCTTCATGAGGGCAAGGAGCTTTTAATAAGCTTGTGGAGCAGTGCCTGGCATGCAGTATGTGTTCAACAAATACCTGCAGCTCCAGCCATTGGTTGTACTTCTTTTTCTGTCTGGGCCTGACAGACAGTGTGAGAGAGCCTGGCAGCAGCTGTGGCCTTTTACGGAGCCAGGCACTGAGCTGTGCTTGTTGAATGCCACCTCACTTCACACTCACACACCCACACACACTCACACACACATGTACACACATACATGCATATACATACTCACAAACACACCCATAAGCTGGCAATTTTCCCTCTTGACAAATGAAAGAACTGAAGCTCAGAGAGGTTAGGTAAGTTACTCAAGGTCACACAGCACTCCCTTATGTCAGCAATTCCCATCTCACAGACTTGAGCTCACAGGACTGTACCAGGGGCTGAGGAGTCACCCTTGCCTTCAAGAAGGATGGTTGGTCACCTCTAGCCCTTTCTCTGGGTCATCCGAGTGACTCAGGCCAGGCACCCTTCTATCTCATGTCTCAGTTTACCATATCAGGAGGGCACTGCTCATACCCACAGTCAATAGATGCCTAAAAAGCGAGTCGTCACCGTGGGTTCCTGTGAGCAAGGTAATAAAGCCTCCACATTAATGGATGGCGTTACCATTGGCATCACTGCCTCATGCGCTTGCGTTTACGACGCCTGCCCTGGAGCTTTATGAAGCCTTTCCAACTCACTCTCCTGGGAGGCGCTTTTACTATCCACCATCAATTGCTGCAGAAATAGAACATTTCTGCTTAATAAAAGACAAACACCAGCAAATAAACAAGAATAAACACATCCGGGACAGCCCAGTTACTGCAGCTGAAACCTGCATGGGTGCATCCTGTGGAAGGGTGAATTTCATCACTCAACATCTCAGAAAGCAGTGGAGGTGGTGAGTGAGGACACGCCTCCCACTCTCATATGAAGATAAAAAGTCAGAGTGAAGCAAGACAGGAGGGAGGGAAAGGAGCAGCTTGAGGGCCCAGGAAGGGCACATAGAAGAGTGTGCCAGTGTCTTCTATGGTTTCTGGAGGTGCTTCGAGTCTGCCCTGGACTCTTAGTGGCAGTTGGATGTGATTGGTGGCACTCAACATGCTTTCATCCCTCACTCCAGGGTGCCTCGTTTCACTGCAGAGGCCTGAAAGCTGCAGCCCAGCATCACTTGGACTCCCTTGCAGCTAGATTTCCAGGTCAGGTGGATGCACTCGTGCCAATTTTGGAAGATGAAAGTGAGGCAGAGACTTTTTCCTGCCCCACTGGGCCATGTCTGCTGCCAGCAAGGTCACAGGACATGGTGCTGTGTCCACCCTCCACCTCTGGAGGGTGGAGACGTGGTGGTGGTGAAGGCAGCAGCTGGACTCCACATTCCGGTGTCCAGTCACTGGCTTTATGGAAGTTACCAGGTGCAGGCTGCAGCAATGGCAACATCAGCTGCACCAGCCACATGTTTTTGAGCTTGATAAGTCTGGGAGGTTCTGGTCCCCACCTTCCTGATGGGCAGAGGTAGAAACTTCCTGGTGGGTCTACACTGCAGGCTTTCAGGAGGCATCCTGGGAAGGGGGGTCTAGTGTAAAACCCTCTCCCTTATCTCCCAACAATTTAGAAAGCACTGATCCCTCCTGTTAAATCCCTTTTCTGCTTACATATCCAGAGGGGAGTATTGTTCCTGCCCTGAGCCCCAGCAGATGAAAATTCTTAGAGCAAAATGAACACATGCTGAGTGAGGGCTTCTCATTGCTAAGAGAATTGTTCTGTTACTCAAGAGATGCCCAATCTTTTCCCTGTTCTCAAGTCTGAGGTCAGAGCGAGCCATCAACGTGGTATCGAAGCTTGTAGCTCTGCTGGGCAGTTCATGAACCTGCTGATATTCACAGCAGCCAACGCGAAGGCTGCACCTCTGTTCACTCAATATTAGGGCTCTCCTCACACCCACTGCCAGCAATTTCTACTATTTCTTTAATATGGATCAATGCAAACACTGCTTTACTTAAGGCTGGGGGACTGTGAGGGTTTTTCTTTTTCTTGTCATATGTGATCATCTTTATTGCCCTGAAGATGTATTACAAATTAAAGATACATTCTGATCCATTCTTTAAGCCCCTGTTCGAACATTCCTCCTCCAGGAAGTCTTCCCTGATTGCCCACCCAAAGGTGTCTTCTCTGCCCTACTAAGTTTCTAAAAGGCAATCCTGGGCTCAGATCAATTTCTCACCATGCTGGGAAGCAGAAGAAGTGCTTGATGGGGAATAAAATTCAATAAAATATAAAAGTGAGTTTATGCTTTTAGAAGTAAGTGCCCAGGGTTCTGCCTCAGCAAGCAGGTCTGAAGACCAGGCACAGAGGAAACAGGCTGGTCAGTTTCATGTCAGCAGCCCCCAGGAAGCTGGCGTGGGAAGGGACTGCTGGGCTCTCACTTCCTACCAATCCCAAGAGCCTACTGCAGTCGGCTGAGCCTTGGAAGAAATGCATATTATGCTGTCACCCAGGAAGGCTGTCCAGGATCCAAGTAAGGCAGACTCACAGTGACCCAAATTATAACGAGGATAAGGGAAGCATTGTAAAGTCATGGAACAGGGCAGTCTGAGGGTAGGTGGATAGGTGTTTGCTGGAGGCAGGGCGGGCGTATGGGAAGGAAGAGGTAGGGAAGGAAAGGGAGGCAAGCCTTTGGCTTTGCACAAATCTGCAAATCCTTAGAGCAGGGCAATTGTGTCCACTCCATTGACTCTGGGCTTGTCATGTGACTTGCTTTGGCCGATGCTGTGTGAGTAGATGTGATGTTTTCCAGGTCAAAGCTGTTATGCTAAAGCTGCTTGTGTGGTTTGCAACCCCTGGAGCCTCTGCCCCCTCATCATGAGAATAGTGTGCTCTCAGCATAAGAGTCGTATGGGGACGCAAACTCCACCAGTAACCAGGAGCCTCATATAGCCAATCGCAGCAAAGCCCAGCAGAGCCTCTGGGCACCCACAGAGCCCCAGGAAGAAGAAATAATGCTTGTTTCTGTAAGCCATTGAGGCTTGGAGCTGTGTGTTACTCAGTATGATTGTTGCAGATACCTGCCTAATACACCAGATTTGTTGGAGTCAAAGCTGACGTTGTTCCACCACACCACCCTGCTTCTTGAGAATTAGCTTTGAAAAACTGCATAGCCTCCTCAAAAACTAAAGCCCTCTTGTCATTGTTATTAATTTCCTCACATTCCTCATTCCTTTTACAACTGCAACTAAGCCTTTTTCTCCCCTTATAGTCACAGAAAAGAACCAAAGCAAATAACTGAGATTTCAGCTCCATTAATTTTTCAGGGCACCATAAATTAGAGAGCAATTGCAATGCAGTCAATTTCTGCGGGAAAATAAGTCTCCGTGATTGTGCTTTAGTCTAATTACATGGAAGGCTAAGTAGTGCTATTAATACCCAGAAGCACAAGCCATCCCCAAGGAAGGGGCCAGGAGCAAAGAGGTAGCCCAGGAGGCTGAGAAATGCAGGGACGCCAGTCAGGGAGGACCCAACCTTGGCAAGGAGGCCAGGTCCTGTCGAGAGCCATGGCAAAGGACAGCCAGGAATCTCCATTTGGAGGTCCCTGACCTGGACTGTCCCTGTTGGTAGAAATTTATCATTCATTCATCTAACCAACCATCCCCATCCATCCACCACCCACCCATCCATCCATTCATCTCCATCCACCCATCCATCCATCTACCCATTCATCCATCCACCATCCACCCATCCATCTACCATCCATCCATTCATCCATCCATCATCTATCCATCCATCTGTCCACACATCCATCCAACCACCCATCCATCCATCCCCATCCATCCACCCACCCACCCATCCATCCATTCATCCCCATCCACCCATCCATCCATCCACCCACCCATCCATCCATCCATCCATCCATCCATCCATCCATCCATTTATCCATCCATCCATCATCTATACATCTATTCATCCATTTATTCATCTGTCCATCCCTCCTCACCCATCCACCCACCCACCCAACCTCGATCTGTCCATCCAACTAATATTTTCAGCCGGGCACTTTAGATTAAAATGGTGAAAAAGACCAGACACTTTCCCTGCCCTCAAAGAGCTTACCCCAATTGCATGTATTGGGTGTAGACAATAATCAAATGACTTCACAAAGATAGAGTTACCTGACATGGTTTGGCTCTGTGTTCCCACCCAAATCTCATCTCAAATTGTAATCCCCACATGTGGAGGGAGGAACCTGGTGGGAAGTGATTGGATCATGGGGCAGTTTCCCCCATGCTGTTCTTGTGTGATAATGAGTGAGTTCTCATGAGATCTGATGGTTTAAAAGTATTTTGCATTTCCCAACTTGTGCTCTCTCTCCTGATGCCTTGTGAAGATGATGCCTGCTTCCCCTTCACCTTCCACCATGACTGTAAGTTTCCTGAGGCCTCCCCACCCATGTGGAACTTTGAGTCAATTAAACCTCTTTCTTCATAAATTAATCAGTCTCAGGTAGTTCTTAATAGCAGTGTGACAATGGGCTAATAGATACCCATTGTGATCAGTGTTGAGAAAGAGAGGCACAGGAATATGGAAGAGTGTGAAATACTGGGGCCCAAGCTGGCCTGCGGTGGCACAGGGAAGGCTGCTGATTTGGGCAGCTTGTGTTTGCCTTCCAGGTCCATGCTGCCTCTTTCCAACCCTTCTCTGACCCTGGGAGCTGACCTACGTAGACAGATCCACCCTTCTCTGGCCCTGAGACTGACCTGTGTAGACAGTTCCACAGCCTCTTTCCTCTAGCCTCTGATTGGATTCCATCTGTGGGAAGCCTCAGTGCATTGGAGAGAGAAAGAGGCATGTGCTATTCCTCTCGTTCCCTGACCAGCCACAGTTTGGCTCAGTTGCTCTACCCAGAGCCAGGCCTCCTACTGGGACCCTTCCTGCAACTGTGGAGCCCACACCTCCTGTTGGGCAGAGGTTCTAGGTTCAGAGTGGCCCCCAAAATGTATCTATGTCCTAATCCTTAGAACCTGGGACCATCACCTCACAGGGCAGAAAGGGAGCCTGCAGTTGGGATTGCTGAGGTCTCCAGATGTGAAGATCACCCCAGGCTATCTGTGTGGGCCCTAAACGAAGGCCCGAGTCCTTACAGAAAGCAGGCGCAGAGGGAGATCTACACACACCCACGCACGTCCACATACACTCACACACTCTCACATACGCTCACATAGGCTCTCTCTCACACACACACACACGCTCATACACACCCACACACTCATGTAGACTCACACACACGATCACACACACTCACCCACACACACTCACACACCCACACACTCATGTACATTCACACATGCTCACATAGGCTCTCACACTCTCACACACCCACACATGCTCATACACACCCACACACTCATGTAGACTCACATGCTCACACACACCCACACATGCTCACATACATACACACTCACATAGGTTCTCACACACACACGCTCATACACACCCATACATGTACACACTCACACTCACATAGGCTCTCACACTCACCCACACATGCCCATACACACCACACACTCATGTACACTCACACTCGCTAACATAGCTTCTTACACACACCTACAAGCACACACTGACATGCTGTTTCACACTCATAAACACACACACTCACACTCTCACACATGCACACTCACGTACACACTCCCACAGACATGCACTTTCACACTCGCACACGTGCTCACATCTACACTCAGATTCACACCCACACTCATTCTCACAAACACAGACATATTCTCACAAACACACACACACCCACAAACACACTTTCACGTGCACACCCATGCACTCATACACGCAATCACACACACCCTCACACCCACACATTTACACACTAAAACACACCCTCACACTCAAACACAACCTCACCCATACATACCCACACACACACACGTTCACACCCACATACACTCATACATTCACAGTCTCACACCCACACCCACTCACAGGTGAACACACATTCACACACAGACACCCACACCCTCACACTCACACACATTTGCACACACTCACATTCATATACACACTCCCACACACCCACACATTCACACGCACATATACACTCACACCCACACTCGCATTCCCACACACATTCACATGCACCCACAGTCACACACATTCACACTAACACCCCCCCACATCCCACAAACCCACACATTCACACCCACCCCCACACACATTCACACCCATTCACACTGACACACCCACACACATGCACTCACACACTTACAAGTGTGCATACACACACACACTTATGCAGTAGGCAGCATGGAGATGGGGCAGAGGAGATTTGAAGCCTGAAGGTGCAGAGATGTGGCCACAGCCAGGAGATACTGGCAGCTGCCAGCAGCTGAGAGAGGCAGGGTTGGACTCCTCCCTAGAGCCCAGGGGGAAGTGCAGCTCCACTGACACTTTGATCTTCGCTGGTTTTGGACTGTGGGCCTCCAGAATTGTGACAGAATAAGTTTCTGTTGCTTAAGCTAGAGCCTGTGGCCATTTGTTCCCACGGCTGCAGAAAAGGAACAAAGTCCTTTCCTACTGGGCCCTCCCCAGCCCCCAGGCCCTCTCCCTCCACAGCCTCAGAACCCAGGTGGGCCCCTCCCTGCAGATGCAGCCCAATGCTCCTCACCAGGCTGGCCCCCCGCTCCCCCACTCACCGGGGGACAAAGCCTCAGTTCCCTGCTGAACCCCATGGACACAGCTCCCAGAGGAGGAGATGCTGATCTGGGGAAGAACAAGCCACCGCTCTTGGCGAGGGGAGAAGAACATTCCACACTGAGGGAAAGGCCTAGTGAGGTCTGATGAGGGTGTGCGCAATGTTCTGGAAGTGGAGAAAGGCCCTTGTGACTGGTGTGCAGAAAGGGATGGCGAGTGGCATGATCCTAATCGCCTGCTACTCACTGGTTCCTCTCTTGAGCCTCTGAGCCTGGTGCACTGCCCACCACCACCTCGCTCAGCTCCCACAGCACAGCCAAGTGGGCACGGTCCCTTGAGGGGGCACCAAGGAGAGGGCGATGACGGGGTCCAGCATCCCGGCCCCCAGCCCCGGGAGGCTCCTCCTCAGCCAGCCCAGGGGTTCCGGGTCCCACTTGCTCCAAGTGGGCACTCACCTCCAGGTGGGTCGAGCAGACCCCAGCCCCACAGACCAGGCGACTGGCACCCATATATCTTACCTTGCTCTCCTTTGTGTAGGCGAGGACCTTGTCCTCCTCCTTAGGGTGGAAAATCAGAGTTTCCACGAAGAAGGGAATGGGCTGCTTCTGAAAGGTGGCGCCTTCGTCTGCGCTGAGGAATAGGCTCTGGTCCCGGTCACTGAGTGAGGAGCTGACAAGGATGACCTGAAACACAAAGCGGGTTGTGAGGCCTGGGCCAGGTGCCCCTCTCCCCCGACACCAGAAAGGTGTTGTGAGGCCTGGGCCAGGTGCGCCTCTCTCCCTCACACCAGAAAGGGGGTTGTGAGGCCTGGGCCGGGTGTGCCTCTCCCCTTCACCTCCTGATACCAGGGAGGAGTGCCCAGAAATGGCGGGCCCGCCCCCAGCCCGGCCAGCTCAGCCTAACTATAGCCATCCATTCATGGAGTGTCTGGGCCAGACCCTCGCCCCTGCACACCAGTGAGGAGATGTCCAGAAATGGCAGGTCCAGCCCCAACCTGACCGGCTCAGTGTGAATCTTAGCTATTCACTCATTCGTCTGTTCATTCATGGGGTGCCTGGGCCAAGTTTCTCCACACACCAGGGAGGGGTGCCCAGAAATGGTGGGTCCACTCTCAACCCAGCCGGCTCAATGCAAATCATAGCCATTCACTGATTCATTTATTCATTCATGGAGTGCCTGGGTCAGGCTTCTCCTTACACCAGGGAGGGGTGCCCAGAAATGGCAGGTTCACCCCCAACTCAGCCGGCTCAGCCTAACTGTAGCCATCCATTCATGCATGCATGCATTCATTCATTCACTCATTCATTCATTCATGAGTGCCTGGGCTGGGCCCCCCCACACACCAGGGAGGGGGTGCTGCAGAAATGGCAGCTTCCTCCCAAACCCAGCTGGCTCAGTGCTAATCATAGCCATTCATTCATTCATTCATGGAGTGCGGGGCACTGTTCTGGGCACTGTTCTGGGCACTGAGGCTCCACCGTAAACTCAGGGTTCACAGCCTCTGCCATGAACGTGAATCCATTCCAGAGAGCCAAGACAGGTGAGCGCTCAAAGACCCTGTCTAAAATTCTGTTTCAGGGACAACTGCTCCAAAGCAGGACCAGGGACGGACGGGGAGAGAGTGACGGGGTGGGGCCCACTACCTTCAGCAGAGGAGAACGCTGAGCCGGGGGTCCCCAGGGAACTCAGGGCAGGCCCGAGGTGCTGATGTAGGGGACTGAGCAGGAGGCAGATATGGGGCTGGAGCAGCAGCCAGGTGTTGGGTCTGCAAGGCCTCGGACAGCAGCACAGTGGGTTGTTTAGTGACCCCAAAAAGATTCGTCAACATCCCTATCCCCAGTACTCGCGACTGTGATCTTACTTGGAAATAGGGTCATTGGAGACGTGGCTAAGCATCTCAGGATGAAGCCATCTGGATTTAGGGTAGACCGTAAATTCAATGACTGGCATCCTTATAAGGAGAGGGGAGGTAGGGACGCAGAGAGAAGGCAACACACAGGCAGAGGCAGAGACAGGGGACACATCTGCACATCACCACGGCCATGAATTGCTGGCAGCTCAGGAAGCTGGGAGCGGCACAGAACGAAGGGTCCCTCTGAGCCCCTAGAAGGAACCAGCCTGGCCGACACCTTGGACTCCCAGCCTCCAGACTGAGAGAGGATACATTGCTGCTGTTTTCAGCTCCCCAGGTTGTGGGTCTTTGCAACGGCAACCCCAAGAAACACACACAATAGCTCCTCCAACCGGGAATCGTGTTATTCGGGCTGGGAGGTCTCTAGGGAGGCGTGAGGAAGGGAGGGGGTGGCCTGGTTTAGGTTTTCAAAGGGGCCCACAAAGGAGTGGGCCATTTAGGAGGAGACACCCTTATCCCGGCTGGGTTTGGTGGCTTGGTCAGATTCGGGACATCGCATCTCTACATTTGGAATGACAGACACCCAGACACTCACAGGTGGCCCCGGGGCCATTTTGCTTTGCAATTGGCAGACAAGGCGGCAGACAAAACTTACCTGAGGTCGCACAGCCATGGAATTTGAACCAGGTTACCCAGAGACTGAGTGTGCACCCCCCGCTCCGATCCTACAAGCACACAGTGTTCGTTCGTTCCTTCATTAATTCATTCATTCACTCATTCATTCATTCCCTCATTCGACAAACTTGTAGAGTCCTGGCTTACACAGGCACCGGGCGCCGCAGAGATGCGGGTGAGGCAGGAGAGCAGTTGTGGCTGTACCGGACGTGGTTCTCATCCTAACAGGGGACCCAAAGCAAGTCCCAAAGGAAGTCTCCCTTTGGAGCCAAGCATTTGACTCCAGAGCCCTGTTCTTAGCCACACACTGCAGGGTGCGCCTACGCAGAATGGGGCATTTAAGCTGGGCCTCGCGTGGGGCTGGATAGGACCAGCCCTGCTGAAGATGAGCACAGCTTTCCTGGGGAGGGCAGTGGGCAATGGCACGAGGCGACTATGGTGGCCTTGCTAGACCCCAAAATATCTCCAGAAGACAATTAAGCTCATGGAGCAAAAATCAATAGTCTGCAAGGAGTGCCTGCGTTTAAGTGAATGAATGGTGATCCCATAGATTCTTTCTTTCCAGGGAAAGCTTCATGCACTTCCCAGCTACGGTCATTAATCTCCGCTAGCACAAAACCCTGCTCTGCCAGCACACCAAGGGCCTGACGGAGAAAGATGTGGCCTCCGTGGAGAGCGATTCCTTGGACGACTTTTGTCCCTGAAATGCGGACGAAGGTGTGTGCTCAGAGCTGTGCTTCTTGGTGTGGTTTATCCGTAGGAAAAAAACAAGGAAGAACCGAGGGCTGGTTAGGGGAGGCTTTGATTACATAATAACGTTGGCAAAGAACAGCTAACGACTGGGGAGCTTATGTGCTCATGAATAAAAGCAAGGTGCAAAATTACAAGGAAGTACGCTTACTGTACATACCACGCTGACACGGCGATGAAGCAGTCTATTATGATTCTGTTAATGACAAATGAGTGGACAAATAGGTATAATTTTATCAATGGGAAGTGGCCAGAAATAAGAATGGAAGGCAGCTTGGCGGGACGTAAGAGTGATTGGTCTTAAGTGGTGGCGCTAGAAGGAATTTACTTTTTTACTTTGATAGAATAGTTTCAGATTTACAGAAAAGTTGCAGAGATAGCCTAGCGAGTTCCTGCTTGCTAGATGGAGACAGTGAGGCACAGGGAGGTCACACGGATGGTCAGGATAGAGCCGAGGTCAGGAGCCGAGTGTTTGACTCCAGAGCCCTGTTCTCAGCCACACACTGCAGGATGCACCCACGCAGGATGGGGCATTTTAGCTGAGCCTCCCAGTTCCTGTCTGTACCACACCCAGTTCCCCAGTTATTAACACTTTACATTAGCCTGGGACACTCACCACGAGGAGGATGCCAGCATCAGCACCTTAGTGTTCTCCAAATGCCACGCTTTGTTCAGCTTCCACCAGTATTTCCTCTTCCTGTCCCAGGATCCCACCAGGACACCACAGTACATCTTAGGCTGGGGCAGTCTGGGGACTTTCCTTGTGCTGGATGACCTAGTGAGCTCTGAGGGCTGGCCAGGCACGCTGGAGGATGCCTCTCAACGTGGGTCTGTCTGATGTTTTTCTGGGCATCGGATGGGGTTGTGGGTTCTTGGGAGGAAGGCTGCAGGGGTGAGTGAGGTACATCAGACCGAGTGCCAGCTGTCAGCAGACTTGTCACTGATGGCACTGCCCTTCCCGGCCAGGATCCTGCGTGTCAGACCCTCCCTGGTGGAGTCACTCTTCTCCTTTCCACACTGTCCTCTTGGAAGGAAGTCACCACGCACAGCCCGCGCTTGAGGGGTGTGGGAGTTACCCCCCTCCTCGAAGATGGAAGAGCCACATCTATGATTTGGAATTCATTAGCATGGGAGAGGTTTGTCTCTTCCCCTCCATTGTTTACTCATTCAATCATTTATTTATATCACTATGAGCTAATAAATATTTATTTTATACTTTAGTTGTAATTGGAGACTGTTCTGATATTTTGTTGCTCAAATAGCTCCAGCTCTGGCCCCAGGGAGCCCTTTTAGCTGGGCTTTGTGTCTCTGTGACACACCCTCATCATCCTCCTCCCTCCCTAGGTTCTTTTTTTTTTTTTTGAGACACAGTCTCGCTCTGTTTTCAGGCTGGAGTGCAGCGGCACGATCTCGTCTTACCGCAAACTCTGCCTCCCAAGTTCAAGTGATTCTTTGCCTCAGCCTCCTCAGTAGCTGGGATTACAGGTGCCCGCCACCATGCCTGGCTAATTTTTGTATTTTTAGTAGAGATGGGGTTTCACCATGTTGGCCAGACTGGTCTCAAACTCCTGACCTCAGGTGATCCAACCGCCTTGGCCTCCCAAAGTGCTAGGATTAAGGCATGAGCCACGGTGCCCGGCCTGTCCCTCCCAAAGTTCTGCATACACTGCACGTGGATTCCCTGGATAACCAGGAAGAAGGAAGGAAGTCCTCAGGACTTCTTGGTTCATTCATCATCCATTCAACTTTGACCCACACGTCTGTGCCATTTGGCCAGGGAAGCCCAAATCCCCCTCATTAAAGCACTTTTTCCATGATACAGTTTTTCAAACGTTCTTACGACGCAACTGTGTGTCCACCATCCTCACTGGCCCATGTGCCATTTTTGTACCTCGAGCAAAACAGGACACGGAGCTGGCCGTTAATCCCGCCTGACGGACACATGAAGGAGCGCATGCAGGAATGAGTGAATGAACAATGCCATCTCAGTCTGCGACTCCTAAGGGAATTGTTTGTTTGCTTTTCACCTCTGGGAGGAAAACAACCTTACGAACATTTAAGTAGCCTGGAGAGCAAAACGCATAGAAAAAACTCATCCACTTATGCGTCTTCACCACTCAAAGTTTTGCACATGAATGAAGGCTCATTCATTCATTCTTTCACATTGCAAAACCACATGGTCCAAGCAAGGATTCAGGTAAACACAGGGCTCCGCTGGAGCACAGAAGAGGGAAAATGGCACCCAGGTGTTGGGCAGGTACAAAGGCAGGTAGGACGGCTTCCTGGAGGTGATGACACCCAGATGAGCCCTGAAGAATGAATGGAAATTTGACTGGTAGACCTGGGGGACGGGGCTTCAGGCAGAGAGGACGGCATGACCCCAAAGGCAAGCAGGTGGGGGTCCCTGCTCCGCCTCTCGTCCAGCTTCACCTCCCACCCCTCAGGCTCCTGGCATCAGCCACGGCAAACTCCTTGTGTGTCTCCAGTTAGCGGAGGATGTTTGCATCCTGACAACCACTTGTGTGTGTACTGTTCCCTCTGGGTGGAATGCACAGTGGGACCAAGACACCCCCACTCCTGCCACTGGTGACTCAGAACTAAACCTTCACTTTTCAAAATGACACAAAATCCATGTGTGATCAAATCAAAATAGCTTCTTTCAAATTTTCTGAGTACAAAATTCTGAACAACCTCAACAAACCTAAATGCTTCTCATTTATACATGTGAGCCTGTTTTGATGATGGGATGCCCTTCCCCTTGTTATCTGCTTGTTGAGCACCCTGTTCTGCAAGACTCATTTCAAAGGGCACCTTTTCCAGGAAGCCCTCTATGATAGGGAGTTATTCCACTCCTTCCTCTGCCCCCTCCAGCATCTTGTGCATACACAGGCTAACAGCCTGGTGGCCCTAGGGTCCTCTTGGTGGGTCTGCTTCTGCTGCCAGCCTCTCAGCCTGGCAGTGCTCATGTCTTCAGCGCTGCCATTTCTCCCAGCACCGTGATCCCAATGAATGGGCATTGGTGTTATTCACACACAGCCGGGGGGCTCTGGGTACAGGGCTTGCTTCTCCATCACAGGCCCTTTCTGCGGCAGTCCGCACCCTCCATTAGGCCCTGGGCTTTGCAGGTGGTGACACGGAGGCGAGAGGAGAAAAAGCCCGAGGAAATGATTACAACCTGGGGCCCAGCAATCTGGGCCGGGGCTATTTTTGGTGCCGAGTTGGGAGAGTGAGCCAGGAAAGACGGGGGAGAGGAAGGTGCTGACAGGGAAGGATTATTGGAGCAAAGAAAACAAATCAATTAGCATCGTGCCAGGCGGAGCTGGCAGTGGTTCCTCCAAATTGGGCAGCAGCCTCTATTTTAAATGGTGTATTTTTACTGCTTACTATTCTGGGGGAGACATATGGTACCTGCACTGGGTTCTGGGGGCCCAGGAGGCTGGTTTTTTGAAATTAGAGACGACATTCTAAAACATGGTAAAGAGAAATGCTTGACAGATTCATTTCACTAATGGCCAGTTATTTGAAGCCTAATTCTGAGAAACGGGTGCACAGTTTACGGGGACCAGCAAATGGTCAGGGGCAGACACATGGTCAGGTGAGTCCCTTATTTTAATACATATTCACAGCATACCTGCTAGGTAGGTGTGATTATCCCCATTTCTCAGGTGGGAAAAGTGAGGCCAGGGAGCCTGTGTGCCAAGTGGGTGATCACACAGACGGCTTTTCTCCCCTGATGTCTGTGTCACCTCTACAAATACTGCAGCCAATGGTATCCTTGCACCTGCCCAGAAGGCAGCTGGCTAACATGGGGGTCCTGATGCAACAGGCTTGGAAGAGTCTAGGGAGATCCCTCCCACCCTCAAAGACAGGAAATGGCTTCCAGAAGTCTGCAGCGGCAGCTCTGTCCAGGGCTTTCACGATGGATTTCCGACCCTGTGAAGAGGGAAGGGAGGGCTGGGAGGGACTCCCATTCATTCTTCCCTCTTGGCCCCTCAGCCCATTCTGGAGGGGACTGACTGACTCATTCAGTCCATAGGTGTGGACCCCCCGGGATAGGAGCTGAACCCCATGGGATTTCTGCCCCCCCGGGGGGGTCACAGCAGACAGAAACATCACCGAGTAGGTCTGAGAGGTGTACTAGTCAGGGCAGCCCCGAGCAGAGAGGGCCCCTCACCCAGGCTGGGCCAAAGTGGAGGAGAGGCTGTCCATCAGGAGCATTTCTGCAGATGAGACACAGCTCACACAGGGTGGGCCAGAGTCGACACTGTGCAAAAAGATGCCCCAGAGGGACCAAGGGCAGACACCGGGAGATGCTGAGCTGGCCCTCCCACCCCCTCCCTGCCTGGCCAGGAGGTCTGCCTGAAGCCGAGGCCTGGATGCCCTTCTCTGGCTCTTCAAAATGAGTCCACACCTCCCTGCCTCCCTGACCTGCATCCCATCTGGTCTCCTGCTTGGACCTGCTTGTCAGAAGCACCCCTGTGACTGAGCCCTGCAGGAGCCAGCGGTGACTCTTCCCCGGCCCGCGGGACGCTGCCAAGTTCCCTTCCCTGGTCCACGTCATCTTCCTCTGGCAGGGCTCCAACCCATCTCCTCCAAAAGGTGGTGCCAATGTCCCAGTCTGCCTGGCAGCTAAGCTCATCATATCCTAACTCTCAACTCTCCAAGTTAAAAAAAAAAAAAAAAAAAGAAAAGGAAAACAAACAGCATCCAGAAACCACTTCTCGCCTCGCTAGAGCTCTGGATCACACTCGCCTCTGCAGAACTCTGGTTTCCATTCACAAATCTCTGTCCTGGGGAGGATGCTTTTATTCTGCCCTTTACCAAGTTTAGCCCTAAGGATTGGTGTCATTTGGATTTGACTTTCTATTTAAAACCCAATTGCCCAGTCTACTCCTGGCCAGACAGATGCACCCAGCTCAGGGTACAGACAACTTGGCTTTGATGCTGAGAGAGGCAAACAGCGGAGGCGAACAAACACTGCAGCCTCCACCCCCGGATCTGAAATTAGAATCTTCCCAGAGTGTCTCATCCAAGCTTGTGTGAGTCACAATGAGCAGAAAGCATTCTTCCACCCGGCGCTTCCCCTGTGGCTGAATGCACACAGCTCGCTGGATGTTCAGCACACACTCCGGCGGCTAGCCTGGTGTTTCAGGAGAAAGTCACTCCCGTGATGGTCATGTCTGGGTGACCCTGAGGGCTGTAGAGGTCCCAGGATACAGAGTCCCACTGAGATGTGGCCTTGGACAAGTCCCTCTCCTCACCTTCAAATTGGAGATAATAATTTCTTCTGTGCTGAGGTTCCCAATGAGGCAAAACATTTGCAAGTGTTGTAGAAATATGAGGGGTCTTCATTCTTTTTGTTGCTTTCTTCAACCAGAAAGAAAGATCTACTCTTGGAGAAATCGCAGGTGGTCTGCAGGTTCGTTCCTGCTGGGGCCCTTTAGGGTCTCCCAGGTGCTCCTGGGATTCAAGCTTTTTTCACTCACTCCCAGCCTCACCTGTGGACATGGCTCCCACGCATCCTGAGCTCAAGCAGTCCTGGGCTGTGTCCAGGTCCCAGAGGCCCACCACACCCTCACAGTCTGCGTATGAACAAGCCTCACTTTGCCAGATGCCTTGGTCAACTTCTGACTGCCTGCAGGGTAGGGCCCAGGGGGACATGCCGGTGGCTGCTGTGGTGGTTAACCAAGTGAGATAACCTGGTGACCTGGCCTTGGGCAGAGGTAGGAGAACTGGAGGGGAGAGGGCAGATGTCAAGGACATCTTGGAGTTACAGTTCAGAGGCTTTGCTGGGGAATAAATAAAACGGGGAAATACAAGAGCACACTAAGTTTCAGGCTTGGGTCAAAGGGTGGCCGACAGCGCGTTGCAGAGATGGGGATGCAGTAGGAAGAACTGGTTTGGGGGAGATGAAGCTGAGGTCAGTTTGAGCTGCTGAGGTTCCTGAGGTACACCCAAGTAGAGGGAGGGTGGGGTTTGATATATGGGGCTGGGCTCGGAGAGGAAATCTGCACGGTGGCTAGGCATTTGGAAGCTCCATGCACAGACTCCTGGCTGGGGGTGCCGGAAAGGAACAGCTCATCCAGGCATGGCAGGAAGTGGGAAAAAGAACTGGCCTAGGATGGAGATCAGAGGGACCCTGCAGAGATCAGCGGGTGGGGAGCGAGGGGGGTTGGGGGGTAGGGCGCTGGAGAGTGGCCAGGGGTGAGGGGCTTCAGCAGGCCAGGAGGAGAGAGCTTGGCCTTCCCACCTCCTGACTCCCACCTCCTCCCTCCCTCACCTCTCAGCTGGGCCTGCCCTGCCACAGCCTCTCTGACTTGTTTCACACCCATGTTTGTTCCACATCCGAGGTCCCTCTCACCTGGCTCTGGCCACCCCAGCCTCAGGCTCACTCTATGTTCTGGCTCCGGAGAGCCCCTTCCCGGAGGCTGTGTGGCTGGCTCCTTCTTTTTAAAAATTTATTTTTATTTTTATTAATATCACTTCTAATGGACCAATCATAATTGTATACACTTGTGGTTACGATGTGCTATTTTGATATATGTATGTGTATATACATACATACGACACACAACATGCAATGATTAAATCAAGCCAATCAACACAGCCGTCGCCTCACCCACTTGTTTTCTGAGGTGAGACATTTGAAATTTCAAAACAGCGAGGGAAGGGAACTCCAGATGACCAGCTCCTCCTAACCCACAGCTGGTAGCTCCGAGGCCACCGTCTCAGAGGCCCTTCCTCAGCACACCATCTAAGTGGGCCCTGACTCCTGATTATCCTTTGTCTTAAAAAGCAATTATTAAGCCTCTCTGAAAACATCCTTTTATATTATTATTTCTTATTGTGGCAAAACAGACATATCATAAAATTTCCCTTGTGAGCCCTTCTCGAGTGTACAGTTCAGTGGCATTAGGCATCCACACTGCCCTAGAACCATCACCACTGTCCTTCTCTGGAGCTTTACCATCACCCCAAAGTGCAGCTCCCACCGCGGGAAGCCCCAGCTCCCCACCCCCTCCATTTGTGTTATTGTGCTCACTTCCTGGCCGATCCCGCACGAGGCCACATGGTCAGGGAACAGGGTTGCCTTGTTCACTGCTAGATCCCAAGCCCTACCTGGCATGTAGTCGGTGCTCAGGCCACGAGCTCAGTGCTGCTGAACATGCTGATGGGATATATTTAACTCTCACTTCTAGCTTTTTTTTTTTTTTCGAGACGGAGTCTCACTCTTTTGCCCAGGCTGGAGTGCAGTGGCACAATCTCAGCTCACTGCAAGCTCCATCTCCCGGGTTCATGCCATTCTCCTGCCTCAGCCTCCCTAGTAGCTGGGACTACAGGCGCCCGCCACCACGCCAGGCTAATTTTTTGTATTTTTAGTAGAGATGGGGTTTCTCCATTCACAGGATGGTCTGGATCTCCTGACCTCGTGATCCGCCCGCCTCGGCCTCCGAAGGTGCTGGGATTACAGGCATGAGCCACCGCGCCTGGCCGAACTTTTAACATTTAATGGAGGTGGCGTTCTGTTCTGTTGTGTTCTGTTCTGTTCTGTGTGCTGATGTCTCAGCCCTTCTAAGCCCCACCTGAAGCCCAGGAGCCTGGAAGCCCAGAGACCACACACCCCCGCCTCCCTTAGACTCTACCCCCAAGCTGCCTTCACATGACCGCTGACAGGCACAAGAGTGGAGACACCTTGTTCTCCAGCAGCTGCTGCAGGCAGGCCCGGGGCTGTGCCAGGGTCTCTGGCGTCCTCGCCAGGCCCCCGCTTGGGTGCAGCAGGAGCTGAGAATTGGCAGCTGTTTCTCAAGGTTCCTGCGTGCCTGACCTCCTGATACTTGCAGTGTCTACTATGTAAGGAAGCCTCTAAGTCCTTGTGTCAAACCCCTTCCTCCACCAGATACCGAAAGTGGTTTCTAACCAACACTGGTGAATGGCTGGATCTAGAACTATTTTACCAAATAAAACGAGTTGATCTGAAACCTTCTCTTGTGTGGACCGAGGGCACGCCTTCATTCCAGCCTGCCCAAGGTCTTAAGACTGCCTAACCTCTTCCCTGCCAAGACCCAGGAATTTTGCTAAGGCATTTTTCATGGCTCCTCAGCCAACAGAGGCACATTATGAGTTAATGAGAGCTTTGCCCCTCAAATAAAAGCTCTCTGCCAAATGGGAATCAGGGCAAGGCCAAGGTGGAGAGATCTGTCAGCATTCATGGTTCCTAAAAGAGATTTTCTCAACTAGGCGGACGAGGGCCCCATTCACCCCCCATGGCATGGGAGTTCATGCACAATTCTGAGAAACATGTTGGGAGGCAAGCAGACTGATGCCAGGGCTTGGGCAGGCAGCATCACCCATCCATCCTGAGTAGGGATATGTAAGGCCTGGCATTCTCAGCAGGACGCCTCCCACTGTCCTCTGCTTAGCTGAGGGAATTTTTAAAAACCCACGAAAAGGCTGGGTACAGAGGCACATACCTGTAATCCCAGCATTTTGAGAGGCCGAGGTGGGTGAATCGCTTGAGTCCAGGAGTTTGAGACCAGCCTGGGCAACAAGGCGAAACCCTGTCTCTCCAAGTATAGAAAAATTAGCCGGGCTTGGTGGCACGCACGTGTAGTCCCAGCTACTTGGGAAGCTGAGGCAGGAGGATCTCTTGAGCCTGGGAGGCAGAGGTTGCAGTGAGCTGAGGTCATGCCACTGCACTCCAGCCTGGGTGAAAGAGCCAGACCCTGTCTCAAAAAATAAAACAAAATAAAATAAATGAATAAAAAATAAATAAAATCTTACAAAGGAGAAAAGTCAAGAGAATCATTATCATCGAGGATGAGGATGGGGAACAGTACCATACTGGGACTCGAATTTTTCATTCATTGAGCCAGCACCTAGGCACTGAGCACCAGGGACTGTATTACATGTTGGGTTATGACTGTGGACAGGACAAGACGGGACAGGATGAAATCACCCTCCCATGGCCTTACAGCTGAGTGCAAAAGACAGGAAGGAAAACAAACGCAGGAACACGATCATTTCAGATGGTAGTGAGTTCCATGAACAAGATAAAATCAGGTAATTCAATGACTAATGTGGATGTGTTTATGTGTTTATATACATGCATTCGTACATAAATACGTACACACATATGATACACACAAATATATGTATGTGCTATAGAAAGAGATGTACATATGTAGGAATGAATCTATAGAGACAGAGGCATGAAGCAGCCCGGAAGGTTAACAGCACTGTTTGTTTCTGGGTGACGAGACGATAGTACATTTTTCTTTCTTTGGAGAATGTTTCTGGCTACATTTCCTAGTCTGTACCACATGGCCTAGTGTGAAACACCTATGGAATGACTAAATACATTTTTGTTAAGTCAATATTTTAAAATGAAAGTGTTACATTTGTAATTAGGAAAAAATCCAATAAATAATGTACTTTTATGAAAGAGGAATGTGTTTATAAGCAAAAGCTTAAGAAAGTCTGTTAGCAAGACACCTGTTACAAACTAAGGTTTCCTGCTAGGTCATCTATGAATGGTCGGTATTTCATACTTTTATTTATTTATTTATTTATATTTATTTATTTATTTTGAGACAGGGTCTTGCCCTGTCACCCAGGCTGGAGTGCAGTGGTGTGATCTCAGCTCACTGCAGCCTCTGCCTCCTGGACTTAAGCCATCCTCCCGCCTCAGCCTTCTGAGTCGCTGGGAACCACAGGCGCGTGTGTACCACCATGCCTGGCTAATTTTGTTTAATTTTTTTGTAGAGACAGGGTCTCCCTACATTGCCCAGGCTGGTCTTAAACTCCTGGGCCCAAGCAATCCGCCTGCCTTGGCCTTACACAGTGCTGAGATCACAGATGTGAGCCACCGCGCCCAGCCTATAAATACTTTCAGTCCAACTCTTTCTTTTCCTCTCTCCTCCCCTCCTTCCTCCGTTCCTTCTTTCCTGCCTCTCTACCTTCTTTCTTCCCTCCCTCCCTCCTTCTCTTCCTCCCTGCTCTTTTCCTTCTCTCCTTCCTTCATCTCACCCCTCCATCCGTCCTTCCATCCATCCATCCACTGGGGAGTGACTGTAAGGGTTAATGAAGAGTGCTGGGTGCTTTGAGTCCAGTGACCATCGTACCCACCTGCTGTAACCATCTCCATGCAACCCGGCTCCTGCACCTACCTCCTTGGCATGGGTACCAGTGGCTTCTGGCTCCCGGGCTCGTCTCTGCTTGAACTTGAACTCCTTCTAGTGGGTTGAGAGACGGTGACTGTGTGCCTGGCTCTGTGCTAGGCACTAGCCCCCACAGTCCTCATTATATTCTCACAATGCTACATGTGGGAGATGTTCTTGTCTCTCTTTTACAGACAAAGAAACAGAAGCCTGGAGTGGTGAGATGACCCACTCAAGACCAAACAATTTGTGAGCCATGATGTTGGCATGAGACCCAGCTCTGTCTGACTCGGAGCTGGCGTCCAGCCTCTGCACCAGGGCTTGAGCTGACAAGCATCCAATATAATTTAGTAAAACAGCCACTCAAACACGATTACAGAATTGACTGTCAGGAAAGAGCTGGTTCTGTTTTAATTACTGGCCTGACAATTGCTAAAATGCCAGGAAACATCCTTGAGAACATTTGTAAATTTAATGGCAAGGCAAACCTTTTCTCTTTGGCCAGAAGGCTAACTTGGAAAATCTTGGGTCTGATCGATAATAACTAAATAAGGCAAATACATTTCAGAGCATATAAAATAACTCATCATCGATATTTTGTAGCCTTGATTTATTAATGATCTTGTGTGTAGCATTTGTGAGACGAGAGCCCCCGCCGTCCTCCTCCTCCATGATCACTGATGATCTCAGTTCTCTTAAGGGGTTTTGCGCTGAGGCTCTAGAGTGAATACGGTTTAATCGTGTTTTGTTTGCCTGTCTGAGGACATTTTGCAGACAATGCTAAAAAGCCTGTTTGCTTGGGCAGAGTGCAGCAGACGGCTAATTCTCTGGAGTGATGGTGTTTTGGAAGATTGTCTTTTATCAGGATGGTTGCATTAACTATGTACGGTTGGACGTGTGAACAATTTGTTCATTTATCTGCCCCCTAATTGAACAGTGGAAGGCAAGGGAATGTATCTCAGTAGCTTTGTGTTAGGCCTTTTCAACAGCAGTGCTGGCAGCCTCCTGGGTGAAGATGACAGCTTTCGGAAATAACTGTGGAATCTCCTAAGACTGTCTCTTCAAATATTTGTGATGAGAAGCCAAGATAGTATTGTGGCTGCTGGTCAAATTGGTTAAAATCTTGCATCAGCTTCAACTAGAAGCCATTCTTAATGTTTTCTTATCATTCCCTTATCGTTCCCATGAAGCAGGTGTCTGAAGCCAAAACATGAGACAAGGTCTGCATTGAATGGCCAAGGTCATGGTCATCCATTTAGGGACCATTTGTATTCCGTGGTCATAGACTCCAATAAGAAAGGCCCGTGAATGTAAGCTCCTCAGAGTTGGGTGGGGAAGCTACACTTCTGTCTGGAGAAGCCCCAGTCAGGGTCTGCAGTGATAGCAGCTTGAATCACGGTGGGCATGAATGAAGAACTTCTACTGCATAGAGTATACAGCAATACTGGTAACAAATAGTTGTGCATAGCATTTATTGAGCACTTCTGTATGCCGGGCACTGGACCAAATGCTTTCTTCATATTTTCAACCACCCTCTGATGAAGTAGTTGTTATTATTATCCTTGTTGAATGGCCCCAAGCAAGTGAGTCCCAGAGAGGGCAGTCACCACCCAGTGGCTTAGGGGTTGGTGGGGTAGAGCCCTGACAGCTGCTGCAGAGGTGGATATGGGACGCGCGCTGCTCTTCCTCTGCTCTTGATTTCAGCCTCCATTGAACCTGCATGAACCAGGGCTGGGGGTGGAGCAAGGAACAACCTCGTTGTCTTTGGCTCCATGGAGCACACAGTCTAGTGAACAGGCAAAGACCGACAAAGCGCATAAGCGGCAGCCGTGAACCCCAGCAAGGGCTCGGTCACTGAACAAGAGGGGGAGTGGGGTAAGACCATAGAGACAGCGAGGTGCCCAGGTGACCAATCCAGCAGGAAGGGAACGAGGACGCCGTGGGATGGGGAGGAGGAGACAGCCGCAGGAGATGTGAAAAGGTGGAAGGAGCAGGACTGGATGCCACAGGTCGGGCAACAGGGAGTTTGGAAGGCCCCCGGCTCCTACCTTGGGCATTGGGGGAAAAACAGTGAACCAAAGACACCTGGTACTTTCCTCATGGCTGAGAAGAGACTGAGAAGGAGTGGCCAGAGAGGCAGGGGGAGGACCAGACAGCAAAGTGCTGCAGAAGTCACGGGCCAGCCACCGAGAGCTCAAGCATGGTGAGCTTTCAAAGCCCCACTGATTGACAAAGATGGGGTACTGGTGTCTCTGAGTGTGACTGATTACTGATGGTGGGAAATGGATGTCTCCAGGCACCAGTAATCACCAATGGCAGGAATATTGGTGTCTCCCGAAGGTACCATTGATTGTCAAAGGTGGGGCATCAGTGTCTCTGAGTGTCACTGATTGTAAAAGGCAGGGCATTGGTGTGTCTGAGGACTACTGATTATCAGCGATGGGGTATCGGTGTCCCTGGGCACCACTGGCTGCCAGTCGGGGGGGTAATGGTCCCTAGAAAGGGATGGGGTGGGAGGTAGCACCGTCTTCTGTCCTTCATCTGCCCTCTAACCATATGCCATCGGTCATCAGTCAGTCCTAGCGTTTCCACTCCTCAGTGGCAGGGAGTGGCTCTGGGGTCTGGACAGGGCGGACCCCAGAGCAGACGCATCATGAGCAGTGGGTGAACTGAACAATGGCACAGCAGGAAAAATGAGTGTCTGTTTTGTCAAGTTATTCTCCTCCTTCCTACCACAGATGAAAGATGATTTAATTAAGGTTCTCGGGGAAAGAGCTCTGGAGTGGGAGATTTCCCAGGGGTTCTCTACAATCTCGTGGAGGCCACTGTGACCTGAAGCTCTGGTTTCCTGTGAGAAGCATCAGCACTGGTTCTTCCAGATCTGGAAGAACAGATATCCGTCCTGCATGAAGCCCCCTGGGACTCCGTGCCAGAGCACTCATGACAGAGCCCGGCCAGGCGCCCTCCCACAGGCAAAGAGGAAGGTGGGCAGGGAAGGCAGGGTAGGGCAGTCCAGCCCCTGCCTGGGACTCCAGACACAGTGATGCCTGGAAGCAGGACGCAGCAGCAGAGGGGCCGGCTGGACCAGCACATCTTCTGATGCTGGAATCACTGCAGTTGTGCCCCGGCCTCTCTGCTTGGATACCTCCAGTGGCAAGAGGCTCCCTACCTCGCTGCCTGTGCAAGTGTTTTCTTTATAACAAGCTCAACCCTGCAAGGCACAGAATAAAAGGCTTCAGAGCCCTGCAAAGCTACAAGGAATTCTGGCCATGCACATACAGTGGCGAGACCGCGAGTCACTTCTGTAGTCTATGGGGGCCTCGATCCTGCCCCTTTTGAAGTGGGTCACCCTCCTCCTTCTTGCTCCCTGTCTTCCTCCCACCCGAGCTACAGGTTGGAGTAGGGGCTGGGTGAGGGGAGAAGGAGGTGCCTCAGGCCTGCTGAGGAGCGCAGGGATCCTGGCTTTTTTGTGGCTACTCTGTGGCAATTCCCCCAGGGGCCGTGCTCTGGGGCAGGACGTGGGTATTTCCAGGCCTTACTGAGGCCAGAATGTCAGTAAAATCGCACACCCGGATATCAGTCCTGATAGTACTGATTAATAACTCACAGCGCTGTTGTCACAAGCAGATAGAGCTCACCAAGCCAGGCAGTGATCATCTCAACCATCATAGCTGGGCAGCAGCACCAGCAGGCTCTCGCCAGGCTGGACACCGCCCCAGAGGCCAGGCTGCTGCCAGCCCCGCTTTTCAGAGAGGTGAGCATCTTACCCAGAGGTCGCCTGTCTCAGACAGAGCCGAGCTGGTGACAGGGAAGCTCGGTGGACAGTGTGCCACACCCCGGCAACCTGTCTTTGATTAGATTTATTGACTGGGTTTCTGTGTGGGATTTTGTTCAGCAAAAGTGTTTTCATGTTTTAAAAATATGTTTCACCACCTCTGATTTCATCTGATCACCACCACCCCCAAAATACACACACATAGACACACACATAAACACACACATATACACACACAGACACACAAACACACACACACACATACTCACACATAGACACACACATAAACATACAGACACACATAGACACACATATAAACACACACAGACACACACATAAACACTCACACAGACACACACATAGACACACACTCACACACACACACAAACATGCACACAGACACACACATAAACACTCACACATAGACACACAAACATAACACTCACACATAGACACACACATAAACACTCACACATAGACACATACACAGACACACACATTTGTAGATGCAGGGAGGGGTGTGAGATGCCGGGAGGGAGTGGGAGAGGAAGGCTTCGGAACCCAGGAAAGACCCTGTGCCCCTACTTCCCACACACCACCCTGGGCGGGGCTCAGGGCTGGGCGGGCTGCCACATCTCCGCTGGGCCTGGTCACACTGCCCAGGATGGACATGACCTACCCCCAGCAGGGGAGGTGCCTGAGGTCAAGAGGCCCTGGGAGCCCCCTCCTTGTGGTCAGCAGCTGTGGTCTCAGAGCCAGCTGGGACCTCATGGCCGGCAACCCCCCCGTGCCTGCCAGCCACTGCCTCCCTGGGCCTCTTGGTGGTGGGCTAACACAGGGGTCGCAGCAGGAGAAGGGCACTTGGGGGGCACTCGGGGGCCTGGAATACTCAGGGCTGACCTCGTGGCCGAGGAGCAGGAGAAGAGGAGACCGATCTGCCCTCCCGTCCAGGTCGGAGACAATGCCCTGAGTGCAGGGGAGACCCCCCACCGTGAGACCCTCAGCGCCTTCACCACTAGCCCTGGCCTCAGCTTCAGCTTCAGTTTCTAGTCTGCAAGAAGAAGGCAAAGAGCTCCTGCCCCACAGCCTTCCAGGCCAACCTATGGGGAGCTGCACAAACCCAGCTTTGTCAGGGACATGGAGTGTGTGTACCCAACACCCACCGCCTCCATAGTGACAAGTGCCTGGAGCCTGGCATTGTGGCTGCCGCACATCCTGCTACTGTTTTTGTTGGTTGCCCACAACTCAGCTGCCCGCTTCCCCAGGAATCTGCTTCGGTTGACAGGAGCCCCTCGCCTGGGAAGTTGCACCCTCCCCCAGGCAGTCCACAGATGGACAGATGCCTGATGGATGTGGGGGTGAATGGCCAGGGCTGTATCCCCAGGGTGGGACTCCACAGCGTGGGCTGCAGGCAGGAGCAGGATGTCTTGTGAAAGCTGGGACCCTAAAAAGCTGAGAGACTGCCGGACACTCGCAGCCACACATGGGCCACATCCACGTAACACAGCAAGATGCCTTGTTCCCAACAAAGCCCAACTGTGCGTCTCCTATTTTTAGACCAAAGAAAACAATGCATGGTGATATTGTGGGAGGGATGGCTGATTAGGGAAACCTGTAAGAATCCCGTATCATTCTGCTCCAAAAGATCGCAATCCGCAGAAGAGGTGCTGGGGGTGCTCAGGAGAAACGCCCAGTGGTCCCCAGCCCAGCAGATGAAGGAGGAAGAGGAGGAAGAAGAGGAGGAAGAGGAAGGAGGAGGAGGAGGAAGGAGGAGGAGGAGGAAGGAGGAGGAGGAGAAAAAAGAGGTGTAACTAGATGCAGCTGTTTCTAGAGTGAGCGAGACCAGGTGCCTGGGGACAGGGCAGGGGCAGGGGCAGGGGCTGACGAATCTGTGCCGAGACCCTCTTTATTTCTCATGGCAACATCCTGGCGTTTCACGTCACACACGCATGAACACGTGCACAGACGTGTACATGCGTGTGCTCCTAAAGGCCGTCCCTTCCCACTCGGGCACTATGCCACGTGAGTATCGGCCTGATACCTGTGTGTTGGGCTCACTGCAGAGCCTCCGAGCCTCCTTGAGAGAGAAGGCAGGGAAACCCACTGAAGGTTGTTGTCCTAAGGACTTGGGAGAGGGAGGGCACATCAAGTCCAACCTCTGTCGGGACACTGGCACCCAAGGAGGCAGGGCCGCTTCTCCAGGGACCACAGTCATTGGGCACCAAGCTGGGACCCCTGCCTGCCTAATACCAATTCCAGGGCAGAAGACCCTGCACATCTGGAAACTGTCCCTCATGTCCCTGAGTGTGGACTGAAGAGGTGGAGTGGGCAGGGTAGAGTGAGGTTTTACTGGCCAGAAGCTTCCGGACTGTTTTAAGGGAAATGTCTGGGGAAGCCACGCTCCCAGACTTCCAGAAGGACACACAAGCCCTCTGCTCCCTGGACTTACTGGATAAGCTTCCCAATAAAAATGCTCCAAGATGCCTTGCCCTAATGGAGGGAAACAATGTTGGATCTTCCCAGACTGGCCAGATGAATCCCTTACGCCTGGCCATCATTCGCTGCCACTGGCTTAAGGGTAGCTAAGTATTGGGTAGCCTCTATTAGCCAGGTGCCGAGTGGCACACGCATCTTGTCTCATGAACCCTCGTAGCTGACCCTCGAGAGGGGTGATAGCTTCCTGGAGCTCTGAGAGGCTCACCAACTTGCCCAGAGACACGTAGCACAGGCGCAGGACCTGGGTGCACATCACAGATTGTGTGTCTGACACCTGTACTTTTCAGAGAAAAGCATCTACTCTCACATTTGCCGGTTAGAAATTTCAGGTGCTTCCGAGGACCTATGGGTGCCAGCAGTCTCCCCCGCACTGTGCACACAGGCATGGATGGCACAGGTGAGCTTCCTGCCCCCGCCCGAGACTTCCAGGACGGTGGTGTGTGTGTTTGTGTGTGTGTGTGTGTGTGTTTGCGCACATGGCTCAGACAATAAGTAAAAGCAATAATATACTCTCAAATAGTGAAAAAAACCACGGCAAATATAAAGCAAGGTAATAAGATGCAAGTCCTAGGGTGGGGTGGGGGTTGTGACCTGGGAAAGGAGGGTAAGGAAAAATGTTCCTGAGGCAGAAAAGCCTCCTAGGCACAGGGGAGGGCACATGCTAGGGAGGGTGGCAGCATGCACAAAGGTCCTGAGGCACCAAACTTGGCGTTTGGAGAAACCACAGGAGTCCCGAAGCTGGAGGCATGAAGGGGCGAGCAGAACGTGCTGGGGGCGGAGAGGCAGGCAGAGTGCGGGCCCGGGAGCCTCGTGAGGAGTCTGATTGCAATGTGGGATGGGGAACCATTGGGGGCCTTGAACAGAGGAGATGCAACCTGATTTCCCTGGTGAATGCCCCTCCGGGTGCAGAGTGGAGGGCAGACAGAGGGGCTGGGGTCCTGGAAAAAGCCCTGGAAGATGGGCGTGCTTGGGCCCTGGGGCTGAAATGTGGACAAAGGTCTCGTGGTTTGGAGAACTCACTGTGCAGCACAGACCTCACTAGTGCATCTGAGGTGGGGTGAGGGGATAGAGGGGGAATGGATGACCCCTGAGTTTTTAGCGTGAAGGGGGATGGGACCACTTCCTGAGAGGAGCCTGCGGAGGAGGCTTCTGTGAAGCAGGTGGAAGAGTTCCGATGGCAACGCGATGAATCAGGGATGCCTGTCCACCCTCCGAGGGGGTGTCATGGGGCAGCAGGAGATCTGAGTTTGGACTTTGATTGGGGCATCAGGGCTGGGGAGTGGTGGGGGTGCAGACATAATATCTGAAGCCATGACATTGGGTAGGGTCATGGAGGAAGAGGGAAAAACGGAGGGATGGGCGAGCATCCCACTCCTGACTGCGAATCCCAGAAAGAAAGCCCCAGCTGGAAGGTGAGGCAGAGCTGGGGCGGCACCGGTAGGCGGCTCAGAGGAAGCACACTTCTTCCCCCTTCTCCCCCTTTCTCAGATGAGGAAACTGAGCTCCAAAATCACCAAGGCTTGTCCCTAGAAACACAGCCCATGAGGGGCAAGTCAGATTCTGAGCTTCAGGATTTTGAACTTGAACTAAAAGTTGCTCGGAATATCTGACCCTTCTTCCACATGGCCAACTCCTATACACCCTCCAAAGGCCAACTCAAATGTCTCCTCCTCTATGAAGCACTCCTTGCTCCACGCTTGTGCCCAATCCCCCACCATGGTTCCATGGCAGTTTCTACACACCTCCACTTAGAACTTACTCTACGTCAGGATAGTAGTTTCAGAGTCTCATTGGGCTGTGAGCTCCTTGACGTCAGACAGCAGATTCTATGCACACCCCACACCCCTGCTTGCCCAGAAACTAGGCATATGAGGAGCTCTATAAAGCCTTTCTGGATGGATGGAAGGAAAGGGTGTATGCATGCACGGGTGGGTGGGTGGATGGGTAGGTGCATATATTGATGGATAACCAATGGAGAGACGAATACCATATAGATCAATGGCACATGGATAGGTGGGTGGATGGATAATGGGGTGAGTGGGTGTGTGTATAGATAGATGGATGGATGGGTGAGTAGGTGGATGGATAGATGAGATAACCAATGGATAGATAAATATATAGATCAATGGCACTTGGATAGATGGATGGTGGATGGCGGGTGGACGGATAGAATACTACAGGGTTTGTAGTCAAAATATTCAGAATTCTGGCCTGGCCACAATTTGGACTAGCTGCTGGACCAGGCACCACGAGGTCCATGTTGCTGAACCCTGGGCTCCTCACCTTTGGTGTGGAGAGAAGAGTGACCAATTGTCCACCTGCTGGAGCCCTGCAAAGCTCAAAAGGGCCAAGAGAGGGCTCAGGGGCCTTGTGGGGCTGTGCAAATGTCAGGCAGCCCCAGGGAGCCTGGAGCAGTCTGCACCATCGCAGAGTTCTCTGCCAGAAATCACCTCCAAACGTCCATCGAGGGAACATAATTTCCACATGGCTGGTTTTAAAACCAAGTAATTAAATGGTTTTATAGTCAGTTTTTAAAACAAGCTCTTTAAGTTATGAGTATAAAGCATGTCCCTGTAATAGCCAAGTTGTTCTGTTTTGTGATTTCTATTGCAATGTATTTTTATAATTAGGCAGAAAAAACATCCATTCAGGGCTGAGGCCACTTTATTGCACTCACTTTTGGGCTTGGTGTGACCCAACCAACCCACAGAGATCGGGGCTCCTTAGGGTCTGTCTGTCTGGGTCCTTGCGGGAGGAGATCACCTTGAGGGTGGTGGGTGTCTGACAAAGACACATGACCACCCCACTTGGATGAAGGGTAGCTCAGGGGCTAGAGGATGGATGAATGAATGGTAGATGGGTGGATGGATGGATGGAGGATAAGTGGATGGATGGATGGATAGATGGATTATGGATGAGTGGATGGTGAATGGGTAGATAGGTGGATGAATAGGTGGATGGTGGATGGGTGAATGGACAGATGACAGATGGATGGATGGATGGATGTGTGTGTATGTATATGTGAGTGGGTTGGCTAGCGGCACTCAGAGGAGGCACCTTTTTCAGCCAGGAGTGGGAGGATCAAAGAAGCCTCCAGATGAAGGTAATTATTTGGCTAGGTATGAGATGTAGGGCTCAGGGAGATGATTCCAGCTATACTGGCTTTAGGGCCACCTGCCAGGCTCCATCCCTTATTGAAAACCTGTTCCTATAGGCTAGAGTCCAGCTGAAGCTAGGGATGCCAGAAAATATAGGACACCCAGTTATATTTGAATTTCCAATAAAGAAGTAACTTTTTTTAGTAATAAGTATGCCCCAAACATCACATAATTTTAGTATAAGTATGCAATATTTGTGATATACTAAACTAACTGGTTGATATATAAAATTCAAATTTAACTGTGCATCCTTTAAAAAGTTCTTTGTTTAAGCTGGCAGCCCTATGAGAGAATGGAGCCACTGAAGTGGGTTTGGAGGCTGTTGGTCACCCCTGGTCAGCTGTGAGGCCAGCAGAGGCTCCTTGCTGTCTACTGTTAAGTGATGAGCACCGTGAAGAGGGAAGCTCAGGTCTGCGGGAGCACAGAGGAGCCACCTAGTCCCCAGGGATCTGTAGTTTCCTGGAAGTATCACTGGAAGGATGAAGAACAGTTGGGGAAATCTACCGTGGGAGGAAGTTATTTCAGGTGATGGAAAAGCACGGGCAGGCACAGGAACACCTGATGTGGCAAGAGTGGAGGTGGAGGTGGTGGGACTGGGGAGAGGGCAGGTATGTAACCATGTCCCTCTTAGATCACCCCAGGGTGCAACAGTGCTGCTGCTCTCCTGGTCAAAGACTTTACCCACATTTTAAAAGGCACCTCTCCCTCCCTGGCACATGCCTGGAGAATGGTTAACCCCCTTATACCAGGAAAAAGATTTTCCTTTCTCCAGGCCAAGGCACCTCACTCCATAGCCCCATTTGTCCTCAGCTAATTGCCCCTGTGCAGTACACAACTTGTCCAATGCCCTGACTTCAAGCTTAAGTTCCAGATAGGAGGGTCTTGTCTCTCTTGCTCACTGTTATATCTCCAGAAACTACAGCAGTGCCAGGTAAATCTCTGACAAATCAATATGGAGTGAAGGAAGGCAGATGGATGAATGAATGAATGAATGAATGAGTGAATGGATGGCAGATGGATGAACAGATGGAGGACAATGGATGAGTAGATGAATGGATGGATGGATGGGTAGACAGAGAGATGGTGGATGGGTGAATAGGTGGATGGATGAATAAATGGATGGATGAATGGATAAGCAGATGAACAGATGGGTGGAGCACTGGCTCGAGAGCTAGTCCCTGGATTATGGGTGAATGGATGGTGAATGGGGTGGGTAGGTGGATTAATAGGTGGATGGATGAATGGATTGATGGGTGGATGGCAGATGGGTGGATGAGTAGAGGGATGGATGGACAGTGGATAAGAGATGGATGGATGGATGAATGGATGGTGGTTGGTGGATAGGTGGATGGATGAATGGATTATGGGTGAATGATGGTGAATGGGTGTATGGTTGGATGAATAGGTGGATGGATAGATGGATTGATGGGTGGGTGGTGGATGGGTGGATAGGTGGATGGATAGATGGATTGATGGGTGGGTGGTGGATGGGTGGATAGGTGGATGGATAAATGGATTGATGGGTGGATGGTGGATAGGTGGATAGGTGGATGGGTGGATGGATTCATGATGGATGGATGGATGGACAGTGGATGAGAGGATGGATAAATGCATGGTGGAAGAGTGGATGAATAGATGGGTGGGTGGATGAATGGATGGTGGATGCGTGGATGGGTTATGGATTATGGGTGAATGGATGGATTATGGGTGAATGGATGGTAAATAGGTGGATGGATGAATGGATTGATGGGTGGATGGTGGAAAGGTGGATGGGTGGATGGATTCATGGTGGATGGATGGATGAACAGTAGATGAGAGGATGGATAAGTGGATGGTGGAAGAGTGGATGAATAGATGGATGGGTGAGTGGATGGGTGGATGGATGAGTGGATGGGTGGACGGATAGGTGGATTATGGGGGAATGGATGGTGAATAGGTGGATGAATAGGTGGATGGATGAATGGATTGATGGGTGGATGGTGGATGGGTGGATGGGTAGAGGGATGGATGGGATGGATGGACAGTGGGTAAGAGGATGGATGAATGGATGGTGATGGGTGGGTGGATGAATGGATCGTGGTTGGTGGATAGGTGGATGGATAAATGGATTATGGGTGAATGATGGTGAATGGGTGTATGATTGATGAATAGGTGGATGGATAGATGGATTGATGGATGGCTGGTGGATGGGTGGATAATGAATGAATGAATGGATGAGTGAACGGATGTTTGATGAGTGGATAGGTGGATAGATGGATGGTGAATGAATGGATGGTGAATGGGTATATGGGTAGATGGCGGATGAGTGAATGGATAGGTGGATGGATAAATGGATGGAAAGATAGATTGGTAGACACATGGTAGATGGGTGGATGGATGAACTGCAAGTGTAAGGATGGTAGGGCTTAGGCTGGCCATCCAGGGCCTCACACCTGGGCATTCAGTAGCAGCTTACACTAGGAAATCGATGAGAGAGTGTGGAATCGGTTGTCCAGTGTGGGAGATATCTCCACAAGCAGTGTCTCCACGGGTCATTCTTGGTGAGCCATGTGAGGTGCATGTGCTTCTTTGTTCTTTAGTGGGCCACTTTCTCCAAGGCTAACTTTGGAGTTATCCTCACATGGGGCCCAGAGTGCTCCTTAGTTGCTAGACATGCCTTATTACACCTCAGTGAATGGGGACTTATTGCTTCTGGGTGGAGGGCGGCCCAGGCCTACCCTGCTTCCCTTGACATTCTCAGCTGGGTCCCTGCAGTGCTGGCAGCTTCCTGGCACCTGGCCACGCAGAGCCCCGCTGAACAGACAGCGCCCGCGACTCTTCCTCAATCACTCTCATCTGTCTCATTCGTTAGTTTATTGGGCCTCCTTGCATTTTTTTCTGCAGACGTAGAGTATCAACAAATGTATTTAATTTCTCAGTGGGAACCAGGAAGACCTATTTTGGGCAGCAGACCTAGGCTGGGATGCCCCGATGCTTGTTCAGCCCTTCACCAAATGCTCCCTCTGCCTGGAAGGCTGACACCTCCTTCAGAGGAGAGATGTCTGTGAGCTCTGCAGGCCTACAGGCCTGGGACCTCAAGTTCCTGGTAGGCAGAGCCTGTGGCTCCTCCCCGCAGAAAGAGGTGGAGAGAGAGGGGCTTGCAGTCAGTTGGGGAGAGCACTGGCCCGAGAGCCAGTCCCTGCTGTTGGCCTTGGCCCTTGCCCGGCTCGAAGAATGGCGTCTCCTCCCCCAGCCCTTCTTCTTGTTCCCCTCCCATCTCCTCCCACTACCTGTCCCCTCCAAAGCTAAGCAGTCACTTTTCAGGTGCCTGCTGTGGGCCAGGCTTTGTACCAGGCCTAACGTTCATTCTCTCCCACGTCCGCGAAGCTCCTGTGGGGTGGGATTATACAGCATAATAGAGTGTGCATGGATTGGAATTCTCTGTGGCAACATGAACAGTTGTTATTGACATTGATCCCTTCCAGCAGACCAGGCCCCAGAAAGAAGGCTGAGGCAGGTGGCAAGAGCTCCTGCAGGAGCCGAGCACACCCAGCCGAGTCACTGCGTGGGGCCCAGGGGAGCAGGGCAGGCTGGGGTCTTAGTGGGTTCAAGTAGAGGCCCCTGGTGGGCTGGGGACTGGTTCCCCCAGCCCAAGCCCGGCCACACCCCATGTAGTGTTACCGGTGACTCAGGCAGAGGCCTGTCCTTAAGGAGATGGAGATGAACCCAGACCCCCGACCCCCATCGTGGCCAGAAGGACCGAGGGAGCAGGCAGCCGGAGGGCACGGCAGGGTGCCTGGGATGTGGCGGAGGCGTGTGTCCTAGCTCTACTGGGAGAGTTGTCCCACCCTGTCTCCATGCCCTTCTCCTTCCCCCCAGACCCAAGCCACCGTCCTTTCACCCCTGTGACCTCCCAAAAGCCATTTTGGATTCCTGTTGTGTCCTGTCTGAGTGATCTCATTGTTTTCAGGATGAAACTCCCGCATCCTGGCTGATGATGCTCAGTTTTACCTCCCCAGCCTTCTGAGCTCCGGAAACTCGGCCCGTCAGCCTCCAGCACCTCCACCCAGGCCCCATGACTCCTCCCACAGCCCCTGCAAAGCTACATGTGTCACCTTCCGCTGTCCTCTTCTGTCCCACACCACATTCCCCATCACATCAGATGAAACCGGAACCCACGGCAGAGCCCAGAGCTGGGCATGGGGCCGATCCTTCCTCAGCACCTCACTGGCCTCCCTGGCCTCTCGGCATGGATCCACAGAGCCTGAGCCAGGGCTCGGCAAGCCTGTCTGGAGAGGACCAGCTTTGCAGGCCTATGGCCTCTGTCCTAACAGCACCAGTGCAGCCCCTGACAATGTGTAAGCAAGTGTATGAGGCTGGGTGCCAGCAAGAGGCATTCACGGGCACTGAAACTGAATTCCATGTCATTTTCATGTGCCATGGAGGATTCCTATTCTTCTCATTTTTGCAACTATTGAATTTTTCCCCAAGCATTTAAAAACCTAACAACCAGTTTTACCTGCGGCTACGTGGAAACAAATCCTGACATATTGGGCAGTGGACAAAGCCATGAGGGTCCCCACTTCTTGGGGCTCACCTTCAGGGGGCCCTGAAGGCTGACACCTTGGGTGATGTTTCAGATCCACATGAAGACATGAACAATGGATGACAAACCAGAGACCTGCTCCCAACAGCTCCTGGGCTGGGCACCGTGCTGGGCAGTCTCAGGGTGCTGGTCGGCCGGTTTCCCTTGGGGCTGAGAGGGCGGAAGGAATCTATGTGCAGGTAGGTCCCATGACTGTCCAACTGCACCCAACCCCACTCATCTCAGCCAGGACTTGAGCCTGGTCTCTCTGGCTTCATGGTCTACACTCCTTGGATTTTGCTAACTTCCAAGCTGCAGCTTCATCCAACACCCAGAAGAAGGCCAGGAAGCCCCAGCTCCACCTGCAAGGTGCTGAGGTCATGGTTTCTGCCTTTACCAGCTAAAGTCTTTCAGAAAGAGCTGTCACTGGCTCCATGTGGGCTTTTGCTTTTCACAGCCTCAGTAGCTGCAGTGGGCGCCCATGTAGACGTGTGGGTGCTGGGCTGCATGGTGGCTGCAGGCCATCCTGCTTAGTTCTGTGGTGCCAGATGGGCAGTGCCACCCTCCGTTCTCAGTGTCTGTGTGTCTGCACGCGTGCGGGAGTGGGCTGATGCCTGGAGATGTTGATGAATGGCCAGTAACTAAATGACTGAATCTGAAAGTCCCTGGCACCAAGACCTGCCCATCACGGGGAGCCCCTGCTTGGAAATCCTCCTTGCCTTCCCCTTCCCCATCCCCGTCCACAGGATCGGGGCTGCTCTTCCACCCACCTTGGCTCCCGGGACTTTACCAATCGTAGTGCTGACTGCACTGGACTATCCTCTACTTACTTGTTGGCCCCTTTGTTAGATCAATTGCTCCTGACCCTTTTGGTTCTAAACCATTTAAGAATCTGATGGAATCAACAGATTTGCTGCCTAGAAAAACCGAGCACAGAATGTGCCCCCTCCACACCACTCTGCCTGCATTTTTAAGGTACTTAAGGACCCCCCCAAGCCCCACCCCAGGTGGAAAGACCTCAGCTATGGCCCGGCTGTTTCTTGAGACAAGGGCAGGTCTGCTCGTCTGCGTCCCCGGCCCGGTGTTGACTCTGCCAATGTGCCATGCAATGAACCCGGGGGGCCTCGTGCAGAGCTCCCCTGGAGTGACAGTGGAGGTATGCACAGACAGGGGTGGGCTGGGGGCCCTGGTGGAGGACAGGGTCCCATGGAGATAAGGAAACACCAGTCCTCTGGAGCTCAGCCCACATCCTCGTCCCTCATGAGTGTCCTCATTTAACTGGCAACTTGACACCAGCATCTCACGTGTGGAGAGGACACATGTGGCAGGGAGGGGTGGGCGTGACTCCCACAAAGTCCCTCTCCAACAATCTCCCATTCCAACCGCGGCTAATTGCATCTTCGGAACACATTTGCTGTTCAGTAGTTTCAGAGCTGATAAGATTTCCCCCCAATTCCCTGGCATTGTGAACTTTACTCAGCGCGTCCTGCAGTAATTAGTCTGGGGGCCCCAAGGTGACGGTCTGGGGAGAGGGTGTTAGTGAGCTAATCATCAACCTCATGATTGAAAACTGGCCTGTGGATGATTACGGTCAGACATTCACTGGCGCTATCCGCCCCGAGCACAACTGCCAAGGAATGAAGGAAAATAGGGTGCCCGGCTGCATTCGCTAAAAATAAAATGCAAAGTGCAGGGCAGATGGCATTGGAGTTTGGGGTTAGGCAGACTCCACACACTGAGCAGAGGGGCTGACCACTGATACACAAGAGACAAGTCACCATGAGAGTGCGCAGCGGAGACCCTTGTCATCCCAAGGCCCATCCGGAGGTCCCGGGTCATGGGGGCGGTGGGGGTGGGTGGCTTGAACAGTTCCTGAGCCGCTCTCTGGAGCTCACGTCCACCTTCCCCGTCACACTGGCCCTGGGACCCTTCCATTCTGGTCATTTATGTGCCAGGCCCTAGGCCAAGGACACAGAGCAGGACGTGTTCCCTGCCTTCTGCAAGGCTCACAGTCTGGAGGAGGAGGAAAACCTTTCTCACATGGCAGAGAGAGGACTGACCAAGGAGAAACCACAGGGGCTGGACGGGGGAGGTCACAGAGGAGGGTCTGAATTGGCAGTTGACGAGGGCTGAGGATGGCTGAGAACAGGTCTGGCCGGGTGGGCTGTATAGAGGCGCCTTGACTGCCACATTGATCCACAGGGCAGTGCCTCCAGGTAAGCACGGAGCTATGAGGAAGAGAAACGGTGCTAACAGAAACTTTGGCTGGTTTAGAATTTACTGTATGTAAGGCACTGAAAGATTTTAACCAATGTATTCCTTTCAAAGTTCTGCAAGGCAAGGATTGTTACTCACCTTGAAAAGGAAAAACAAACAAATGAAAAACAACAACAACAACAAAACCAAGTTCAGAGAGGTTAAGCATCAGAGCCCAAGCCCACACAGCCAGTGAGTAGAGTCTGACCCCACGCCTGTGCCCTTAACCCTTCACCAGCCCCTCATGCAGCCTGAGTGTTAGTGCTTTTAGTGGGACTGCCTGAGACTCCCCAGGACCGCTCAGAACCTCATGTTCACCCCTATTGTCCACTGCAGGCCTGGGCACAGAGGGATTTGGGAAGTGACTTTGGAAAGGATGACTAGTGCTCGGCTAGTGCCTGATGCTGGCCCTGGTGTGTTCACATATGAGCGGCTCCCTTTGAATGGGAGCTCCCTGAGGGCAGGACTGTGACAAATCCTGCCCGGCCCCAAGCAGAATCTGGTACAGATCAGATGCTCGGCAAATGCTGAGCCACAGACAACAGAAGGTGTGCAAGCCAAGTTGATGTGATGTCCCTGGAGCGGGAAGCCTGTGGGCATGACCGGAGGGCAGCCCACAGATGGCACAGAAGCCTGGCATCAGGTCCTGGGGACTGGGGCTGCCAGTGGGCACCTCCAGGTGCTGGCTGCCTCTGTCCCTGTCACTGAGTGCCCTGTCCCTGGCTGGCAAGCATCTTGAACACCTCTTCCTGGGAGCCTGTGTGGGATGCCCACTTCCCTCATGTTTGTCAGAAAGGATCTGGGCTTCTGCTGAACTGATATTTTTCAGTGACAGCTACATGCCAGGTGTTGTCCTGGGAAACAAGGGGCTCAGCAAGTAAGTGACAGAGATGGCCCCTGGTATGTGGAGCTTGAGTTCTGTGTCAATAAGCCAGGGCACGGTAATGAGCAAGGTAGCTTCAGGTGGTCAAAGGGCCCTGACGATGATGAAACTGAGTGACGTGGTCCGGAGATCCTGGGGTGTGCAATCCGGCAGCCTTCTCTGAGGAGTGGCAATTGAACCTTATCATTTCCATTTCCTGCCAGCCCCACTGCCATCTGCTAGGTGGCAGCTCTGCCAGGGAGCATGGCAGGCAGGAAGTGACGAGGGAGGCTGGTGTGTAAATACCCACACTCCTGCTCTGGTGGGACAACTGCGTGTGCCATACACTAGCTCCCAGGGGTGCCCAGAGGGACTAAGTGCTGACTATTGGGCACTGTGGAGGCCTCCTTCTCTTCTTGGTGCCATGCCCTGGCAGGGCATGGCATGTCCTAAACACGGTATTTGTCTGCAAATCCTCATTTCAGGTTCTGCTTCTGCGAGAGCCCAAACCAAAGCACAGGGGAACCGCAACTCACTCACGGCCAGCCGGGGACTGTGACTTCAAGGATGCCACCAAGACGCTCTGGGGTCCAGGCTGATGCGGTAGAGACAGCCCTGGGGCTGGGGGCTGAGGAGCACCTATCTCTGCTACTCATTGGCCATGTGATCCTGGGAATGTGACTTTCCTCTTGAACACTGACCCCCTCATCAACAAGCATGGGAACTATGCTGCTCTGAGATTCCATCTGCTCTGAACTCCTGGGTGGCCCAGGGAAGAGAGCCAGAAAGACTTGGCAGGATTCTCAGGACTACCCATGACTGGATGCAGTTGCCTTGGGGAAAAGGCTGCTTCCTTCCATGAGCCCCAATCTTGTCTGTGAGGTGGACAAAATTGTTATTAATTATTGACACTCAGGGCTGTTGTAAGGATGAGATGGGCCATCGCTGTAACACCAGGTGCCCAAGAAGCGCTCAATGACAGGCAGGTGGGGCGGGAGGTCAAAGGGGGCTTATGGAGGGCTTCACGGAGGAAGAGTGGTAGGCGTTGAATCTGGAAGGTGGCGGGGCAGGCTGCAGAACAAAAATTCCCCGACGCACCCTCTCCACCTCCCCAGGAGGATCCACGTGGCTTCAGGACACAGCAAGTCTCCAAAAGCGTCTGCGTGGAGCATCTGTCTCAGATCCAAGTATTGAAATGCTGAACACATATTTTTATTTTCATGATTAAAAGGCCAAGGAGAGACAAATGATAACACAAGAAAGACAGAGAGATCAATTTTGAAGGTGGGAACCTGCAGCTTCATAAGCGTAACTCTTGTGGCCAGACCATGAAGTCAATGAAATACTAAAAGTTGATATCCATCATCAGGGTTTTATGTCGGCAAAGAGATGGCAGAAAAATTGACGGGGGCTTTCTGCCTCTGAGCTGAAGGCTGGTAGTGAAATCGCTTCAGAGAAAAAGCTTCATATAAAGTGTAGGACTTATCAGGTAACAAATTCAGAAACAGCTGTTGTCCCCACTCTGTTTATCTAGGAATGAAGTCAAAGGATCCTCAACAGCTCAGGGCCCTGTGACACTATTAGGTTGGTGCAAAAGTAATTATGGGTGCATTATTATAAAAATTGCCTGCCCGCATGTGCTACCCCTGGGGTCATCCACAGGGGCTCTGCCCTTGCTTCCTGATGGCATCGTCACCCACCCTCCTCTGCTTGAAGAATATAACTCCCAATACAGTCACACAGAATGGAGACCACACCGTCTAGCCTTCCCTGAAGCTCAGGGTGAACATATGCCCAAGAGCACAGGATAATGCAGACCCAAACAGGGCAAGTCCAGCCAGTACCCACAGAGGCGGCCCTCAAGGCACAGGACGCACCTCCCTGTTCCTGAGGAGGTTCAGGAGCTACATGTTCTTAGCAGCCCGACATCTGACAGAGGAGCTCTGGAAACTTCTGAGAGGAACAGGTGAAGCTTACAGGTCTGGGAGGTGACCGTTTGCAGCAGAAACGAAGGACAAGGAGTCGGAACGAGAAGCCAGGATACTGTGTAACTGTTTCAACAGTGGAATCAAAGTCGCTGGAGTCTGACGGCCACAGAGACGATCGTTGAATAAGTATTTAAGAATGCAATCCACAGTCAAATGGGTTTGAGTGGATATTCTCCATCGCTAAAAACAACCCTAGCTCTATTCTCCGGCAGGTTGTAAAGAGCAAATTGTTATTTACAGGAGCTCCTCACTGCAATAACTCTCCTGTAGCTCACCTTCAAAGAGTTGTCAGGTAAGATCTTTCCATCTAAGGCACTGAAACTCAGTCTTAAAGAGTAAGTTATTATCAAGAAGGGGTGGTTCATGGGAGCAGAAATGTTCAATGCTCGGAATTCAAGGAGTCCCCGTCTCCACTCATGCAACCGGCCAGAGCACCTCTCCCTGACGTGGTGTCCCCACGCTCCGGTGGCTCTTCTGTTCCCCCGTGTGGCTGCATGTGCATCCTTTCAGCATCTGTAACTTCACTGGTGCAGGTCCTGGGGGTCACCTCCACAGAGACCACCACCTGGGGGACTGTCTGTGGGCTTTGGAGGGTGTTCTCTGCTCACCACCCACTGGCTGCAGCCTCTGCTGGGGTGGGTCTCTGTAATCCAGCTGTTCCCCCTGCTCCTCACCCCCAAGACCCCCTCCCAGGACCAGCACCAAGCCACAGGTATGTGATGAATGTGTGGGGGAATGAAATGGAACAGAGAGCAGAGGCAGATGTGAAACAGCAAGGGATCCCAAAACATCCACCAGGGAGACGGCCTCTTTCTGGCAATATGGCAGCCTAAATACCATGCAGATCCTTCCCATGGGAAGGGAGCAATAGGGAAACAGCAATAAAGCTGGATTAAACACACCTTCAGATATTTCAAGGTGCACTGTTAAGCTTGCAAGAAAACAGGATTCTTTGGAGACCAAAACCCCAAGTGGAGGCAGAAATCCAGAGAGCTGAGCTAGCCCTGGGCCAGTGTCCTCTCCCTGCACCCCTGGAGTAGCAGGTGGCAGGTGCCCCCCAACACCTATCCTTTCCTCGAAGAACAGAACTCCCAATACAGCCATGTGGAATAGAGACTGCACCGTCTAACCTCCCCCGAAACTCAGGGTGAACATACACTCAATATGACCAAAGAATGCAAGCAGGAGTTCTGTGTGAAACACCTGAGAAGTGTCCTCAAAACCACCACCATGCCTTTCTTCACCCCTTTTCCTCCTTTCCAACGACTGGGATATGCAGACAATGGCTGGCACAGCTGCAGCTACTCTGGACCTTGTTGGAAGTGGAAGCCAGGCAGAGTGAGGTATAAAGAAGAAACATGGATCCCTCACACGAAGGAACATCAAACCAGTCCCATGCTGACCTCCTCCAGATTTCTGGATCCTGAGAGAGAAATACGCTTCTATCCTGATTAAGTCACTCTGGTTTGAGATTTTACATTATTCGTGGCTGAAATGAATCCTAACTCAGCGGGATATCTTGAAACTCTCTTTTGACATCTGCATGGGGTGTAGGGGTCAGGAGACAAATCCAAGGAGAGGAGCCAGCTTAGAAGAATCCCTCTGCCTGAAGCTGGGACCCCAGGGGGTGACATCTTTGTTGTAAGGATGAACTGGCCTTGTATTAGTCTGTTCTCACACTGCTATAAAGAAATACCCGAGACCAGGTAATTTATAAAGGAAAAAGTTTTAATTGACTCACAGTTCTGCATGGCTGGGCAGGCCTCGGGAAACTTACAGTCATGGCAGAAGGGGAAGCAGGCACCTTCTTCACAAGGCGACAGAAGAGAGAATGAATGTGGGCATAGGAACAACTATCGCTTTTAAAACCATCACCATAGGCCGGGCGCGGCGGCTCATGCCTGTAATCCCAGCACTTTGGGAGGCCGAGGCGGGGATGGAGACCATCCTGGCTAACACAGTGAAACCCCGTCTCTACTAAAAATACAAAAAATGAGCCGTGCGTGGTGGCGGGCACCTGTAGTGCCAGCTACTCAGGAGGCTGAGGCAGGAGAATGGCATAAACCCGGGAGGCGGAGCTTGCAGTGAGCCGAGATCGCGCCACTGCACTCCAGCCTGGGCGACAGAGCGAGACTCCGTCTCAAAAACAAACCAACAAACAAACATCACCATAGTGATCTTGTGAAACTCTCTCACTACCACGAGAACAGCATGGGGGAAACCACCCCTATGATCCACTCACTTCCCTCCCTCAACACGTGGGGATTCCAGGTTGAGATGAGATTTGGGTGGGGACACAGAGCCAAACCATATCAGTCCCTAAAGCCACCCTGTGGCCAGAGACCTGCCCATCTCTGCCTTGTTTGTGGTAGGAGGAGAAAAGTACACACACACACACCAGAGCCTCACACGACACACACACAGCAGTCACACACACCGTACAAGTCACACACAACACACAACAAACACACAACAGAGTCACACGCAACATAGTCACACATATGAATTTTACTAAAACTTAGTAAGTTTTTATTTATTAAAACTAAAAATATCTCCCAAAGATGTGTAAACTCGAGGCAGCCTTCTTACAGCTGCATGTGAGATCTAAAAACGCCAGGCTAGGAATTCCCTTTACCAGACCCCATGTTAGCAATGCTCCCAGGATTCCCCCAGAGGAGCACAGGTGTGACCCAGGCCTCAGAGAATCCCCGCAGATCAGGTTTCAAAGAGCATGATGACCTCACTATGAAAAATGACAAAATATACCAGGAAATGAGGCTCTGTAAGCAAGAACCACAGAAACAATAGAGAGAGGAATTAATTAGGCCCCCAAAGACTTTAAATATTGGACTTATCAGATAATGATGTTCACATGTTTAAAGAAATAAAGGTGAGAATAAAATATGAATAGGAACCAAAGACTTTAAAATAAACAGCTCTGAAAATGAGCCAAATATTGTTTCTAAAAATTAAGGACATCATAATTGAGGTTGAAAACAAAGGAAGCCAGGGAGAATTCTTGAGTGATATGGTACAGCTGAAGACATAACCAAGAATCACAGCACAGAAAACAGACGGAGAAAATCGGTCCACAAATCAGAACAGAGGATTTGCCATTTCAGAACCTCATTACAATCAATTTCAAAAGTTAAAGGAAACTTTTACAGAAAGATATCTGCATGCAAGAAGGAACAGGGAGAAAAGGTGTTAGGAAATATGGAGTGATCTAAACAAACACTGAGTTACAAATCAATAATAATGACGTTTAGCTCTCCCTCTCCCCCTCCCCCTCCCCCTCTCTTTCCATGGTCTCCCTCTCCCTCTCTCTCCATGGTCTCCCTCTGATGCCGAGCGGAGGCTGAACTGTAGTGCCGCCATCTCTGCTCACTGCAACCTCCCTGCCTGATTCTCCTGCCTCAGCCTGCGGAGTGCCTGCGATTGCAGGCGCACACCACCACGCCTGACTGGTTTTTGTATTTTTTTGGTGGAGACGGGGTTTTGCCATGTTGGTCGGGCTGGTCTCCAGCTCCTGACCGCGAGTGATCTGCCAGCTTCGGCCTCCCGAGGTGCCGGGATTGCAGACGGAGTCTCGCTCACTCAGTGCTCAATGTTGCCCAGGCTGGAGTGCAGTGGCGTGATCTCGGTTGGCTACAACCTCCACCTCCCAGCCGCCTGCCTTGGCCTCCCAAAGTGCCGAGATTGCAGCCTCTGCCCGGCCGCCACCCCGTCTGGGAAGTGAGGAGCGTCTCTGCCTGGCCGCCCATCGTCTGGGATGTGAGGAGCCCCTCTGCCCGGCCGCCCAGCCTGGGAAGTGAGGAGTGCCTCTTCCCGGCAGTCATCCCGTCAAGGAAGTGAGGAGCGCCTCTTCCCGGCAGTCATCCCGTCAAGGAAGTGAGGAGCGCCTCTTCCCGGCCGCCGCCATCCCATCTAGGAAGTGAGGAGCGTCTCTGCCCGGCCGCCCATCGTCTGAGATGTGGGGAGCGCCTCTGCCCCGCCGCCCCGTCTGGGATGTGAGGAGCGCCTCTGCCTGGCCGCGACCCTGTCTGGGAACTGAGGAGTGTCTCTGCCCGGCCGCCCCGTCTGAGAAGTGAGGAGCCCCTCCGCCCAGCAGCCGCCCCGTCTGGGAAGTGAGGAGCGTCTCCGCCCAGCAGCCGCCCCCTCCAGGAGGTGGGGGACAGCCCCCGCCCGGCCAGCCACCCCGTCCGGGAGGGAGGTGGGGGGCGCCTCTGCCTGGCCACCCCGTCTGGGAGGTGAGGGCCCCTCTGCCCGGCAGCCACCCCGTCTGGGAGGTGTACCCAGCAGCCCATTGAGAACGGGCCATGATGACGATGGCGGTTTTGTCGAGTGGAAGTGGGGGAAGTGTGGGGAAAGGAAAGAGAAACCAGATTGTTGCTGTGTCTGTGTAGAAAGAAGTAGACATGGGAGACTCCATTTTGTTCTGTACTAAGAAAAATTCTTCTGCCTTGGGATGCTGTTAATCTATGGCCTTACCCCCAACCCCGTGCTCTCTGAAACATGTGCTGTGTCCACTCAGGGTTAGATGGATTAAGGGCGGTGCAAGATGTGCTTTGTTAAACAGATGCTTGAAGGCAGCATGCTCGTTAAGAGTCATCACCGCTCCCTAATCTCACATACTCAGGGACACAAACACTGCGGAAGGCGGCAGGGTCCTCCGCCTAGGAAAACCAGAGACCTTTGTTCACATGTTTATCTGCTGACCTTCCCTCCACTATTGTCCTATGACCCTGCCAAATCCCCCTCTCCGAGAAACACCCAAGAATGATCAATAAATACTAAAAAAACAAACAAACAAACAAAAAACAAAGCTATGTTAAACTTTTTTTTTTTTTTTTTTTTTTTTGAGAGAGTCTTGCTTTGTCGCCCAGGCTAGAGTGCAGTGGTGTGATCTCAGCTCGCTGCAACCTGTGGCTCCTTAGCTAAAGCAATCCTCCCACCTCAGCCTCCTGAGTAGCTGGGACTACGGGCATGCAGCACCATACCCAGCTAAACATATGAGGTTAAAATGTAGAGAGTATAATAATGACCCTGCTTTTTTGAATAGCTCACTATCTAGTGAAAAACAACCTTAAAAGAGTTCTACAAATGTTTAAGTTGCACTACTACTGTTTGAATAAAGATATTGCTTGATAACTTAAAAAAAAAAATGAGGTTTAATTTGGGGAGTTTAAAAAAAGATACAACTAAAATCCTAGGCAAAACAGCATCTAAATCAAAGCTGGTTTTTTGGAGTTAAAATATCCTAAGGGAGGCCTTTGCATTATTTAAGAGGAAGATAAAGATACTTATTCACTCCAAACTTCATTAAGCAGTCTATTAAAACTTCTAGGATAAAACTAAAAGACTAGGTCAGGAGTTCGAGACCAGGAAACACGGCGAAACCCTGTTCCTGCTAAAAATACAAAAATTAGCCAGGCATGGTGGCAGGCACCTGTAATCCCAGCTACTCAGGAGGCTGAGGCAGGAGGATCACTTGAACCCGGGAGATGGAGGTTGCAGTGAGCTGAGACCATGCCATTGCCCACCAGCCTGGGCTGTTAATTAGAGCAAACCCTAAAATATAAGGACAGAGGAACATTAAAACTGAAAAGATAGGGAAAGTTATACCAGGCAAAAACTAACAAAGTAAACTAGTGTATCTCCATAAGTCTCATACGAAAGAGATTTGAAGACAAAATATTTGCTAGGGAGATAAAAGTTGCTAATATAATGACAGAACGATTTGATTTACAAGAAATACATAATATATAGCATTTTAATCGTGTGTGTGTGTGTGTGTGTGTGTGTGTGTGTGTGTGTGTGTATATATATATGTATATCGTAATCTAAAAACGCCAGGCTAGGAATTCCCTCTACCGGACCCCGGGTTAGCAATGCTCCCAGGTTTCCCCAGAGGAGCACAGGTGCAACCCAGGCCTCTGCCTCCCCTGCCAGCCGGGACTGGGAGCCGATTGGTGTGGCCCCTCCTAAACCTGTCTCCCGCGATCAACATCCACGCAGAGCACAGCGGGCTTGGGTGGGGACGGTGCTGTTTCTGAGGCTGCACAGAAGCACTCGTGCCAAGCGCCTGGCATGTGGATCACTGCTTCTAGAGGGAAGCCTCCACGCTGTGGGGGTTCCTCGTACTGTAGCAGCGACACCTTGATTTTGGCCCAGTGACACCCATTTTGGACAACTGACTCCAGCATGGTAAGATAAATGCGTGTTGTTTCAAGCCCCTAAGCTTGTGGTAAGCTGTGACAGCAGCTGGTTCCACCTTTGATCAAATTAGAAGCTAAAGAAAGAGGGTTACACAAACACCCTCATGCTTTTAAACCTTTAGAAAACCTACTCCACCAGGCTGGGTGTGGTGGCTCATGGCTGTAATCCCAGCAGTTTGGGAGGCCAAGGTGGGTGGATCACTTGAGGTCAGGAGTTCAAGATCAGCCTGGTCAACATGATGAAACCCTGTCTCTACTAAATATAAAAATTAGCTGGTTGTGGTGGCACAGACCTGTAACCCCAGCTCCTTGGGAGGCTGAGGCGTGAGAATTGCTTGAACTTGGGAGGCGGAGGCTGTAGTGAGCTGATATCATGCTACTTCACTCTAGCCTGGGTGACACAGCAAGACTCTGTCTCAATAAAAAAAAAAAAAAAGAAAAAAGAAAACCCACCCCACAGCTCTTAGGATGAAGCTCTAGGGCAAAGATCCCACGCCCTGCACACCCAGCCCACACCTGCCCTGCAATTTCACCTCTCACAGCCCCTCGTCATCCATGCTGTATTCCAGGGACACTCAGAGGGAGGCGAGACCTGCCCCCGCTGTGCCAGAATCACAGGAAGAGACACCTGAATGGAACCGGGTGTGTGGGACACGTGTGCAGTTTGCAGGGAAGCAGGGACAGACGTCAACAGCAGCCAAGGTGTTCGTGGTGTCAGGAGCTGGCTTCGTGATCCAGGCATGGGGCCTGGGGTTATCCAACTTCCCCTTTGAAGGCACCAGCGGCCACCCGTCTCTGCATGACAGCACCACCTCCTAAACCTGTCTCCCAAAGATCAACATCTGCACGGAGCACACCGGGCTTGGCGGGGGACGGTGCTGTTTCTGAGGCTGCAGAGAAGCACCCGTGCCAAGTGCCTGGCACGTGGATCACCGCCACTTCAGTCCTCACCCGTGCTCTAGGGGAGACCACACCAGTTGGCTCCCAGTCCTGGCTGGCAGGGGAGCAGAGGCTGAAGGGCAGAAGGGGCCTTCTGGGGTCAGGCTGACTTCACTCAGGAACTCAAGAGCTGTGGAGATCTCGGGTGAGCTGGGGCCGCCGTCTTGCAGGGCGGCCATGAGAAGCCTGCGGAAGGAAGGACTTGTTCCCTCTTGACTTAACAGCCCTTGTGTTCTTGGAGGATGGGTCTCAACAAGGCTCCACTCAGGCAAGCAACCTCTCATCGGCCCACTTCTCCCGGCTGCCTCCTCAAGAGCCCTTGCTTCAACCCTGCCGCCTGCAAGGGCATCGGCACCGTGCAATGGAAAACAACAGCCAGGCTGTGGCCAGCAAGGCCCCCATGGCACACTGCAGGGCTCCTCGTGCTGCGGCAGTGACACCTTAACCATAGGACACAGAGCTCAGCATGAGCACAGCCTGGGGGGGAGAACACAGCCCCTGTCCCCACCCCCAACACCATCACCTTATGTGTGGATTATGGTGGCCTTTGGACTGCACTTCTGGAGGTTGAAGAATATTATGTCTATTGGAAGACAGAAGCCATTGCGTGAGGTTTTCATGGGGAAAGCTTAGGTAAGATTGGCAAGAAGGAGGTTTCTATGGCAGAAAAGCACAAGCGAGGGGCACACAGCCACCACCCGCCTCCTCTTCCCATGCCTCCTGCATTGCCCCCCACACAGCCGCCATGCCTTGCCCAAGGTAGGAGTTTTTCATGGACATCTATCCATCCACCCATAGGAGGAGTTTCCCACATGTGGAGTTGTGACACATGATCACAGCGGAGGGAGAAGGGGCTAATCAGCTCCTACATCAATGCAGGGACTAGATAAAGACATGTCCCCACTGTGACCTTATTGCTTTGGCAGCAAGGTGAGCCCCTCAGAAGCCCCTGCCTCTCAGAAGCACGGAACCTCTCTGGGGCATCATCGGGCAGCCTAGGACAAAGCCAGCCCCAGCCCTCCACCTCCTCACTCTGTTTCATAAAAGCTTAGCTGGCCTGGCACAGTGGCTCACGCCTGTAATCCCAGCACTTTGGAAGGCTGAGGCAGGCAGATCACGAGGTCAGGAGTTCAAGACCAGCCTGGCCAACATGGTGAAACCCCGTCTCTTCTAAAAATACAAAAATTAGCCGGGCAGGGTGGCTTACGCCTGTAATCCCAACTACTCAGAAGGCTGAGGCAGGAGAATCATTTGAACCTGGGAGACAGAGGTTGCAGTGAGCCAAGATCGTGCCATTGCACTCCAGCCTGGGCAACAGGGCAAGACTCCATATTAAAAAAAAAAAAAAAAAAAAAAAAGATTAGCTGAACTGTCATCCCCACTGACCATCCTGGACACCAGTTCCCCTCCTCAATGGCCCTTCCTGGGAATCCGCTGACCACAGAGCAGAACGCAGCTCTCACCCCTCCTCCCTCACCAGTTCCACGGAGCTTTTGCTTCCCAATGAAAGAAAACTCCTTTCTGCCTGACCTTTGAGCTGCTTATAGATCTCAATGTCGAATGTTCCTCTTACTGCAATAGCCCCCTCTTCCATTGCAATAGCCTCTCCCCCCTTGCAATATCCTCCTTCCCATTGTGTAGCCCCTCCCTCTATGGCAGAGCCCCCTCCCATTACAATAGCCCCCTTCCCTTTAACAATAACCACCTGCCCCAGTTGCAAAAGCCCCTCCCTTATTGCAACAGCCCCTTCCCCTATTGCAACAGCTCCTTCCCTATTGCAATAGCCCCCCGCCATTGTGTAACCTCTCATTGCATGTCCCCCTCCCCTATTGCAATAGCCCCCTCCTATTGCGATAGTCCTCTTCCCTATTGCAGTAACCTCCTCCCCACTGCAATAGCCCTCTCCTATTGCAACAGCCCCTCCTCTATTGCACAGCCTCTCCTATTGCACAGCCCCCTCTCTCATTTCAATAGTCCCCTTCCCTATTACAACAGTCCCTTCCCCATTGCAAGAGCCCCATCTCCGATTGCAATCGCCCCTCCTCTATTGCGTAGTCCCTCCCCCTATTGCGTAGCCTCCTTCCCTATTGCAATAGCCTCCTTCCCTATTGCAATAGCCCCCTCTTCCATTGTAATAGCCCCTCCCCTACTACCATAACCCCCTCCCCTATTGGATAGTCCCCTCCCCTATTGCAATAGCCTCCTCCCTTATTTCAACAGTCTTTTCAAGTCTTTCCTTACCTAAGCCTGCATTGATTTTTTATCTCACGGAGGAAGCCAGCCCCCAGGCACAGAGAGGTGGCACTTTCACGATTGCACAACCGCATCATGGCTCTTGGTGGTTTTCTGCTTAGCTTTTTCCAGATTCAAAGAGCTGAGCCCCTTACTCTTTCACCCCCAACCCCAGGATTTCCTGTGAGACCTTCATGATCTGAATGTGGCTGCTTTCTAGGTCTCTCCACTGAAGTCCCTCTGCCTGCTCACTGCGTGGCCTGAGCAGTCCAAGCCCCTCCTAGGCTCCATTTCCTGAAACATGAAAGCCCCTTGCACCTCAAGGGTACCTGGTGGGTGCTCAGAGAACAGAGAGCCCTGGGTGCCCAATGGAGAAACTTCCACCCTCGCCCTGCCAGGAGGTGCTAAAGGAAGCTGGCTCTTGACCGATTTCCAAAGGAACGCAGATTTCTCCTGGAATGTCCTTTGCAAATTACGTTAAAAGAAATTAACTAGCTTGTCTGAAGGGGATGGAAATGGGTTTTAGCACGAAAGGAGATAAATTTTGAAAGAACAGTTTCTTCTAGCCCAATTTAACTCATAATTGGGTATCTTTTTGAGCCTGCTAATTAAACAGCATTTTCCCTGAGTCAAAAAATGGAGTCTTGGCACCTGAAGGGCACTTTGCAGACAGAATCTGACATGCAGGTCTAGCGAGTCCCTATAAAAAGCAGCATGAGTCAAAAGCACACTGTCGGCACTTCAACCAGAAAATGAAGCTCTCTTTGCAGAGGGGAGCCGCTAACCACACCGTCTACCATGCCAGCCAAGCTGGCCATTGTGAATCTCACCGGAATCCTCAAAGCTCTCTTCCCTATTTTTGGACATCCTAGATTGCATATCTCTATACAAGGCTCACAAATCTATTCTATCGTATACTTATTTCTGCCTCACACAGTGTGGCATTGTCTTATGTCTTCCGATAGCAGCAGACACTGGATCCAAAGACACAACAGGATGCTGAGTCAAATTTGTGAGGATGAGTGCTGCCTCACGCCAGCTAGAACCATGGTTTGTGAGGATGCAGTCTCAATGAGAAACCGCGGGTTGCCGTGGCAGGAATGCAGGCTGGGGAAAGGGAAAGAGCAGCTGTCAGGCATGTTCCCATTCCCCATGGGGCCAGGGGACTGCAGACCCCAGACCAAGAGCCCCACTGAGGTCAGAGTCCGCGTCGGGCTTGTCCACCACAGAATATTCAGGTGACGGTGCCTGGTGCCTAGAAAGTGCTTGAGAAACATTCTTAATGCATTAATACTAGAGTCAGAACCACTGTCCCTACCCATCCAGGTTGATGAAATCACAGAACCAGGGCAGCAAATCTGAACTGAACACTGAGTAAGTGCCAGGCCCTGTGCACAGGACATCCCTGGCCTGTGGCAAAAGAAGAAATAGATATTTGGTCTCTGGTCTCTGTCCCGGTTCCTGGCACACAGCTCCTAGGACCCTTGGAATCTCCAGAGTGACAAGAGTGACAAGAACGTCTTTCGTATGGTAATGAGATGGCTGGTGCGGGGCGGGGGTGGGGAGTGGTGGAGACAGCTTTGGGATGGGGATTGGTACCCAGAAGGACCAAGGCAGGGTTAGAGTTTTGGGGCTTTCAGCCCTAACCCCTGACCTCTGGGGAGGGAAGAGGGGTTGGAGATGGAGTTAGTCACCAATGGCCAGTGACTTAATCCACCGTGCCTACGTAATGAAGCCCCCACAAACCCCCTAGATGAGGGGGTTGGAGAGCTTCTGGGTTGGTGAACACAGATGTGCTTCGAGGGTGGCACGGCTGGAGAGGATGTGGCAGCTTTCACCCCATGCCCTGCCTCGTGCCTCTCTTCCTCTGTTGCTGAGTTGTATCCATAATAAACCGGTAATAGCAAGGAAACTGCTCTCCTGAGTTCTGTGTGGCGAATTACTACACACGAGGAGGAGGCCGTGAAACCCCCTGAGTTTTGACCCAATCCAGCAGAAGTGCCAGCCTGGACTTGTGACTGGCATCTGCAGCGGGAACAGTCATGGGGGACCGAGCCTGGATCTGATAGTAAGTCAAGGTGGATGGTGTCAGAATTGAACTGAGCTGTGGGACACCCAGCTGGCATTGCAGAGGTGGAGATGTGTTGCAAAAGACATTTTGGTATCAGAGTGTTGTGAGTAAACGCAGTTGAGGCACCACCTCAAGTTCAGAGCCAATCAATGGATTTGCTGCTACTATTATGCTGGTTTACAGATGAGGAAATTGAGGCACACCGAGACTGTGACCCTCGCCCCATCGTGGATGAGCATTGAACAGCGGTGGAAGCGTGGTCCAGACCCAGATGTTGAACTCCAAGACACCCACTCATAGACACTAAGACTCTGCCCCAAACACCTGTGTGTGGCCAGAGTTGAAGAGGAAGCCCCTCTTGACACTGTAAATTAGGGGCTTCCTAAATTAGGAAGGGAGGGAGAGAAGGAGGAAGGGCACTGAGCCCAGAGTCCTAGAGCCAGGATGCGCCCTGGGCAGGTCTGTTTGCTGTGGGTCCCATCCTATGAATCTCTGATCTCACACCCACCCCGGAGCAGGCAGGACAGTGCCAAGGAGGGGAGCAGGCCCACCCGGGGCTTCCAGCCAAGCAAGAAGCTTACCCTTCCTCGGGCAGCAGCTGCCTGCTGGCTATGTGTGTGTGCTGAGGGAGAGGGAAAGACCTCCATCCATTCTGTAATTTCCAAAAGTTGCATTCCCGTTATTTCCCACTCCAGGCCACTTGCAGACACTGTGGCACACACCGTGGCAGGTGACAAGCTTTTATGATCGCGGGACCTGCCACAGCCGCAGAGGTAGCTGATGGCCCTCATCCTACAGACAGGAATACACCGAGGCCAGAGCACTTCCCGAGGCAGCAGGGGGCAGAGTACCAGCTCTCGCCCTGACAGCCTAGTCCACCCTTCACTGTGTTGTTTATTCCTCTAGAGCCTGGGGGCATTGTGAGGGCAGGAATTGGGTGCTTTCATTTTGGTATCACCAGACCTAGCCCAGGTCCTGGCAGACAGACGTGCTCAAGAGAGGCTCAATAAATGAACTAACTAAAAATGGCCTCCCAGTGGAGGGTGTCAGGATGGATTTCAATAAATGCCCATTTGGTCTTCATTTCCCATAACAAGAGCACTTTGGTTGATGACTAATGAGTCTCCGAGTAGCGCCTTCTTCTGCCAGGGCTCCCGAGAGGGGCAGAGGTATCGCCGGAGTTGATGAGTTTAACCATAATGACAATATTATTCATTCGAAATTGGGCAATTTCTGTAAAGTAAGTTACAGCCGCTCAGCTGCAGTGGTCCTGTGCTGGCTGGCAAGCGGCACCCCTGCCTGTAACTGCCAACATCTGCTCCGGCTTCCCATTACCCGCCTGGGGCCGCCCCCACCCCCGCCCCCAGGTTGGCCAGGTTTCGGCTGGGCTCTGAGCAGCAGCAGCACCACCTGGAACACAGCAGCCACTGAGGCTCGGCCAGGCACGAAGACGGAAGAGCCACTGCCTGGAACATGAGAGTGTGGGGACAGGGGAGGAAGGGCCTTGGAAGGGGAGCAGGACATCCGGGTCTCTCATGGCCCTTGCTAGATGGACAGTCCCTCTGCCAGGAGGCGGTCCTGCCCTTTGACTGCAGGCACCTGTCACAGCCTGCTTTCCAATGAAGACTGCAACAGTACCTCCCGCCTCACCTGCTCTGCTGCAGGTGACCTGGCTGCTCCCCTGTTAAACAGCAGAGTCTATTTCCATTCCAGATTCTAGGCTGATCTTAGCTACTTCTTTGGCCAAAAGATTGCAGCAGAAAGTGATGCCCTGGGACTCCCGAGGCTCCACTGGCCATAAGAAGCCTTGCACTTCTACCTGACCCTGTTGGTTTTGTTTGTTTGTTTTTTGAAACAGGGCCTTGCTCTGTTGTCCAGGCTGGAGTGCAGGGGTGCGATCATGGCTCACTGCAACCTCAACCTCCTGACTGCCACCATATGTGAGACCCCAAGCAAAAGCCTTCTGGCTGAGCCCTATCAACCCATAAATTATATAGGTTTTAACAATAAATTGGTGTTTCAAGCCAGTAGGGTTTGGGATACGTTGTCACACACACAGCAGTAGATTAACCCAAGCAGCACCTCCATAGCATGCACCTTCAAGTGGAGAAATTATTAGCATTTGCTTTACAACTACTATGAGCCAGGCATTCTGGTTGGTGGTTTATGTCATTCATTCATTCATTCATTCAATCATTCAACAAATCTCAATGTTGTGAGGTAGGGATTACATTTGAGAATGCATAGGCTAGGTTTTGCTGCCAATCCACCCTGAAGTCCCAGCAACCCATCACCACAATGGCTTCTGTCTCACTCATGCTATTTGTCCATAGTGGGTTGGCACAGCCCTGCTCCACACAGTCATTCGGGGACCCCATGTAACAGAAGCTCCATCTCAGTTGTTGAGACGGGGAGAGACCGCAGATTTGCATGTGGACTTTTCATGGTCCTAGCCTGAAGTGACTGTCACCACTGACTCCCCCGTGGCACTGGCCAGAGCTAGTCACATGGCCATGCCTTGCTGTAAGGGGGCTGGGGAAGACGGTTGTTCAGATAGCCAGAAAGAAGGGAGCTGGGTGCTGGTGAGCACTGGTCATGCTGTCCACTGAGACTTTCTCCCGTTTCTTGAATGAGGACACCAACGCTCAGAGCCTAAGCTCATTACTGCAGTCACCAGGGCGAGTAAGGCAACTGTAGAACCGGCCTATTTGGTTCCAAAATACCAGCGTGCCCAGATCCAGCCTGGATTTGTTAAAAAAAATAATAATAATTAGAGCAGCAGCTGTGGATGAAAGTGGGTAGTTGGGGGAGCCCACAAAAATAATGACCAGGCAAGGCCGCCATAAACAACAGAGACTTGAATAAAATGAAAGGGGCTTTGTCGAGAGAGCCAAACTCGAAGCGTATCTTTTTCAAGTATAAAGGGGAGAAGCTCAGGGCTCATGTGGTGCTTAAAAGCCCCCAAATGAAAGCCTCGGCGCTTTCCTAGCTGCTCTGCCAATTTAAAGGGGGATTTTTTTTTTCTCATCTGCAACCTGCTGGGATTTTCTGTTGGTCGGCTGAAATGGCCCCATATAATCCTTTGAGGAGGTCCCCAATATCCCATGGAGGCTGACACACAAGCACAGAAAAGCGTAATCCCAGATAAGCACAAACACCGCAGAGCGCAGGCAGCGGGACTCAAGGAAACCCATCCATCCGTGCGGCGGGCACCCCTGACGACAGGCCCGCCGGGGTCAGAGGCCTCTGCCGGGATTCATCACTGCCGTGGGGCGCTTTAGAAAGCTCTCCCGGGCTCTACGGGGGCGATGGGGAAGGATTGGGGTTTTCTTCAGAGCTAACACCCCCCTCGTCATCGTTAATCCTCGTGAGCCGGAATTCAAAAGAGCTACTGCCAAGAGCCAGAGAGATTGCCCAGGGTTGAGTGTGCTGAGTGGCTGACCCCGTGACCACCCGGGAGAGCATGAGCGTTGGCTCTGCCACAGCCAAAAGTCCACACTTCCCATTCGGTGGATCAGGCCCCACCAGCCTGCCAGCACCACCTGTCTCCCCAAAACCCTTCCCAGTGCCCCCTTGGTCCACCCTGGATGGCCTGATGGAGCTCGCAGGGGGTAGCACCAGGCTTGGAGGGAGGCAACACTGGCTCTGGCCCTAATCCAGCCCCTCCCAGCCCTGGGACTCTGGCAGGACAGCTTGTAGGTTCTGGCTGTAAAACGGGACCATAACTGATGGGAGAGGTGAGACACCTTGTTAGGAAGGAGAGAGGAGGCAGCAGCAGGTGGAGGGGAGAGCGCGAGGAGGCTGAGCACAAGAGAAGAAGGAGAAGGTGGGAGGAGGAAGAGGAAGTGGAAGAAGGACACAGAAAGAAGCAGGAAGAGTGAGCTAAGGATGCACGCGCTGGCCCGGTGCCCACTTCATCCCATCTGCTGGGCGCTATGAGCGTCAGTTTCCTCCATTGAGACCCGCCAAGTGTGCTGTGGGGAGATGACAGCCATGCAGCCATGTGGCCACCATACCTGCAAATCCCTTTCCTGACTGGAAGCTGCCAGCAAGCCTACAAAGATATTTTCTACATTTTAAGGACAAGAAAGCTCACCCCTATATAGATATGGTGATGTGTAGCTATCTATGGTTTCTGTAACAAATAACCACAACCTCAGTGGTCTAACACAAGACACATTTGTCCTCTTACAATTCTGGAGGCCAGAAGTCTCACATCAGTCTTACTGGGCTAAAATCAAGGTGTCAGCAGTAGCCGGCGCAGTGGCTCACACCTGAACTTCATGAATCTTAGGAATGAAGTCTCCCAGGGCAGGGATGGGACCATGGGTGGGCCCAGCCCCATTCCCTATTAGCCGTTGTGACCTTGCCCCTTTGTCTCTGGGCCTCAGTTTCCACATCTCAAAAATGGAGACGTCTACCTCCATCCTCACCCACAGAACCTTTGAGGCTCAAATTTGACAAAGCACATGAGAATGCTGCCTGACACCCAACGTCCCAGCCCGGCTCCCGAGGGGAGAAGTCCACTCTCTAGACTCTCCAGCCAGAGCTCATTCTTGCCCTGGAGGCATTTCTCTCCCTGGGAGAGGACCTGAGAAGCCAGGCCACCTTCACAGTCTTCACAAGCCCTTTCCTTCTTAAAGTTAGCAAATAACAAAGGGGACCCGATTGGCAAGATGAAAGCACAGCTATGAATATGCATGACTCATTCGGTAATCAAACACCCTGAACCCTTTCCAGAGGAAGGGATCGGAGCATAATTTTCCGCCACATATTTAAATTCAAACTAGTCATTATTTAATGTTGGGACAAATCACTGGAGGTCATGTTTTCAGTTTACTGTTTCTTCTTCATAAACAAGGCAGTACCCTGGCAGGGTGTCTGTGCGGCCAGAATGCACTAGCTTCCTTCTCTTATTCGACTCGGGTTTTAAGAGACAGACCTTTGCAACAGCAATAAATAGCCATTCCCCTTCTCGGCTGTCTTTTATAAATGCATCCTCCAGCCCTTTCTCTCTCATGTCTCCTTGCTGCTCCAATAGCCCCGCCATTCCGTGCCCCAGGCAGTCACATGGAAAGCTCTTGGTTCACACACAGACCTGGTGAGTCTCCATATTTGCGCTGCTCTAGATATGACAGATCCAGGTGTCTGGGTTCAAATTTGGCTCTGCCATTTCCCCTGCTGTGTGACCTCAGACACATTACTTAAACTCTCTGAGCCTCAGGTTCCTCTCTGTAGAATGGGGATAAAAATAGTTCCTACCATCCATGTCCTCATGGTATTACTACACACAGGGCACTTAGAACGGGACTCAGCTGGCCAAGTGCGGTGGCTCACGCCTGTAATCCCAGCACTTTGGGAGGCTGAGGTGGGCAGATCATGAGGTCAGGAGTTCGAGACAAGCCTGGCCAATATGGTGAAACCCCTTCTTTACTAAAAATACAAAAGTTAGCCGGGCATGGTGGCAGGCGCCTATAGTCCCAGCTACTTGGGAGGCTGAGGCAGAAGAATCGCTTGAACCCGGGAGGTAGAGGTTGCAATGAGCCGAGATCGTGCCACTGCACACCAACCTGGGCCACAGAGCGAGACTCTGTCTCAAAACAAAACAAACAAACAAACAAAAAAAACGGGTCTCAGCCAAGAGGGCATGCCTATAAAGGTCGTTATTCTCACTACTGCTGCTGTTGGTATCATCGCTAACAACCAGCCACCAAATACCATATGTTCTATGCCCGAAGTCCCTCCCAAACCTGACCCCTCCTTCCATTCTCACTGTTGATGTCATATTTCACCTCTGGGTTGCCACAAGGATCTCCTAACTGGCCTCCCAGATAGACTTTGCAGGCTTCTACCAGGAAACGCCAAACTCTTGGCACTGCATTTGAGAGCACTCAGAACCAACTCCGAGCCTGCTGAACCCCTTCGCCCCACACCTCCTGTGCACCAGGGTCACCCGGCAGCTCACTGTGTCCCCAGTAGGCTGGGCTCTCTCAGTCTGCTGTGTCTCTGCACATGCTGTTCCCTGGGCCCGCAGCCCATATCCATTTTTCTCTGAATTGCCCCAAATCCCTATAAAACCAACTTGATGTCCACGTCCTCTGTGAAGCGGTTCCGATAGGAGCCACCTGCTCTGTGCTTAGAAAAATAACCAAACCAAACAAAAGCAAGAAAGCAAAATATACCAAAAAAAGTCTTGCTCATACCATGATGTGAGCATTCACTGCACTGTATTGTGAATGCATGAATGAATGAATGCATGTCAGTGTTCTCTCCCAGCGCCCTTCCTCTTCCAGGACAGGAAGCCCAGCTAGTTTTTCCTTGAAGGTATGTCCAACTCCAGTTTTCCAGGAAGGATACAAAACGCCTTTACAAGGATTCTTAGATCCCAGTTGCCACATCTGCTGGTAAGGCCAGCCCACGTGATTCCCCTGAACCAAGGTCAGAGGGGGGCTCTTCAACCTCAGAGGGAACTTGATCCTCCAAGTGCCATTCAGCAGATTCAAAACTGGGTCTCCTGCTGTGGCTTCCCTGACCTTCAATGCTCCAAAGGCCAGTTCCCCAGATCCTCCTCCAACGTGGCCTTGGCAGAAACCCAGCCCCCAAGGAGAAATGTAGGGATTTCCAATTACAAGAGGACACCTACCAGAGGCCAGGTGAAAATACAGCCATTCCTCCTCATCCGAAACAAAACCAACAACCGCATGAAAGTTCCATCAGCCTCAAGAAAACCAAGGGCAGCTTTGTGGGAGACATTTCACAGCCCGAAGCCGGCTCCAAAGTGACACTTGAGAAATGGGCTCTCAATGCGGTTTGGCGGCCCAGAGAACAGAAAGGATTTGCCGACCGCAGAAGATGTTCTGGTTAACAAGCCATTTGCTTATTCAGAGGGACCCAGATGGGCGGCGTTTCTCACTTTAATGACCGCTGATCTCCTCTCTCCAGGGACCCAGCGACTGGAGGACCAAGGACACTGTAGGCTGTCAAACAGACAAAAAACTCTGCCCCTGGGTGTTCTGATTAATCCTTTGGGACCACTTTTACAGTTAGAGAAATTGGTTTTAAAGGCCTGAAAAAATGCATTCCGTTGTCACAGGAAAGCAATCCATCTTTTTGTTGTTGCTACAGAGATGACAAATGGACTCTAAAAACAAATTCCCTGGATGGGCCGGCCTAACGGGGTGCTCCAGAGGCATGGCCAGGACTGTGGAGGTGACTGTCATACTGACAGGCCCTGCAGCTGGAAAGAGGGGGCAAACAGTCCCTGACGGGCCAGTTTACATATTTAAAGTGACGGGAGGTGGGCAGACACGCCTGGGCCCAGCCTGCAGCTGTGCCCCCTACCTCCCCTGGGAGGCGAAGACGCTGCTGTGGGTGCCAGAGTTGGGGACTAGAGAGGCGACTCCAGGTGGCCTGGTCTCTATGGAAACCCCATGGGCCTTTCTGCTACCAGACCCTGGGCCTGCCTTGGGCCTAATCAAGGCGCTGCCCAGAACCAAGCACATTCGTCAGTCTCATCTCCAACCCTGATGACAGTCTCCTGGCAGAATGCAAACTCCTAGGAGCCTGGCTCTTCTCTGGCCTGTCTCACTGTATTCCCAGGACAGGGGTGGCAGGTGTGTGAGGGTCAATGAAAACGCCAACATGGCCACGTAGGCACTACGGTCCCCGATTGTCAGAAGATGGGACCCAGGTTCAGCCAACATCACAGAGCTGCAGAGCAGAGTGGCAGCCAGGCTGTGGCTTAGCGCAAGATCTGAGTGGCCAAATATTACCTAAAACCCCTCAACTCTCTTCCTCTTCTAATCCAGACTGGCACCAAGATCTAGAAACTCCACATCAGACAACTGAAGGGCATCCAAGGCAGGACTCACTGCAATTATGTTCTTCCTGGTGGTTGTCCAGCTTCTGCTTGCGCACCTCTCATGACAGGGAGCTCCCTACCTCCCAGGGCAGCCCCGCCCATCTCCGATCATCTGTAGCTAAGAGGTCATTCTTAATTTTTAGCTGACGTCTGCTTCTCTGTCACTCTCCTGCATGTACTCTGAGCTCTACAGTCCAACACAGAACATCCAAGCAGAAAAGAATGCTAACCCAAAGACTCAGTGAAAGATGCTGTCTCTGAAAAGGACTTGTCTTCAACACCTCGAGAAAATGCAAACTCTGGCTGATCTCCGAGGAGTATATAAGAAGATACAGGTTTCAAGGACAAAAGACTGAAAGAAACATATCTGAGTAAAAGTGGCACTAAAATTGTCCATGGCATGGAATCAAACCAAATGCCCATCCATGATAGACTGGGTAAAGAAAATGTGGTACATATACACCATGGAATACTATGCTGCCATAAAAAAGGAATGAGTTCATGTCCTTTGCCGGGACACGGATGGAGCTGGAAGCCATTATCCTCAGCAAACTAACACAGGAACAGAAAAACCAAACACCACATGTTCTCACTTACAAGGAGGAGCTGAGTGATGAGAACACATGGACACAGTGTGGGGGAAATAACACATATAGAGGCCTGTTGGGAGAATGGGGCAAGGAGAGCATCAGGAAAAATAGCTTATGGATGCTGGGCTTAATACCTGGGTGATGGGTTCATCTGTGCAGCAAACCACTATGGCACACATTTACCTATGTAACAAACCTGTACATCCTGCACATGTACCTTGGAACTTAAAATAAATGTTGAAGAAAAAACATCGTCATTGGGGGCAGTGAAAGGCAGAATGAAAACGTAGAAACAGAATCAGGGACCAGACAGACAGACTTGCAAAGCTCTCCCAGAAGGTGGCAGAAGGAAGCAAATCAGTCAAATTAATGGGAGGGAAAAAATGGCCCTAAAGATGAGAGCACAGATATCAAGCCCCAAATCATAGGCGTTCCCAACAGAGAAGCCAGAACAATTGGAACAGAGTGGCTGCCAAAGAGAGAGCAATGCCTTTAGAGTGAGGCAGCTCAGCATGTCCAAGACAAGGTCAACATGAAAAGGAGGCAAACATCAGACCCATCCCAGTGAAAATATTTAACTAGAAGGAGGAAGAAAACCAGGCGAGATAAATGAACTGCCAAATTGGCATGGCTCCCTCTATAAGGCTAAGTATTAAGCAAATAGAGCAACCCCTTCAGATGTCTGCAAGGAAGAGAGATGACTCAGAAATCTCACCTTCAGTCAAGCTGTCCTTCAACAGGGATGGAGTCAATAAAAGGAAAATCCTAGGGGCAAGGCTGCTCCCCCACATGCGTCCTCCCAAACAGTCCTTGGAGATGTACCCTAGCCAGCTGAGAGGTGAATCAGAATTACTAACTCAAGGATGGAAGAGGCTGTGAGCATTGAAACCATTCGCATAAAACAATGAAAATGGTACAGTTAGTTCATGAACACAAAAGATAGAAGATGAAATGGTGATAAGTTAGTGACTAGTCTATAAGTTGTTTCTACAATACCTTGAAGTGGTAGACGAGAGATATCCTGGTCCCCTGATAGTCCTGTGATTTGTTCTGCAGTTTCAGCAAGGTGAGGCCACAGGTGGATTTCGGAAATGTGGTGGGAGGGACTTGCCTGACACAGGGGACCAGGTCACCTCCTGAGGGCCCCAGAGGCAGCCTCAGGCTGGGTTCCCTTTTCTGGTGTACTTCAGTGATCCACATTCCACTCCTACACCGCAGCCCAAACCACCCCTTGGAAGTCCGGCGGGTTTTGAGATACTGGTGCAGGAATGCAGGCCGCACTAGAGCTGACGGTTTTAGCCCAACTCATTCTTCCTGTGATAGCTCAGGCCCCGATGGACCTGCTTCAGGGAGATGCAAGAGGCTTCCCCGACCATCCTGCCCATTCCCCACTAAAGAAAATAAGTCCCAGAGAGGAAATTATATTCTTCAGTTTTATATGCTTGTCTCAGATCTTTTCTCCCTTCACCTCTTCCTCCTGTCCATCAACAGAGCAATTTCTGAGACTCTGACATGTCAGACAGAACGGCTGCTCTTTCTCTCCCTCTCAGGGCGTGCATGTTGAGAAATGCAGTCACGCCGGGAATCACAACAAGAGATTCACATCACCCGCTGCAACCCCCTTTGTGTTTTGCAATGTGCTTGCTTTATTTTGACATCCCCCAGAGCCTAGCATGGGAGTCTATAAACACAGCGCACACAATTAGGCTAATGACATCGATATTCTCAGTTCAACTGGGTAATGGGAGCATTTATTTCACTTTGGAAATCTCACACACAGTCTGTTGAGGGCTGCAGAATTATGATGCTCTTGGAACTGTGCCTGCAAAACTGCTCAATCTTAGATGCAACCTCCCCCCAGCTGAGCCCCGCTGTGGTTTAGGCTCTGCGTTAGGAAGGGATGCAGGAGCAAGACCTCCTCTGCATGTGTTTATCTACTGTGGAGGCAGCCTGGTTTCTTAGAGTGAGAGTAGTAGAGAGACTCGTCACTCAGAAAAACCTTTGTCCCTATTTCTGTCATGGTGCGACCTTGGGTAAGTTCCTTGCATTCACCAGACCTCAGGTTTCTTCCCTGTGAGGTGGAGGGGTCTCACTAGAGAGTGTCTAAGTTCCTTTCTAGACCTAAATGTCTACTGAGTATCTGTGCCTTCAGCCCATCATGGAAGCAACTTTTTCTTAAATGTACTCTTTCAGTTTCCAAAGCACAGCCAGTACTGGGCACAGACCCAACTGTAGGGTCAAGAAACTGGGCCTCTGGGGTTCCCAACTCTCTGTTTCATCCACATTTCCTCCCTGCTCCAACTCAGAGGCCACTGGGATTCCCATGCTCTTGGACTCCTTTCCTCTTATCCATGACAATTATTTGTTACTACTACTAATAATGATTTAGCAAACCAGCATTTATGGAACACCTGCTATGCAACAGATTCTATATTAGGATCCAACATGTGGACTGTGAATGAAGACGAAGATGCTGTCCTCATATAAAACCTTATGTTAGTGTCCGCAAGACACAGTCACATGCATCATCTCAGTCTTCAAAGGTTCTAGCCTCTGGGAGCAGGTCTTATTCATCCTGTTTTACAGATGAGGAAATTGAGACAAGGGGTAAAGGCTGCATATAAGACGTAGCACATTAGAGGCAGGACTCTGGTCTTCCTGACCCCAGACCTAAGCTCTCTGTGCTGTGCTGAAGCTGGGAATAAAACTGAACCACATTTGAGCTTCATGGGTGTAAAGTGCTCATATGTATTAGTCTGTTTTCACGCTGCTGATGAAGACATGCTAGAGACTGGGTAATTTATAAAGAAAAAGAGGTTTAATGGACTCACAGTTCCATGTGGCTGGGGAAGCCTCACAATCATGGCAGAAAGTGAAAAGCACATCTTACGTGGCAGCAGATGAAAGAATGAGAGCCAAGTGAGAGGGGTTTCCACTCATAAAACCATCAGATCTTGTGAGACTTATTCACTACCATGAGAACAGTATGGGGGAAACTGCCCCCATGATTCAGTTATCTCCCACTGGGCCCCTCCCACAACTTGAGGGAATTATGGGAGCTACAATTAAAGATGAGATTTGGGTGGGGACACAGCCAAACCATATCTGAGGATAAACCTGGGTGGGAGGCCTACTTTATTATTACGAGGTGGTATGACTTCGGTAAGTTGAGTTCCTGTTTTAGCTCCAGGGTTTTTTTCTAGCAGGAGTGTAGGGGGGTTGGAATACATGATCCTTAAGGTCTTTTCTGGAGCAAACCATCAGTGACATCTTCCCTCTCTCGAAAGTGGGCATGCCTTCCAATGGTGCCTTTAAGCTCATGAGAAAAGGAACACTGGATGCTTGGGAATTCTTTCAGGCACTAGAAGGCACCTGAAATGGGGTCAGAAAGACAAAGTACTAGAACTTTTTGCAACCCTCACTTCCTCCCACAGAGGTGGCTGCTGTCCCAGGCTGACCTGGGCAGGGCCTTTTCTGGGCAATTTTCTAGACTTGGGTTTCAGCCCGTTTGCCAAAGTCCTAAGGAATGCTGACCCAATTTTCTTCATTTCAACAAATGTGAATTGAACAGCTACTATGTGCCAAGTCCTAGGAAGCCACAGCCCTGTGTTCAAGGAATAAGCCCACGGTGGGTGGGGATCTGACCCAAGAGAAGCCAATCAGTAGAGAGGGCAGTGATGAGTGACAGGGTGGGCATGACCAGCTGGGCCAATCAGGCTGCTTGCAGGTTAAAATTGCTGCTACGGCTGCTAAGGGAACTGGCTGACCCAGGTGGAAGGAGGCATTCAAATAGGGGCAGACGCTCTTGCTGGATGTGGTGTGGCCATAGAGAAAGAGGTTGCAAGACACTGATTATGTCTCAGGGGTCTTCATTTTTTATATCCTTTAATTGCTTTTTTTTGTTTTTTGTTTTATTTATTTATTTTTTTACAAACCCTTGTGTCGAGGGCTGACTTTCAATAGATTGCAGCGAGGGAGCTGCTCTGCTACATATGAAACCCCGAGCCAGAAGCAGGTCATCTACGAATGGCTTAGCGCCAGGTTCCCCACGAATGTGCATTGCATGATGGGCGAGGGGGCGGCCGCCTTTCCGGCCGCACCCTGTTTTATCCTTTAATTGTTAACAACCTTGTATTTGACGATGTAAAATCATCCAGATGTTCAACTACCTGGAGAAGGGTAAGTGAAGTGTGACATAATCATGATGTATTTAATCATTTCACACAAAGGGCTTCAGGAGACAGTGCAGTGCAGTGGTGAGATCATGGCCTTTGTCGTCAGACATCCATTGATTCAAAACCATCTTTGCCCCTATTGTCCTGTATGGCCTCGGGCAACTTAACCTCTCTGAGCTTCAGTTTCAGCATCTGTAAAATTGGGAATAATAACGCCTTCATTTCAAAGTTCTTTTGCATATTGGAATTAATGCCTATAAATGGCATAATATTCTCAGAATATAATATGTCTCCAATAAGTGGTAGGTGACCACAAAAATGGCCAAATCATCGTTATCTAAATCATAGACTATTTTGAAGCCATTAAAATGATGCTTACAAAGCATTCCTGATAATGTGGGTAGATACTTATATGATAAAAATTCAGAGTATAAAATTGTCTCGACTATGAAATAAAGATATATAGAAAAAGACAAGAAGGAGATATATTAAGAAATTTAAAAACACCATTTCTAGGTGGTAAATTTACAGGTGAGTAACCTGCTTTTTGATATTTTAGTTGTCTCTAATGAGCAAGCACTGGGGCAGAGCTAGGGCCTAGCATCCAGACTCTGGACGGGTTTCTGGCAGCAAGAGTCCACACTGTGTACAGAGGGCTGGGCTAGAGCTGTGGGGGACCCTAAGCAACCTGAGAGGCGTAGCTAGGTCAGCACCACGGACAGCACCCACAGCAGCCAAGACCCAATCTGCGTGAGGGCTCCTGTCCTGGGTGGAGTTTGCTGGGCCTCAAATGACCAGGCCTAGCTACAGTTAGGTACCCCCGCCCCTGCCACCATACTCACAACGGGGGCTCCTCCTCCACCCCAGATGTCATAGCAGCCACATGCGTAACATACGCCTTGATTTTTGTCTGGGATGGGGTCTACTGTGGTCTGTGATCAAAAGGCCATGGACTTTTTATTTTAAAAATAACAGCAATATATGCAATAAGATGAATAGAAGCATGCTCATTTCCTTATATCCTCACCAAACTGGATATTATTATTATTTATCTTAGTATTTTTTTGCCAATGTAAAAAGTAAAAATGACACATAGTTGTTTTTCATTAAGAGTGAGGCTGAGCCTCTTTTCATGTATTAATTAGAATTTATATTATAATTTATATTTTTCTGTACATAGTTTTAATACCCTTTTTCCTTTTTCATTAAAAAACTTATTGTAGCTTTTTTTTTTTCAAAAAAATTAAGGACATATGCAGGTTTTTGAATTAGACATATCACTTTTCATTTCTCAGGTGCACCTTTTCTAGCTTCATAATCTTGGGCAAACCACCTTTCTTCTATGAGCCTCAGTTTCCTCATCTGTAAAATGATGACATCATGTCTTCCTTATAAGATTGTTGTAAGGATTTTAGAAAATGTATATAAAACAAAGAATAAACACCCCAGGGCATATCTATTATTATAATCCCAGGGCATATCTATTATTATAATTTGGGGGAGGCCTCCCAGTAAACTTTCGTCAGACTTTTACTCCTCCATTGATTTTCACCCCCTAAAACTGAGATGCACATTCTGACTAGTCTAACTTTTACACGATGGAAGAAATTCTCCCTACTCAAGGGTTCAGGATTCATATTCTTGCCACACATTGCTCCTGCAAAACTCTTCCCACATCTCCCCCAAGGACAGCTCCATTGTTCTTAGGGGATGCTTGCTGCTGCCCATAGTAGCTCCCAAACAGGTAGATGTGAAACACTGTTTTTGGAGTGTTGTTACTGTAAGAATATTGTTACCATTAATATATCCCTGAAACTTTCTGTGAGAGGAATTTTAAAAGGCCAATAAATACTTTGTATAAAAGTAGATCACTATGCAAAACAATTTCTTTTTCCTTTTTTTTTTTCTGAGTCTTGCTGTGTCACATAGGCTGGAGTGTGGTGGCATGATCTCTGCTCTTTGCAACCGCCGCCTCCCAGGTTCAAGCGATTCTCATGGCTCAGCCTCCTGAGTAGCTGGGATTACAAACGTGCACCACCATGCTTAGCTATTTTTGTTTTCTGCATCTTTTTAGTAGAGATGGGGTTTCACCACATTGGCCAGGCTGGTCTCAAACTCCTGGCCTCAAGTTAACTGTCCCCCTTGGTCTCCCAAAGTGCTGGGATTACAGGCATGAGCCACCACACCCATTTGTGCAAAGCAATTTCTATCAGTTAATAAAAGTATTGCATTATCTATTTGTGTAGAAAATGACAAGTTACTATATGAATTGGAAAGGTTTTGCAGTAAGCCTGGGTTTTGCCTACATAGCCTGTACAGTGATTGCTTTAGCCAAATACCCATTTACAATTTATATACCCTCATAAACAAACACATCTACTTGCAGACTCCAAGCATGTCCCCACTTCCTTGCCTATGCTCACATCCTTCCCTCTGCCTGGACTCACTCCACTCTGCATGAACACATCATGCCAGCTCTTAACTGTGAGCACAGTTGCCTCTGCTTCCAGGAAGCCTTCCTGGATCCCTCTAGGTAGAAGACTTCTTTCTACGTGTATAATTTCCTGGCATTGTGTGTCTTGACGTGCTAGGAGCCCCAGATGTGCATAGGTTTTTTATCTCTGACAGAAGGCAGACTCCTTAACACAGGACACATCTCATCCACCTCTGCACACTGAATGCTTCACACAAGGCCCAGAGCAGAACAAGCACCCACTGAAAGTACATTCAGTGTCAGTGATAAAGAAGATAGCAGAAGTGGCTTGATTCCATGTCTTACTGGCCCTGAGGCTTCAGGGATACTTGGACCAGGCCCTACAAGATGAGTAGAATCCAGGAGAGCAGCCAAAGGAGGTCGGAGGACCAAGGGGAGGGTTCCAGTCCTGGCTCCTCCACTTGATGGCCATGGAATCTTGGGGGAGAATCAGTTCTCTGAGCCTCAGTTTGCTCAGCTATACATGGATTTAATAACACCTACCTCCTAATACTGTGAGACTATGATGATATTGCACACAGGTGCGTGCACACACACACACGGGTGGGTGTGGCCTAGCCCAGCGCATGGGATTTTGTAGGTACTCAGCTACTCAGTATATGGTTATTATGAAATAGAATTAAAATAATCATAATAATACAAATATATATTAAAATGATCCATGCATCATTATTTATGGATGGGAAAAATAACGACAGATTAAGAGACTTTCTCATTGAAGAAACACAAAAGTATGTGATATAGCCTAGGAACCAAGGCAGCCCCAAGTGTGAGTCTGGGGATTGATGGGTTTGTGTTGGGGGTAGCTAGAGAGAGGACATGTGGGCATTACCAGCCTCCATAAATACTGAAATGAAATTATAGCCATCTGCCCATTCACACATCCCAGTCTGTGAGATGCACAGACTTGTGTGCAGGGGGCATCATGGGAAGACAAGTGGAAGCTCCCTGACATCCACCCACAGCCAGACCTCGGAAGTAGTGAGAAGTAGTAAACTTAGGGATAAGGTGGGCTTCTATCCAGCAAACAGAAAGGTTTCAATCACTAACATTTGCAGAAATGAAATTGAGTAGAATTCCAAAACTGGGAGAAACCACAAGATCAAATCCTCCGTGTGTTTTATTTTACAGATGGGGAAACTGAGTCCCAGAGAGGTCATGTGACCTGTCAAAGCCGTCAAGTCGGGGTGGGAACAAGCCTGTCATGAAACTGGAACTGCAGCCCAGGCGGCCTGCCCCAGCTGCGCAGGCACTCAACACTCATTCTCGGCTTTGTTTGCCATTAGACACACTTTACATGTAAAAGAAGTAAACGTTCCCTTGAGCAAATGATCAAAATTAAGGAAACTCATCAACTGGCTCAGGCTTAGCAGGACAAATTAACTGGAAGTAATTGTGATGGATAATTTGGTTGTAATTCACAGGGACAGACAAGAGCTGCTGGCAGGTGACCAGAAAAACTTTCAAAGGACTTTAGGTCAAGAGTCCCTTCATTTGCCCACCTGACTTCACCTGTCTGCCCACCTGTCTTAGTCCATTTTGTGTTGCCATAAACAGAATATCTGACACCGGGTAATTTATTAAGGAAAGTGATTTATTTGGCTCATGATTATGGTGACTGGAAAATCCAAGATCAGGCAGCCCATCTGGTAAGGGTCTCAGGCTACTTCAACTCATGGTGGAAATAGAAGTAGAAATGATCGTTCGCAAAGAGACCAAACATGAAAGGTACAACCTGCTCTCGTGGTAACCAATCTGGTTCTGAGAGAGCAAGAACTCAATCCTGAGAGGACATTAATCTATTCATGAGGGATCCATCCTCATGAGCCTAACATCTCCCACTAGGCCTCCCTCCCAACATGGCCACTTTGGTCACCAAATTTCAACACGAGTTTTGGCAGGGACAAATAATCTCCAAACCATGGCACTAGCTGACTTCGCCAGTATGCTATATGACTTCTCCAAACCATGGCACTAGCTGACTTCGCCTGTATGCTATATGACCTCCAAACCATGGCACTAGCTGACTTCGCCTATATGCTATATAACTTCTCCAAACAATGGCACTAGCTGACTTCGCCTGTATGCTATATAACTTCCCCAAACCATGGCACTAGCTGACTTCACCTGTATGCTATATGACTTCTCCAAACCATGGCACTAGCTGACTTCGCCTGTATGCTATATAACTTCTCCAAACCATGGCACTAGCTGACCTCACCTGTATGCTATATGACTTCTCCAAACCATGGCACTAGCTGACTTCGCCTGTATGCTATATGACTTCTCCAAACCATGGCACTAGCTGACTTCGCCTGTATGCTATATAACTTCTCCAAACCATCCACTAGCTGACTTCGCCTGTATGCTATATAACTTCTCCAAACCATGGCACTAGCTGACTTCACCTGTATGCTACATAACTTCTCCAAACCATGGCACTAGCTGACTTCGCCTGTATGCTATATGACTTCTCCAAACCATGGCACTAGCTGACTTCGCCTGTATGCTATATGACTCCATCTGTACACCCACCTGACTATACCTGTATCACCTGACTTCACCTGTCTGCCCACCTGGCTTTACCTGTCTACCCACCTGCCTTCACCTGTCTCCCCACCAGGGAACTGGTGCTGAGAGATGTGCCATGTCTTTAAGGAACCCTCTCCTTATTTCCATCAGTTTCATCCTCTCTCCCCTCCCTGCTCTGGACAAACCTCACACTCCCTTATGTGGACCCACCTCCAGCTCACACCCTCCACATGAGCGTTCTTGTCACAGCAGCTGTGATCTCTCTAAAACAGGAACTCAACTCTGACAGGACTGTGCCTAAACCTCTCCTTGCCGAATTCTAATAAACATGGCAGAGGGGTGGCCAGAAGACCACATCTGTCCTCATGGGGATTCAACAACCATGACATTTCACGTGAATATCCACCCTGCTCATTTCCCATGCAATCTCAGAAGACTGCGATAACCCGGCCCCATTTCCAGATGGTAAAATTGAATAGAACTGAGTTGCTGTGGTCCGCTGGGTGGGGCACGCATGAGTTCATGTGCCATGAGCCAGGCTGGCTCCAGTTCTTACAGCACCTGTCTGGCCCCTGTGGCCGCTTGAGCAGGCAGCCCTTTGCTGTCTATGACAGACTCTCAACCCCCTACCATGGCATTCCAGGAACCTCCCCGCCCACAGTAGCTTCGTTTTCCACATTCCATTCTCCCTCACCACCTCTCCACGTCCACACCTTCCACATGTGTCCCTCTGTCACCACGTCTTAGATCAACAGGCCTTTGAGCACCAGCTCTTTGGGTCTTTTCCCAGCCAACTCCTATTCATTCCTCAATACCCAACACAAATGTCACCTTTTGTAGTAAGATGCACACAGGGGTGAATCCAACCCCTTCTCAGTCCCACAGGGCTTGGCTCTAGCAGGCACTCGATGGCTGTTGTGACTTGCTTTGTCGTTTCCTATCGCTTTCTTTTCCTAAATCCAAAGATATGCTATTAGTTAATGGAATCAGCTCATTTTTGAAAATGGTCTTCTAAAAGTGATTGCTGGAAGGGTGCTCTTATCTTTAGGATGCAATTGCTCATTAGTAGATCCCTACTGACTTTTGACTTTACACAGCCAACCCACGCCTCCCGATGACTCCCGGGGCCAGGAAACATGGCTTTGTCTTTGCTGGAACAGCAATTCAGCTGAGCACATGGCTTTGGTCAGAAGGAGAATGTTAGTGGTGTTGACCTTTCTCTCCCTCGCACGCTAATTAATCCTGCTTTCTAAGAACACTCTGCCATTGGAGCTCTTCCTCGTCCTCACACACACAGCTGTGCACCAGTTGCTGAAGTCTTGTTTGTTCACTGATATGTGACATCTCCTAGAAAGCTGACAGTCCCAACTTCATCAATTCAAGAATCAACCGACCCTTTCAAAAAACTAATTTCTTAATTATGAACTCAGATCATTCAGTTGTCAAATTACTGAACAGAAACAGAAACAACAGATAATTCACCTTCCTTCGCCCACTACAAATATTGGACCCTAAACCTCTCATAGCCAGACACAGACCTTCTCCTGGGTTCAACTTGGAAAAGAAGAAACAACAAGAACATCTGTTAACCTCTCTGATCCTGATGCGTAAACACACCGGTCAGCACTAAGCCATGGGTAAACAAGGACACAGGAGCAAGTGTCCAGTCCAGCGGCTCCCAGCCACGTGTGGTCATCAAGCCTTCAAAGTGTGACTGGGGTACTACCATTCTAGTTTCAATTAATTTAAATTTAATTTTAAAAACTGATACTTGGCACTGTTATTGCGAAACTTAAGTGTCTTTGGAACAATGTGCGTATGTGAACCTACTTTTACAACTGTCAATGTTATGAAATCTAAATATAGAACAAGTAATTCCCAATAAAAATGTAGCAGTTGAATTCAGAGCTATATGCATCTATACATATAGATGCAGCTAAATTATACACTGGATTTCAAAGGCTTAGTATGGAAAAAAGGACATAAAAGATCTCAAAAATTTTCACATTAATTATTTGTTGACATGATAATATTTTGGATATACTGGGTTAAATAAAATATACTGCTAAAATCAACTTTGGCTGTTTCTCCTTACTTTTTGAATAGGGTTAATGAACATTAAAATTACACACACGGCTCGTATATTTCTGTGGAACTGAGCCCAGAGAGTGCCAGGATGGGTGAAGTAGGAGGAGAGTCTCATCTGAGGACTGAACAGGCTGCGGCCAGGTTCTAGGGATGCCGGTTATGGCAATGAAGCCCAGAGGGCCACGTGGAGCCCCAGTCCTCCCACCGCCAGTCCCCCGATCTTCACCAAGTGTCCTCATAGCAGAGACCCTCTCATATTCTGAAGATATCTCTCTGTCCCCTTCACTGAGGTGAGACAATGGGGCTCTCAGGCATCTGGAGTGCTCTTGCAGGAGGGCCCAGGAGTCGGGACATGGCGACTTTTCTGCCCTGCAGAATGGGCGGTGTAAAGAGGAGCTGGGCTAACAGACACAGAGGCCTTGCTCAGTGGCTCCTTCACTCAAGTCATCCCTGGGGACAGCATGCCACACGGCATCTTTCAGATGAATGAGGCAGCCCCACAGATGCAGTCAGAGGAGCCGCCCTTCCTCCTGCTCATGGGGGTTGACCTAAAAGGCCCTGCCCTGGTGACTTCCTTATGATTTTTCACTCTGATTCCTCAGTAAATACTCAGCCATCTCCTCTCTCTCCCTCCCTTCCTCCCTTCTCTCCTTCCTTCCTTCCTCCCTCCTTGCCTCCCTGCCTCTCTCCCTCCCTCCTTCCCCTCTCTTCCTCCTTCCCCCTGTCTCTCTCCTTTAACGAGGCATGGTCCCACCTGCTGCGCTGACCTGACATTCTGCATAACACACACGTAGCTGAAACGGCAGGCAATCCCATGCCAAGCAAGGCAGGGGCGAGAGCTGGAAGAACACGTCATCACTCTCTAAGACATGGCTGTAAACAACTCCCTGTTTTCTATGTTAAAAAATGCACTTGGCTGTAAACAGGCAAGCTGTTCTCAGGGAGTACCTCTCTTCACTGCAGTCCATCTCTGTGACAGGGGAAGCCAGTCATCAAGGTGATCCCGTGGGAGAAGGGACCACACCCTCGCTGCACCTCACCTCCGAGGGTGGGGAACACAGTCCCGTCCTGGGGCCGCAAAGGCGCACGGGACCCAACCCGCTTCTCTGAGCTGATGCTCGAGCTTCTGGGGGGAACTGACTGAGAACAAGGAAACATACAAATAAGGCAATTTCTAAAATGACAAATGCTGTGAAGAGAATAAAGCAATGCCAAAGGGCTCAGGAGAAACGAGGAGGAGGGGACGGTTCTAGACGGTGCACAAGGGCTGCCTTCTGAGAAGGTGACATTCAGGAAGAGCCAAGGATTTCTGGGACCAAGTACCCTGAGTGGACGCGTGTGCCAGCAGGAATGGGCCTGCTGCTTCCCAAGCACAGCGAGGAGGCCAGGGAGGCAGTGGGCGCAGGACAGCCACTTGAAATTCACCCTGCATGGGGAGCCCCTGAAGTTAAGGACTGAAGCCACAGGGTCCACTGTGTACCCTAAAGATGCACAAAGGGGAGTAGCCTGGCAGGGGCTCTGGCCTCTGGCCCCTAGTCCTATGTGCTGTGTAAAGATTTTTCCCCTTCACCCCTCCTTTTGTCCTAATTCCTTAAAGCAGAGTGCGGTGGTGCATGCCTGTAATCCCAGCTACTCAGGGGGCTGAGGCAGGAGAATCACTTGAGCCTGGGAGGCAGAGGTTGCAGTGAGCCGAGATTGCACCATTGCACTTCAGCCTGGGCGACAGAGCGAGATGCTGTCTCAAAAACAAAAAACAAGAAACAAACAAACAAAAAATCAGAACACACCAAGAAACTAATAGAACTCTATTTATGCCTCTATTTTATCTGAAAAATAAGGAAACCTTTGCCTTTACTTTTACTTAGGAACCAGACTGACATTGGCACCGTCTACCTGCATTGCCACACAGTAACCGAGGTCTTGCCACTGGGACCTGTCAACATTTGTATGCAAAGGGATGTCTCTGGAGTGGCTAATTTTATGAAGACAACACCTTTCAATAGGAGACTTTTGAAATGAGTTGGATATCATGCCGCAGGGATCTTGTGTGCTTGTTGAAGTTGGAGGAGTATCTTATAAACAATATGCTTTCAAGAGCTGTTGAACTCAAAGGTGGATTGCGCATTTTTCTTTTACCAAAAGACGCAAGTTCTGAATGGGAATTGAAGGCAGGCTGTTCTCATGTCTGCCACTCACCTTACATTTTCAAAAAGCAGCAACACACGCAGCTTGTCCATTCAAGATCAACAGCCACTTTGATAATAAGTGAGAAAAAGCTCTCCTTTCCAAAGGGATTTAGACTATGACGGGGCACTTTAGAAATGGATGTTTGGAAATATTTCCAATGTTATGAAATGTTGTCCGTCGCTTATAAAATCTCTCAAACGTGCAGTCCTTAAAATCCTGGAAATAAAAATTTCTTAACCTCTTTAAAAGTCTTCCAAACCAAGGGGCTTCAGATGTGTTAGCCAATGTGTTAAAAACATTAAAAATGCAACACCTTTCAGTGAGTTTGCAAGAAAATTGATTGACAATTGATGGAGCTGTAGCAGCTGAACTTCAACATAAAATTTTGCAGTCCTGTTAAATGAAATTGAAAAATGATGCTGATGATTTAGGAAGTGATGGTAACAAGCCCTTCCTCCCACATACCCTACACATCTTTGTGCAGAATGCTTTTCATCTTTGAAGGCCACGAGCATCAAGTATTGAAGCAAACTAACATGGGCTAAGTCTTGCTGTAGCACAAAGAATGAAAGTTCTCAAAAAACAAGACAGTGTTGAATATCTTATTGCTCTCACTAATATGCCTTAATATTACAGTTTAAATTCCAAAAAAAATTCACGTAAAGAAACTTACGTTTAAATGATTAAACGTAAATGATTAAATGATTTCATCTTGAGCTCATTTAAAAAAATGTGTAAACTGTGTGTATGTTTACAAAGATTATACTAGCAGAGTATGTTAATATCATATATATATATGTAAATAAAGAAACAGTAGGGGTGCATATCCCATATTTTTTAGTAATGGGGAAAGTGACTGAAAAAGCTTGGGGCCTCAGCCTCAGCTTTGGACGCCCTGTGCTATTGTCTTGCACCTTGTATATTTGGCCCCAAGGAAGACCCAGCTCACAGGGAACTGAGGAGCTTCAAGACCAGGAGGCTGCTTGAATTTCACGGAGCATGAGATGGCAGAGAGAAGATGAGGATGCTTTGATCAAACCCAGCAGCTGCCCCCAGACATACGTAGGGGCAAAGCACAGACTGTCAGGTTCTTCCTGCAGGCCCAGGATGGAGCCTGGTGCCTGGAGGACAGGCAGCTGGTAGGGCACGTTTGCTGAGTTGAGCGGATGACACTGTCAGCAGCTAAGTGTCAGCTCTGGCACCGCGAGGGGGGTCGACAAGTCCCAGGAAGCTAACGAGCTGGACTTGTTACTGGGATGTGTTTGTCCTTTTTCATCGCTGATGATAATCACCATGATTAACACTGAATGACGTCCATAATTCAACGTCGCTTGGTGCTGAGGCTTTGAAGCTGCTGGCCTTGGCCCCTTTTCCTGGTGACATGCTCTGCTAGCACAGGCCCCCAATTTCTTCGGGCTCCCTCCCTCTCGGCCCCAGTCCCTGCCTCAGCCCTCCTCCACTTGCTCAGGGAATGGGCAGACCACCTCTGCCCACTGTCACCTCCTCCAGGAAGCCTTCCATGACCCACTTTCCATTTCTCATAGTAGTCCCACGGGACTGCCCAGGTAGAATTTTGCGGGTCCCTCATCTCATCCCCTGAG